>NT_167249.2:3446689-3754881 GCF_000001405.40 Homo sapiens
GGCCAGGCTGCTCAAGAGTCAAAGTGGGCCAACATGGTGAGACCCTGTCTCTACTAAAAATACAAAAATTAGTAGGTCATGGTGGCGCGCGCCTGTAATCCCAACTACTCGGAAGGCTGAAACAGGAGAATCGCTTGAACCCGGGAGACAGACGTTGCAGTGAGCCGAGATCACACCATTGCACTCCAGCCTGGGCGACAGAGCGAGACTAGAGACTCCGTCTCAAACAAAAAAAAAAAAAAAAAAAAAAAAAAGGTGGGCCGGGCGCGGTGGCTCACGCCTGTAATCCCAGCACTTTGGGAGGTTGAGGTCAGGAGTTCAAGACCAGCCTGGCCAACATGGTGAAACCCCGTCTCTACTAAAAATGCAAAAATAGCTCGGCGTGATGGCGGGCGCCTATATCCCAGCTACCCAGGAGGCTGAGGCAGGAGAATGGCTTACCTGGGAAGCGGAGGTTGCAGTGAGCCGAGATCGCGCCATTGCACTCCAGCTTTGGCAACTGAGACTCTGGGAGGCTGAGGTGGGCGGATCACGAGGTCAGGTGATCGAGACCATCCTGGCAACATGGTGAAATCTCGTCTCTACTAAAAATACAAAAAGTTAGCTGGGCATGGTGGCGTGTGCCTGTAATCCCAGCTACTTGGGAGGCTGAGGTGGGAGAATCGCTTGAACCAGGGAGTCGGAGGTTGCAGTGAGCCGAGATGGTGCCACTGCAATCCAGCCTGGCGACAGAGCAAGATTCCCGCCTCAAAAATAAATAAATAAATAAATAAAAAGCCGGGCATCGCGCACGCCTGTAATCCCAGCAATTTGGGAGGCCGAGGCGGCGGGGGGGGGCGGGGCGGGGGGGAGGGGGCGGGGCGGCGGGGGGATCACTTGAGGTCAGGGGTTCGAGACCAGCCTGGACAACATGGTGAAACCCCGTCTCTACTAAAAATACAAAAAATTAGCTGGGCGTGGTGGCGGGCACCTATAGTCCCAGCTACCCGGGAGGCTGAGGCAGGAGAATGGCATGAACCCGGAAGGCGGAGCTTGCGGTGAGCCAAGATCGTGCCACTGCGCTCCAGCCTGGGCGACAGCGCAAGACTCCGTCTCAAACAAACAAACAAACAAACAAAAAGTCAAAGTGTAGAGAAGTCCTGGAATGGAGACTGGGGGCGGATGACAATAGAGTGGAGAATGGCAGAGGTCGTGGTAAATGATAGTGGCAGCAGCCTTTTATCTGGAGACTTCAGGCCCTCCTATGCTAACTATCTTTATGTTCAGAGCTCATTCAGTACAGGGTGTTCTCCAGGATAAAACCTCGGGACTCTCTCTCCAACCGGCCCTGTCCCTTGGGTGACTACCTGAGGCTTCTCTTTACCTTTCCTTTCACATCCATCATTGCCTTTCAAGTCCTCCTTCATCAAGAAATCTTAGTGCTTTTCAAACATAAGTGTGCATACATATCACCTAGGGAACTTGTTAAGTTGCAGATTATGATTTAGGAAGTCTGTTGTGGGGCCTGTGATTCTGCATTTCAATAAGCTGGTTAATGCAGATGCTGCTGGTTCATAAGCCGTATGTTTTTCTTTTTTTTTTTTTTTTTTTAGAGAGATGGGGTCTGCTGTGTTTACCAGGCTGGTCTCAAACTCCTGGCCTCAAGCCATCATCCCATCTCAGCCTCCCAAAGTGCTGGGATTATAGGTGTGAGCCACCACACCCAGCAATGAACCAATGGGATGAGATTCTAGAACAGTCTCATCCCATTGTCTTCTCCCCTGGCTCTGTGCCCCTTTAGTTTATCCTACATTTTACATGTATAACTGGTGTGACCTGCTCCACTGGATGTTGCAGGTTCTCCTCCTAATAGAAGATGTAGAGACCTATTGTGATTCAGTCTTGCTTGTCCAGCTACCTACACAGCCTGGGCTACCACAGTTCTCCAGGAAAGAAGGATCCCTCTCTTGAGTACCTCACTTTGGCTCCCTCTTAAGTTTGCTCTCACCATTGTGCCTCAGACTATAAAAACCATGCCAGGACAGCCAGGAAGGGAGACGGTTTCATCATTAGCCAAAGACTTGTGTCAAAACAATTCTCTCCCTGGTTTTGTTTGTTTGTTTTTGTTTTTTTGTTTTTTGTTTTTTTTGAGACGGAGTATCACTCTGTCACGCAGGCTGGAGTGCACTGGCGAGATCTCGGCTCATTACAACCTCTGCCTCCCAGGTTCAAGCGATTATCCTGCCTCAGCCTCCCAAGTAGCGGGGATGACAGGCACCTGCCACCATGCCTGGCTAATTTTTGTATTTTTAGTGAAGATGGGGTTTCACCATGTCAGCCAGGCTGGTCTCAAACTCCCGACCAGAAGTGATCTGCCCACCTCGGCTTCCCAAAGTGTTGGGATTACAGGCGTGAGCCACGGCGCCAAGGCAGGCGGATCACTTTAGGTCAGGAGTTTGAGACCAGCCTGGCCAACATGGTGAAACCCCGTCTCTACTAAAAATACAAAAATTAGCTGGTGTGGCGCATGCCTGTAGTCCCAGCTACTCAGGAGACTGAGGCAGGAGAATCGCTTGAACCTGGGAGGCGGAGGTTGCAGTGAGCTGAGATCGCGCCACTGCACGGAGGCCGAGGCGAGCGGATCACAAGGTCAATATGGTGAAACTCCGTCTCTATTAAAAATTCAAAAATTAGCCTGGCGTGGTGGCACACGCCTATAGTCCCAGCTACTTGGGAGGCTGAGACAGAAGAATCGCTTGAACCCAGGAGGCGGAGGTTGCAGTGAGCCAAGATCACACCATTGCACTCCAGCCTGGGCGACACAGCAAGACTGTCTCAAAAAATAAATAAATAAATAAACACAAATACAAATATAGGCATTGAAACCCCTAAAAAAAACCTAATCCAAATCATCATGTATGAAAATATTTCTCTTTTTAAAAATATGGCCCATCAAGAGGTAAGCACAAACTTAAAGTTTTAGAAGAGTTCCCCAGAGAAGATAGCCATGGACCTGTAGATTCCCCCTAGTCTTAACTTGAGAAACACAGGACTAGGAAGGGACCAACAACCTGTGAAGATTCAGAAATAGGAAAGAGTGGCCAGGCGCAGTGGCTCATGCCTGTCATCCCAGCACTTTGGGAGGCCAAGGTGGGTGGATCACTCGAGGTCAGGAGTTTGAGACCAGTCGGGCCAACATGGTGAAACCCCGTCTTTACTAAAAATACAAAAATTAGGCTGGTGTGGAGGTGTGTGCCTGTAGTCTCAGCTACTTAGGAGGCTGAGGCAGGAGAATCGCTTGAACCCGGGAGGCAGAGGTTGCAGTGAGCCGAGATCACACCACTGCACTTCAGCCTGGCGACAAAGTCGCCTTATCCAATTTCCTTTCCTTTCCTGAGGTAGAAAGGAATTTGAGAAATTCTGTCTCAAAATAATAATTTGTAAAAAAAGAAATAAGAAAGAGTATAGGCTCTCCCCCAAAGTGTAGATACTACATGCTTGTTGACTGACTCACACTATCTTCCTCAAGTCTAATTGTGCCAGAGCTCAGCTCTTTGGAGGCAGTCATCAAGGAATCAAGACGAAAGAGAGCCACAAACCAGGAAGATTATATCCTTAAGCCTGGCTAGAGAACAAGACATTTGAGAAAGATACATAAAGAGGATGACAAGTGAAATTTGCTTATCTGTTGGGATAGATGCTTGGACTGGAAAGTGGGGAAACAGCAATGTCTCTCTCCTCTCCCTTTCCCCTAAAGATTTGAGAATGAAATGGAAGATGAGCAGGCATGAGAGGAAGAGATGAAAAGGAATCTTCTTCCCCAAGGGACTGGATCCAGTCTCTTCTTGTCACTACAAATTGTCCTCTGCTCCCTCTCTTCCTTTGGTGTTGCAGGGACCAACATCACCAATACCTCCAGAAATCGTGTGAATGCAAATGGGACATACTTACCCCGTCTTGCTACACAGAAACCTCTCGAAAAGTGAGACTCTGGGTTAAGAAGGTCAAAGAGGGCCAGGTGCAGTGGCTCACGCCTGTAATCCCAGCACTTTGGGAGGCCAAGGCGGGCAGATCACATGAGGTCAGGAGTTCGAGACCAGCCTGGTCAACATTGTAAAACCCCATCTCTACTAATAAAATATAAAAATTAGCCAGGTGTGGTAGCGGGCGCCTGTAATCCCAGCTACTTGGGAGGCTGAGGCAGGAGAATCGCTTGAACCTGGGAGGCAGAGGTTGCAGTGAGCCAGGATCACACCATTGCACTCCAACCTGGGCAATAGTGTGAAACTCCGTCTCAAAAAAAAAAAAAAAGGTCAAAGAGACATCTAGGAGAATGCAAGAACTTGGGAGGAGGGCAATAATTCTGCTCTCTATGATTGCAGAATGTTAACTCCATTTTGGAACAATTCTCCACTCCTTTAAGTGAAGAAAATTGGACTGAGGGAAACCATATTTGACAAGTTTCTGGGGATTTACCTGCAAATATATTTACATCTTACCTGGAGTCACTTCCCTCCTTCCTTTTTTCTGGGTCCTCCCCTTCTAAGATGGCTCAGAGAAACTGGCCATACTCTGTTATTCTCCTTGTTCTATCCCAGAAGGGCATTGTTTGCCTTCATTCAAGACCTAACCTGAAGCCTGGGCAACATAGAGACCCTGCCTCTACAAAATAAAAATTAGCTAGGCAGGGTGGTGCACCTGTAGTCCTAGCTATTCAGGAGGCTAAGGCGGAAGGATTACTTGAGCCCAGGAGTTGAGACTGCAGTGAGCTAGGATCACACCACTGTACCCCAGCCTGGGCAACAGAGTGAGACCCTGTCTTTTAAAAAAAAAAAAAAAAAAAAAAAAAAGAGTTAACCTGAGGCAGAACCCAAGGAGAGGTTCAGGAGCTGGCTTGAGGTAGTTTGCCAGCTAGTGGTTGTTTCATCTTGTTCCTGCACACAGAGCATATGATGCTTGCCCTCTAAATGGATGAAGTAGAATTTTTTTCTTATTCATTCAGTAGCCCTTATTGAATACCCAGAATTTGCCAGTGAAATATGGAGACAAATACGGAGAATCCCCACCAGTAATCTAATGAGAGTGAAAAGTCAGATTAGCCAATGCTCCAGATGCAAAGGAAAAAGTGATAAGTGGCAGGGGAGTTATTTTCAACTGGGGTTGATCTGAAAATACCTCATGGATGGCTTCAGAGAGTTGAGACTTGAAAGAGGGCCGCAAATTTGATATGCAGAAATGGAAGAGACTGCCGGGCACGGTGGCTCATGCCTGTAATCCCAGCACTTTGGGAGGCTGAGGCGGGTGGATCACAAGGTCAAGAGATCGAGACTATCCTGGCTAACATGGTGAAACCCCGTCTCTACTAAAAATACAAAAATTATCTGGGCGTGGTCGCATGTGCCTGTAGTCCCAGCTACTTGGGAGGTTGAGGCAGGAGAATCGCTTGAACCCAGGGGGCGGAGGTTGCAGTGAGCCAAGATGGCGCCACTACACTCCAGCATGACGCCAGCGCAAGACTCCATCTCAAAAAACAAAACAAAACAAAACAAAACAGAAAAAAAGAAAAAGAAAAAGAAATGGAAGAGATTTATTGCAGGTGGAAGAAGCAGCACAAGGTAGGAGAAGTAAGGAAAGCCACTTAACACCCAGGATTATTCCTCTCCAGTCTGTGAGTCTCAGTTTTCCCAGGCTATTCCAATACTCCTTTGTGCTGCCCTGTCACCAGGCATTGAGCTGGTTGGAAGTTTTTACACTCTCACATTCCCCTGCGTTCTATACTCACCACATGGAACCATATGCTGCACTTATTCTCTTCCATTTATTATCTGCATGAGAGACAAAAATTCTAGCTTTCCAAAAGCTAAATAAATTTCCCCTTCTGTTTAGCTTTGGTGGTTTCTGTGGCTTTTAGTTTTGCTGGGATTTGTGTCAAAATCGTTCCTCCCTCCTTTTTGGTCCCAAAGCATTTTGCTGTGCTTCCCTTATAGTCAGGGTTTTCAAGCAGGAGGGAGGCAGCCTTTTTGGCAGTGAAGTGTTTAATGATAACAGCTTCACCTTACTAAACGCTGGCCATGCATTATGACCGTAATACTCAGCATTGTTCTAAATGTCTTGTATATATTAGCTATTTTTCTCTCACACAACTCTATGAACTACTTATTCATTCAGTGATTCAAAGAATTTTGTTTGTTTGGTTGGTTGGTTTTTGTTCTTGTTGCTGTTTTGAGATGACGTCTCGCTCTGTCACCCAGGCTGGAGTGCAGTAGCGTGATCTCGGCTCACTGCAACCTACGCCTCCTGGGTTCAAGTGATTCTCCTGCCTCAGCCTCCTGAGTAGCTGGGACTACAGGTGTGCACCCCCACGCCCGGCTAACTTTTGTATTTTTTTTAGTAGGGACAGGGTTTCACCATGTTGGTCAGGCTGGTCTCGGATTTGTGACCTCACGATCCGCCCACCTCAGCCTCCCAAAGTGCTGGGATTACAGGCGTGAGCCACTGCGCCCAGCCAAGAAATCTTTACTGAGGGCCTCCTTTGTACCAAGCACTGTGCTACATGCTGGGAATAAGGCAGTGGAAAAAGCCTTGGATCTCTGGTAACTTACATTGAATTGAAGATGACAGACGATAAAAAAATCAATAAAATTTAATACAATGTCAGGCACTAACAAGTGCTATGAACACCATGAAGCAGGGTGAGGGGTAAGGGAATGGGATAGAAAGTGCTCCCAGGTATGCATGGTGCTATATTTATTGATGATGATTATTATTATTATTTATAGAGTCTTGCTCTGTTGCCCAAGCTGGAGTGCAGTAGTGTGGTCATGGCTCACCGCAGCCTTGACCTCCTGGGCTTAAGTGATCCTCCCACCGCAGCCTCATGAGTAGCTGGGACTGCAGGTTCATGCCACCATGTCTGGCTAATTTTTTTTTTTTTTTTTAGAGACGAGGTTTCACTATGTTGCCTGGGCTGGTCTCAATCTCCAGGCCTCAAGCAATCCTCCTGCCTCTGCCTCCCAAAGTGCTGAGATTATAAGCAAGAGCCACTGTGCCTGGCCATGGTACTATATTTAATCAAGTGATGAGGGAAAGCCTCCTTGTGGAGGTGATGTTTGTGCAGATATAAATGACATAAAGGAGCAGTCATGCAAGTATCTGGAGGGAGAGTGTCCAGGAAAAGAAAAAGAGAGTGCAAAGGCCCTGAGGTAGAAAGGAATTGGATTTTTATGTTAAATTCAGAAAGGAGGTCAGAGTGAGTGGAGCAGAGTGAGCAAGGGAAAGAGTGGTAAGGGATGAAGACAGAGAGGTGGGGAGAAACAAGGCCAGGTAGGCTTCATAGGCCATGGGAAGGACTTTTTATTTTGTCCCACATGTGATCAGGAGGCATCAGAGGGTTTTGAGCAGGTAAATGATATCATCTGGTAATTTTAAAGATCACTCTGGTTTCTTCATAGAGGGTAGGCCACATCAGTAAAAAATAGAAGCAGAAAATCCAATTAAGGGACAAAGGAAGGGACAATGGAATCATGGGAGCTTGGATTAGGGTAGAGGAGAGGGCCAAGAATAGAGTCCAGAGGCTCTCTAATATTTAAAGGTCTGGAAAAGGAATAGGAGCTGTCAGTGAAGACTGAGAAGGAGCAGTAAATAAGGAACTAGGGAATGCTTTCTTTCTTTTTTGTTTTTGAGACAGCCTGTTGCCTAGGCTGGAGTGCAGTGGGGTTACCATGGCTCACTGCATCCTCGACTTCCCAGGTTCAAGTGATCCTCCTACCTCATCCTCCCAAATAGCTGGGACCACAGGTGTGTGCCATTATGCCCAGATAATTTTTTAATTTTTTGTAGAGATGGGGACTCCTTATGTTGTCCAGGCTGGTCTCAAACTCCTGAACTCAAGTGATCCATCTGCCTCAGCCTCCCAAAGTGCTGGGATTACAGATATGAACCACTGCACCTGGCAGGATAATTTTTTTCTTCTTTCTTTTCTTTTTTTTCCCCCACAATTTTAAACCCAAGCAGTACACCTGGTTGGTTGTTACATGATTACATTGCATCCTGGTGGGGATTGGGCTTCTAGTGGTGTACCTGTTACCCAAATAGTGAACATTGTACCCAATAGGTAAATTTTTTTTTTTTTTGAGATGGAGCCTCACTCTGTTGCCCAGGCTGGAGTGCAGTGGCGCTATCTCTGCTCACTGCAACCTCCTCCTCGCCCCAGGTTCAAGTGATTCTCCTGCCTCAGCCTCCTGAGTAGCTGCAATTACAGGCTCACGCCACCATGTCAGGCTAATTTTCATGTTTTTAGTAGAGACGGGGTTTTGCCGTGTTGGCCAGGCTGGTCTCGAACTCCTGACCTCAGGTGATCTGCCCGCCTCTGTCTCCCAAAGTGCTGGGATTACAGGCGTGAGCCACTGTGCCCGACTTTTTTTTTTTTTTTTTTTTTCCCGTGATGGGGTCTCACTCTGTAACCCAGGCTGGAGTGCAGTGGTGTGACTCCAGCTCACTGCAACCTCTGCCTCCCTGGTTCAAGTGATCCTCCCACTTCAGATTCCCAAGTAGCTGGGACCACAGGCACATACCACTATGCCCAGCTAATTTTTTGTGTTTTTGGTAGAGACTAGGCTTGTCTCGAACTGCTGAGCTCGAGTGATCCACCTGCCTCGGCCTCCCAAAGTGCTGGGATTACAGGCATGAGCCGTCACACCCAGCCAAATATTTGGTTTTCTATGTTTGAGTTAGTTCACTTAGGATAATGGCCTCCAGCTTCATCCACGTTGTTGCAAAGGACATGATTTCATTTTTTTTTTTTTTTTTTTTTTGAGATGGAGTTTTTCTCTTGTCGCTCAGGCTGGAATGCAATGGCATGATCTTGGCTCACTGCAACCTCCGCCTCCCAGGTTCAAGCGATTCTCCTGCCTCAGCCTCCTGAGTAGCTGGGATTACAGGCACGTGCTACCATGCCTGGCTAATTTTGATATTTTTAGTAGAGACGGGGTTTCACCACATTGGCCAGGCTGGTCTCAAACTCCTGACCTCAGGTGATCTGCCCACCTCGGCCTCCCAAAGTGGTGGGATAACAGGCGTGAGCCACCGCGACCGGCCAATTTCATTCTTTACTATGGCTGTGAAATAATTATTTATTGTGTCCTCCAGTTGCAAGGAGTTTAACAGCATGCCTGGCCGCTGCTCACTAGACGCTAGGAGCACCTCCTCAGTTGTGATAACTGAAACAACTCTAGACATTGCCAAATGTTCCTGGGGGTGGGATGGGAGGATCACCCACTCTTGAAAACCACTGGTCAAGATGTCCCACAGGAGATACTTGGCAAGACAATGCACAGGTCAGACCCCCATGACAAAGAACTATCTGACCCAAAATGTCAATAATCCCTGAAACTGAGAAACCCTAGTTTAGACTCTAGTTGAGAACTTATTCCTGGAACTAAGCCAGGTTTGGCTGTGTTTTCTCGTGGCCCAATAACGAGAAGCAGACAAACTAGGAAAGAAGGGAATTTGTTGCTGTCACCGGATACAGGGAAAGGGTCGGAGATAATTCCACCAGACCAACTCAAAGTGTTACAATTTTCTTTTTTTCTTTTTTTTGAGACGGAGTCTCGCTCTGTCGCCAGGCTAGAGTGTAGTGGTGCGATCTTGGCTCACCACAACCTCCGACTCCTGGGTTTAAATGATTCTCCTGCCTCAGGCTCCCGAGTAGCTGGGACTACAGACGCGTGCCACCACGCCCAGCTAATTTTTGTATTTTTAGTAGAGACAGGGTTTCACCATGTTGGCCAGGATGGTCTCGATCTCTTGACCTTGTGATCCACCCACCTCGGCCTCCCAAAGTGCTAGAATTACAGGTGTGAGCCACCACACCCGGCCAGTGTTACTATTTTCTTAGTGTTTATACAGGTTTAGGTTATATGCCTACATGCAGTATGGCATTCACCAAAGTCTATCAGTAACTAATTTTGTTTCAACTAGAGGGTCAGAGGCAAAAAAATTCTTGCTAAGTCTGATTAAGCTGTGAGGGCCCCAGTACCTTCAAGGCCTGTTTACTGTGGTACCAGAGTGATTATTTCTATCTTATCTCCTTTACAGCTTGGTGCGGAGAGCTGCCTTAGATTCTCCAATGAATCTATTCAAACAGCTGCCTCTGTTACCTTGACTTGTCTCAGATATCGTCGACCCGAGACGAGTCCTGGCACTAGGAATGTAAGGCTGTCTCTGTTATTTTGACTTGCTCCAGCAAGGGAGAAGCCCATGCAAGGCTCTTACTCACCATGTGTTTCATTTCTAGCTTTGATGTCTGTACACCAATTCCCCTAGGTTTAACTATTTGCTCAATGTTAAGGCAATGCTGTGGAAATCTGTCTGTGTAACTGGGGTGCTATGCAGGCCTGTCTGTGTGACTGTCAGGGAGAATTGGCCTGCCACAAACTGACCCTTGACCATTGGGTTTAGAAACTTGGAGGTCATTTGTGACTCTGACATGTGGTTTAAGTAAAGTGGTGGGGATGAGAGCCTGATTGAGAGAAATTCAAGAGTGAATGAGAGGTGAGAAAGTAGAGGCAGTGAGAAGTTTTGTTAAGTGGAGAGAGAAGTGGAACACTGAGGGAGTGAGCTGGGTCAGGGAAGAGTTTTTAAATTTAAAAATAAATGCATTATTTTATACATATAAAATTATAATTTATATGCATAAATATATATGTATTACAAAGAATAATTTTGTGAACATCAGGCAGCTTATGAAGTAAAATCTTCCCATCAGGGCAAGGTGGCTCACACCTGTAATCCCAGCACTTTGGGAGGCTGAGGTGGGCGGATCACCTGAGGTCAGGAGTTGGAGACCAGCCTGGCTAACATGGTGAAATCCTGTCTCTACTAAAACATTAGCCAGGTGTGGTGGTGCGTGCCTATAATCCCAGCTACTTGGGAGGCTGAGGCAGGAGAATCGCTTGAACCCGGGAGGCGGAGGTTGCAGTGAGCTGAGATCGTGCCATTGCACTCCAGCCTGGGTGACAGAGGGAGACTCCATCTCAAAAAAAAAAAAAAAAAAAAAGAAAGCAAAAACAAGAGGTAAAATCTTCCCCAGTATAGTTAAGGCTCCCTGAATTTCCCTTTCCAGATTGCTTTTCTGCCAAAGGGTAAGCACCATTCTCTGAATGTTGTGCTTTTACTACCTAGGTGAGTAGCGAAACAGTTTTTTTCTTTCTTTTCAGAGATGAAGTATAATTTTATAGCATGTTTGCATAATGATGGGAGTGTTGCAGTACAGAGGGGTAAACTGATTAAGTGAGAGAGAGAGAGATAGGGGATAATTTCAGGAATAACATCTCTGAGCAGGTGAGAGGGAACAGGATCCCGGGGTACAGATGAGGTGGCAGGTGGGTGCATGTCAGCTTCTCTGCGGTAGAGTTGCAGGTAGACTGGTGAATTTGGGGTGGGAACATGAGGAAGTTCCCTTCTGAAAGTTTCTGTTTTCTCACTGAAATAGGAAGAAAAGTCATCATCTTGTGAAGTTGTGGTCTCAGATTTGGGGAATGTGAACTGAGTAGGGAAAGGCGAGCTGGCATGCCACACTGAGGGCCCGCAGGAAGCAAGACCAGTCAGTATGACTGTGTGTTTCTCCCCAGCTGTTGAATGCAGGTGTGGAGCAGGCAGAGTGGGATTTGACCAGGGATAAAATGTGCCAGAGGAAGGGGGGCCAGGAGTACAGGGTGAGGGCTGAGAGGCGATTACCATGTTGAACCTTGGAATCTAAACTGGGTAATGAGGAAAGTGAAGAATTGAGATCAAACAATGAAAAGTAAGTTAGTGGATGGGAGGCCCAGATGGGGTTGAAGAATTTTTGGGATAGGGGTACTGGGGAGCAACATGAAAAGACTGAGGATGAGATTTTAGAAGGGCAGTAGGTATTGGTGGCAACCAAGTTGAAGGTATGACATAGGGCGAGAGGGAAGCAGGGAGAAATAAATCACTGCAAGAGAAGGGCAGGGTGCTAGAGAATCTGCATGAACATTGAAAACAAAAATAATAAAACGGGGCCAGGCACTGTAGCTCATGCCTATAATCCCGGCACTTTGGGAGGCTGAGGCAGGCAGATTGTGTGAATTCAGGAGTTCGAGACTGTCCTGGGCAACACAGTGTGACCTCATCTCTATTAAATATCAAAGGCCAGAGGCCAGGCGCAGTGGTTTATGCCTGTAATCCCAGCACTTTGGAAGGCCGAGGCGGGTGGATCACGAGGTCAAGAGTTTGAGACCAGCCTGACCAATATGGTGAAACCCCATTTCTACTAAAAATACAAAAAATTAGCCGGGCATGGTGGCACACGCCGGTAATCCGAGCTACTCAGGAGGCTGAGGCAGGAGAATCGCTTGAACCTGGGAGGCAGAGGTTGCAGTGAGCTGAGATGGCACCATTGCACTCCAGCTTGGGCAACAAGAGCAAAATTCCGTCCAAAAAAAACAAAAACAAACGAACAAAAAAACAGGCCAGGGGCGGTGCCTCAAGCCTGTAATCCTAGCACTTTGGGAGGGTGAGGAGGGCGGATCACCAGGTCAGGAGATTGAGACCATCCTGGCTAACACGGTGAAACCCCGTCTCTACTAAAAATACAAAAACAAAATTAACTGGGCATGGTGGCAGGTGCCTGTAGTCCCAGCTACTTGGGAGGCTGAGGTGGGAGGCGGGAGAATGGCATGAACCCGGGAGGCAGAGCTTGCAGTGAGCCGAGATCGCACCACTGCACTCCAGGCTAGGCGACAGGGTGAGACTCTGTCTCAAAAAAAAAAAAAAAAAAAACCCAAAATTTATCCGGGCGTGGTGGCAGGCGCCTGTAATCCTAGCTACTCAGAGGCTGAGGCAGAGAATTGCTTGAATCCAGGAGGCAAGGTTGCAGTGAGCTGAGATTGTGCCACTGCACTCCAGTCTGGGCGACAGAGCCAGACTCCATCTCAAAAAAAAAAAATAAAATAAAAATAAAAAAAATTAGCTGGGAGGATCACTTGAGACCGGGAGATCGAAGCTCAGTGAGCTATGATCCTGCTGCTGCACTCCAGCCTGGGTGACAGAGCGAGACCCTGCCTCAGAAAAAAAAGAAAAAAGAAAAAGAGGCTGGGCTCGGTGGCTCACGTGTGTAATCCCAGCACTTTGGGAGGCCGAGGTAGGCAGATAACCTAAGATCAGGAGTTCAAGACCAGCCTGGCCAACATGGTGAAACCCTGTCTCTAGTAAAAATACAAAAATTAGCTGGGCGTGGTGGCAGATGCCTGTAATCACACCTACTAAGGCTGAGGCAGGAGAATCTATTGAACTCAGGAGGCGGAGGTTGCAGTGAGACGAGATTGCGCCACTGCACTCCAGCCTGGGCGAGAAGAGCAAAACTCCATCTCAAAAATAAATAAATAAATAATAAAAAGAAGAAAATGAAATGAGCGGTGGAAGTAGAGTGATCAGGTGCTGAATCTTCCATTGTAGAGGGGGAATGATGACCCAGAATCTAATCATGGTTTTCCCCCATCTGTATGAGAGCACCCATACAGATGTTATGGGAGGGCAGAGCCTCTCCTAGAGGATGGAGTCTCTGTCAGTAGAGGTGCCACAGCCAAGGGTATCACCTGCAGAGGGAGGTGAGTCAGATAGGAAGAGGATCACATTGTAACTTTTTTTTTTTTTTGAGACGGAGTCTCGCCCTGTTGCCCAGGCTGGAGTGCAGTGGCACAATCTCGGCTCACTGCAAGCTCTGCCTCCGGGATTCACACCATTCTCTTGCCTCAGCCTCCCAAGTGGCTGGGACTACAGGTGCCTGCCACCACACCCAGCTAATTTTTTGTATTTTTAGTGGAAATGGGGTTTCACCGTGTTAGCCAGGATGGTCCTGATCTCCTGACCTCGTGATCCGCCCATCTCGGCCTCCCAAAGTGCTAGGATTACAGGAGTGAGCCACCGCGCCCGGCCACACATTGTAACATTTTATTTCCTCATGAGGGAGGAGTCTGGGTGAGGTTAAGAGATCTGAGATTAAGAAACAAACATTCCTAAGGAAAAGCAAAAGAAAGCTAAGTCATTTTTTATTCATCTCTCCCTTTGCCTGATTCCTTTCAATTCAATTGAGTTCAAAGATTGGTAGAGGAGGTTTTATCTGATGAGGATCTGAAAAACAGAGATAAGCCAGATTTGACTCTTGCCTTCAAGTAGCTCACAAGGTAAACTGTGTATGTCAAGATATCAGGTGGGAAGAGATGAGAAAATATGCAGATAACATGAATCTTAGATCTAGATACTTTTCTCCTAAAGAAAATTGCCCGGGTTGAAGTCATTTTTTGGCCTTTCCATTCTCCCTGGGTGGTCCTTAAAGTGTCTGTAAACCTGTGATTCCCAACCTTGGCTGCCCTTTGGAATCACCTGGTTATGTCTTAAATACTGATGCCAGAGTTCCACCCCCAGAGATTCTTTTTTGTTTGTTTTGAGATAGGGTCTCACTCTGTTGCCCAGGCTGGAGCACCGTGTTCTGATCACTGAAGCCTCTGCCCCTCAGGCCCAAGCAATCCTCCCGTCTCACCCTCCCAAGTAGCTAAGACTACAGGTGAGCCATGGGGCTCGGCTAAATTTTTTTTTTCTTTTTCTTTTTGAGACTGAGTGCCTCTCTGCCACCCAGGCTGGAGTGCAGTGGTGCAATCTGGGCTCACTGCAACCTCCGCCTCCTAGGTTCAAGCGATTCTTCTGCCTCAGCCTCCTGAGTAGCTGGGATTACAGGCATGTGCCACCATACCCGGCTGATTTTTGCAGTTTTAGTGGAGACGGGGTTTCACCACGTTGGCCAGGCTGGTCTTGAACGCCTGACCTCAGGTGATCCACCCACCTCGGCCTCCCAAAGTGCTGAGATTATATGTGTGAGCCACCGCGCTCGGCCTAGGCTAATTTTTTTTTTTTTTTTTTTTTGAGACGGAGTCTCGCTCTGTTGCCCAGGCTGGAGTGCATGGCACGATCTCGGCTCACTGCAAGCTCCACCTCCCGGGTTCATGCCGTTCTCCTGCCTCAGCCTCCTGAGTAGCTGGGACTACAGGCACCTACCACCACACCCAGCTAATTTTTTTGTATTTTTAGTAGAGACGCGGTTTCACCATGTTAGCCAGGATGGTCTCGATCTGGCCTAGGCTAGTTTTTAAACTTTCTTGTAGAGATGGGGTCTCACCATATTGCCCAGGCTAGTCTCGAACTCCTGGGCTTAAACGATCCTCCTGCCTCGACTTCCCAGAGTGCTGAGATTACAGGTGTGAGCCACTGGCACTGAGCCCAGAGATTCTGATTTAATTGTTTTAGGATGCGACATGGGCTTTCAGATTTTTCAGTGCTCCCCAGTGGATTCTAATGTGTAACCTGGGGTAAGAACCGTTGCTCCAAGGAATGCCTGAAGCTCTGTTTGGAAACCCACTGCTTTAATCTAACCCAGAGGAAAGAGAGACACCTTTTTGCTACAGTGAGGGATGAATTGATCCGGACTTTGAAAGATATTGTAAATAAAATTTGACCAAGTAGAGAGGCAGATGTCAAGAGGGGGAGAACATCATGAGCAAGAGCCTAGATGTGGTCTAAAGCCTCTGAAATTTGTGACAAGCTGCAAACAATTTGGTTTATAATAGGCAGAGATTTGGGAAGGAGGTCTAAGATTTGGGAACAGCTGGGCAAATACCTGGAGGTGGGAATGATGAGTAATTCAGTATGGTTAGAAATTAGAATAAACAGAGAAGCTGGATGATTTTAAATTATGGAAGGTGTTAAAGGCCAGATTAAAATTTTGTAAATAATTGAGTAGGCAATAGGGAACCTTGAAGGGCTTTTGAGCAGTGGAGTTATGAAAGTGTGTTTAGGGAGGCTGATCTGACAATAGTGTGGAGGGAGACTTGAGGTAGGGAGAAGTAGGAAGTAGGGAGACCTGTTGGGAAAGCTGATGCAATAATCCTAATGAGGTAATTTTTCCAGCAAGGGCTGGGGAAAAATTACAGATTCAAAAGACATTGTGGTGGCAGAACTGACTAGGCTTGAGAGCACACCAAAAATAAGGCAGGAGGGAGAGGGAGGAGGCGGCAAATTTCTAGATAAGGAAGAGTGATTGGGAAAATGGTCTATTAACAGAGACAGGGAAGCAGGTTTTCTGTGGCATTTCATCAGTTTGTTTTGGAATGTGTTGATTTTAGAGGACCAGCAAGCATCTTCCATGTGGCTATGATCTTCAGGCACTGGAAAAAACGTCTGCATGTAAAATACAGGTTGGAAAAGCATTTGATTAGCTGAGTTGAGTGAATGAGCTTTTCAAAGGAAAGTCTCAGAGAAGGAAAAAAAATCAGAGATGGACACTTAGGGGAAGGGAGGAGAAAAAGCAAGGAGGGAAGGCAGAGGCGGAATGGTTAGAGGTCTGTGTGTGTGTCGGGGGAAGGGAGGTAATACGTTCTTGAACCTGGGTATGTGGGGAATTCAGGGTCAAGGGACAAACATGGGAGGGCTTAGAGAGGCAGAATACTGTGAAAATGCCATTGATTTGGGATCTGGGTAATTGGTTGCCATTTGAGAGGGAGGTTTCAGGAGAATAGGGTGTGGATGCATATTCCAATAAGTCAAGAAATAGTGGGTATGAAAAAAAGACAGATACAGACATATCTCTGATAGCAATATTCCGCACCCCCCTGCCCCTTTTTTTTTGAGATGGAGTTTCGCTCTTGTTGCCCAGGCTGGAGTGCAATGACTTGATCTTGGCTCACTGCAACCTCCGCCTCCCAAGTTCAAGCGATTCTCCTGCCTCAGCCTTCCAAGTAGCTGGGACTGCAGGTGCCCGTCACCATGCCCGGCTAATTTATTATTTTTAGTACAGATGGGGTTTCACCATGTTGGCCAGGCTGGTCCCGAACTCCTGACCTCAAGTGATCCGCCTGCCTTGGCCTCCCAAAGTGCTGGAATTACAGGTGTTAGCCACCGTGCCCAGCCGTGAATTCTGTTTTTCAAGAAGTTTGGTAAGGTAGGCACATTAAATGCGAAACATCCAAGGGCGAACCCATGATATTCACACCTCACCCCACCCTCCTCCCACATCTCCTATCACATTTCCTATCTCAGTGCATGGCTTCCCTTCTAGATTGTAAGCTCCATGAGGTCAGGGGTCACACCTGCTGTCTGGGTGGATGTCTCACCAGCATCCAGCATGGAGTCTGCATGTTGCATAAATGCATAAATTAGGTTAGGACCCTGTCCTGTGGGTGTACAACCAAAGACCCAAGCCCACTGCTGGCAGCATCCCCTAATCACCACTCCCCTCAGAAAAGAGGCCTATTGGTTGACCTCAGGATAGGAGAGGGCAACTAGTCCCAGGGAGACTTGAGAGGCCATTGACCTCCTCCCTGGGCTCCCACAGCAATCTGCTCTCTTTGCCTTTCCTATACCCCCTACAGTCCAGCATGTGGGGCTCTAATCCAAGTTATCTGCCACCCTCCAGCCCACAGTCAGGAACAGCTATGGGCAGCTGGCATCTCTTCTTGGCCCCCATCACTCTATCCTTGACCAGCTTCTTCACCATGGTCTGCCCTCTCTGTTCTCTTGTCTTCCTGGAGTTCTGGGGATAGTAGGGAATGGAAAAGGGGTACTGGGGAAATAAAGCCTCACTAAGAAAATAAAGCCTCACTGAGAATGGACCCCAAGGTCTTCCTTGGTGGATTCCCAGGGAGCTCCCCTCCGTCCCCCATATTCACGTGTCTCTCTGGCGATCTGGGAATCTGTGTCCCTCACGTTAGTCTCTGTCGGGTTTTCTTTTTTTTTCCTTGGAAGAGGAGATGAAGGGAAGTGAAAGGCGGAATCAAAAGTGGGGAGGGTCTTTGCGGGGCCGCAGTCTTTGGAATTGCGGGCGATAAATCAACTAAGTCTCTTTAATATTGTCTTTCAGAAGTTCACACACACTCACACACAGATCAGAACAAGGCGGGGCCGCCGAGGGGAGCGGGGAGCGGGGACTTGGGAGGTCCATAGCCTGGATTCCCTTCTGCCCGGCTGCCCAGGGGCTGGGATGGGTGGAAGGGAGTATTTACAGAGCGTTTACAGGCAGGTTTCTTATCCCAGGGAGAAGGGTCCTACACCAGGAACTTCCCAAATGTCCTTAAAAAAAGCAAAAGGAAAGGTTCTGGGATTAGCAAGAAAATAGGCAGATACCTGGGTGGAGGAGGGACAAAAATGTACTTGCAAAAAACAGGAGTGTGGGGGCCTTACTACCCCAGGGCTCGGTCCTTTTGCCGGAAGAAAGGGAGGGGTCTGTCCGTCTGTGGGCGAGGCCTGGAGCCACAAACCCAATCACTGGACTGAATCACCCCGCGGAGAAGAAAAGAAGGCGGAGCCTGCCGACCTGGAGGCGGGGTTTTGTCAGAGCTGGGGCGGTGCTTATAGAGGAGGCGGGGTTTTAGGGACCAAACCGAGGTTGCTCGGTTGGGGGCGCTACACTTTGAGGGTGAGGGGGCCTGGAGCGACTGAGGGTCCGGCGTTTGGCCGGGATCCCGGAAAGCGGCGTCCCTGGGGGTGTGGGTTTTGGAGGGGTTCCTGAGGAACTGGATTCCGAGCTTGCTCGCAAGGCGAGACGTTCCGTGGAGGCGGAGTTTACGATGTATCCAAGTCTGACGGCCCCAGAAACGGGTGTGCAGGGCGCCCATTGGGTCCGCGGTATGACTGCAGAAAGAGCCTGGGAGATCGAGGGGCGCAGAGTGGGGCCGGACCAGGGGCGTTTTTAGGGATCCCAGTAGTTCTCGTGGTGCTGCGCGGCGATGATGATGACTACGGTGAGGATGGTACAGAGCACCATGGCCGCGATGCCCACGGCCAGGGAGATGAAGGAGAAGTTCCGGGCCTCGCGTGAAGCGATCTCGGCCGACACCATGTCTCCGCGGGCCAAGGCCGTGCGCACCTACGGAGGAGGGGTGGGGGAAGGAGGTCAAAGAGCTGCGGCCTCGTTCGAACGCCTCAGCCTTTCTCTAAGATGGTCCCCAGAACGCCCAGAACTCCCTGTCCCCGCCCCCAAACCGAGTATGCCCCTGCCCCCTACCTGCACGGCCTTGAAGATGGCAATGATGCCAGTAGGCCAGAAGCAACAGATGGTGGTCAGCACCGCGATGGGCATGTAGTCGTGTGGCGGGCGCCTCGGCTCCAGTAGGGCCAGCCCTGGGCCCTGGGGCGGCGGGGGGAGAGTGGAGGTCACTCCTGTTCCCCCCGGGGTCCCGCCTGCATATGGCTGTGGAAGGAAATTTGGGGGGCAGGGGCATCACTCTGACCCTCTCCCAGCCTACCAGCGTTGGGCGGCTGGCAGAGTGGCTTTAAAAGCACAATTTTTACCTATGGCTTCTCAAAATAAAGCACCCATTACCCTTCCAGGACACCCATAAATTCCACCTAAGCCCCTCTCCTCCCTTCCTTGCTTCATTAACCACCATATTCTTGGGCTTTCTACATTCTCTCCCGCAAGGTATGGTCCCACTGGGGCTGTCCTGGCCTCAGGTCAGACCTTCTTTCTTCCCTCCAGACACCTACCAGGCCTCCCCTACCCCCTTAGTCCCAGGCTTCTCCCACATCCCTCTTGGTTCCCAGCTTCCATTCCCCCCGTCCCCCGCCAGGCGGTTTCCTACTTTCAGACCTCCTCTGAACCTCTAGGCTCCGATCCCCCTCCCAGGCCCTGACTCTGGGCACCAGTAGACTCCTACTCCCGTGTCTCTCCCTAGTCCTTCCTGTCTCAGGCTCCCTTCTTTCTAGGGCTTGTCCCGGGAACACTACCTGTTCCCTGCCCTTGTTCCTCTATCCTACCAGCCCCCAGCGTATCCCCAATTTCAAGTCCTGTATCGCGTCCCCCTCTTTCCCATGTCCCTGTCTGCCCGGCACTCACCGTGCCCACCGGGTAGACCGGCACGTAAGCAGTGCAAGGCTGCAGCTGCAGGGGGTATCCGGGCGCTACGTAGCCCCCCAGCGGCAGCGTGCCCACAGTCCCCGCGTGCGTGGGCACCACGAAGCCAGGGGCCTGGGCAGTCTGGGCTGGCGCCGGCGGGGGCGGGGCGGCGGCAGCGGGCGGCGGCGGGGGAAGTGGGCCCTCGAAGCGAGTCTCCTGCAGGTAAGGGTCGGGTGGCATGCGGGGCAAGGTAGCGCAGCCGGGTGGGGGTGCCCCGGCAGCAGGGCCGGGAGGGGCGTGGTGGGGGGGCCTCGGCAGCGTGGCAGAGGAGGAGGGACCGCGCTGAGCGGTGGCCGCGGAAGAGGCCAGGCCCCCTGCCCCTAAGCGCGGGAGGGTGGCGGTGCCAGACTGATGGTAGTGGTGGTGGTGGTGATGGTGTGAGGAAGGGGCTGCCTGTGGCGGTGGGGCTGGGGGTTCGGCTGGAGGCTGAGGGGCATTGTAGGGCGGCGGAGAAGTGTGAGGGACTGAGTCTGGGAGTCCTGGGGGAGGTGAGTGGAGGAGAGTATAAGAGGAAAGATGACACAGTGATGAGTTGAGGAGGGGGTAAGGGGAAACACAGCCGGTCAGGGATGGAGAAAGATAATGGGAGAGACACATAGAGAGAGACGGGTGAGAAACCATCTCTAATTTGAGGGGCAAGAGAGGGGCTGTATCTAGGCCATCTGCCCCCCTCCTTCTTCCTTCCAATCTAGTTTTGAGGTCACAACTCTGGTCTGCTTCTTTTCTGTCTTTTTCATCACCATGCACCCAGCTCTCACCTGCAGACCTAATCCCCTCTCCTTTGCTATAGCTGCCTTTGGGCTGGCCTATCCGAGCTAGTCCTGTGTGTGCGTATGCGTAGACATGCAACCCTGTGTTAATATGTGCTCAATTCAACAGTTGTATAAACACATGTGGGATGACATGTGTTCCACTCTGCTGTTCCTTCAGTGGGGGGAGGAGTGCCCCAGCCTCTGTGAGAATCTCGGGACCTCTTTTAGGGCAGATTAAGAAGAGCCCTCTGGATTTTGCTCCCTTGACAACCCCCATCTGGTCATGTCTCCATATTTCCTCACAGGATGTCTCCATGCCAGCCAGTGATTGTCCATCTGTCACTCCCAATGATGCCATCCCTGCAAAACCTGGCTGTACCTCCTTCACCCTCTCAACCTACCCCCCTGACCATGTTGTTGGCAAGGGGCAGAGGCTGCCACTGGAAAGAGGAAAGGAAGAGAAAGGGGGAGACAGAAAGAGGAGGGGGACTGGGGGAGTGTTGAGAGCTGGAGAGAAGGGGAATGAAATAGAACCACAGCTGAGGAGGGGTAAGGGAGGGGGTTGGGGCAAGGGGGACGGAGAGTCTGGAGACAGTGGAGGGGGTGGGAGGTTTTGTTATTGTTTTTACCTGACTTTTCGGATGACATGCCTGCGGTCTCGCTGGGACAGGGTCCCTGCAGCCGGAGTGGGGGTCCTCGGCCGGTGCTGGAGTCTGGGTGCTGGATGGCGCAGCCGGCAGCAGCGCAGAGATGGAGAGATGAAGGCAGCGGCGGGGGGGGGGGGCGGGGGGGGCGGGCGGAGGGAGAGCGGGGAGGGGGGGAGCTTAAAGGGACCGAGGCGAGGGAGGGGGAGCGCTTCAGATGTTTCCCACTCGGTCTCTCTCTGCTCTCGGACCACCTCTCTCCTCCTCTTACCCCGGCATTCAAGCCCCCAGTTTGGGCTCCTTTGGAGTTGTCATGGAAACACGGAGGCTAGACCAGGCGAGGCGGGTGGGACTAAGGAAAGGAAGGAAGGAGAACTCTCTGGAGTCTCCCCCACCAAGACTCAGTGATTGTATTGTGGGAGGAAGTGAACAGGTTCTCAGTGGAGTTAATAACCCAGGTGCCTCCAGAGGCAGGTCGTCTCCCCCTCTTAGCTCCCTGCAAGGTGCCAGGGTCTTCTCCCAAATCCTTGGCCCCAGTTTCCTCCTCTTTAGAAGAGATAAATACTTGTGTGTGAGAGAGAATTGTGCAGAGTTCAGAACTGCGATGGTCTGAAAAGTTCCCAGGGTTTGGTGAACCTACCAACCTAGCAGTAAAGAGGGAGGCCCAGGTCTGTAAATCAGGGGGAGCTGGGCCTTGGAGGGAAAAGGGAGAGAGAGTTTGGGCGGTGTGCATACATACCTTCTTCGTCCAGGACTAAGGAGCTGAAGCTCTTTTGGAGGGGGTAGGGGGTATGACTTAACTGCTCATTTCTGGCAGCTCTGTTGGTAATGTGTGCTTGTTCCCCCACTTTCCCTTTGCTTTTGAGGCTGCTTAGAGTCTCTGGGCTGGTCAATGTTCAGATCCATTCCCTAAACCCCCCTACTCCCACCCACCACCTCCCACCAAGACGCATCTCCAGCTCCTGAGTCGACCTGCAGTACAGCGTTATTAGTCTTTTTATTTGCTTATTGCATCTTGGGAGCGCGTGGGTGGGTGAAGGGAGCGAGGATAGGAAGTCTATGGAGATTTACACCAGTTTTTTTTTTTTTTTAAACAAAAACACAGCCAGATAATCATTATTCTTCCCTTACGTCCCCCCAGCCCCCACCTGGGGCAGTCGCTCTCCCGGCTGCGTCCCTTTTCGTCCATGTCCTAGCAGAGACTACAGAGCAGTACAGAGGCTCTCGCTGAAACCAGTCCCAGGCTCCACAGAGTCAGATCACGGCTTCACACCAGTCGTTCTGGTCACTTAGGCGTTCGCGTGAGCGCTCAACCCCTTACCGCCACCTCATCGTCACTCTACACCATTCTGAGCGCAAAAATGTTTTGATTGAGACAAATTTAGACCAAGCAATGACCTTGTAAACAGAGAGAGGGGCTCAGACATGCTGAGAAATCCTTATCTCTAGAGAAACGTCTTTAAATGCTAAGTAAAAGCCCTAGCAAGTAAAAGCCCTGAGGCACTAGGGTGTCGGTTAGGGGTCACAGGCGGAGAGGTGGGGCGCCTGGGGGTTTCGGTAGGGAGCCACCCACAGATAACTCAGACAGCCAGATTCTGGGGGTCGTTCAGGTTGAAAGACTGGTCGAAATTACGCGGGCATGAGTCAGCGCATCCCTACGCGCCCTCCGCCCCTTGAGGGTGGGTCGCTTATAGGGAGGGGAGTAGAGTAGGGCAGGAGAAACTGGGCCAGGCTGCACTTAGCTCAAGGGGCCTCGAGGACTCTCTGCGTCTCTGGAGACAAGGGCACTACACGCACTTCAGAATGAAGAGTTGTAAGTCGCTGACCTGGGGCGGACTGGAGGGTGGGGTGGGGTGGGTGTTGAGGGGCACGCCCGGGCTGGCATCAGCCCTCCAGGCCACCCTGCCACTCACCCAGCACACGGCAAAATGCAGAGGACTACCTTTCCCTGGTCCGCCCCCTGGCCGCCCCTTGGGGAATGCAAACTTCGTGTCCTGCTGCGGAGCCAGACGCCTGTATTGGGAAGTGGGGAGAATCAAGGCGGGGAAATCGGACTTTTGGGTCGCTGGGGGCAACGAAGCCTGGAGAGGCCTTCTTTCCATTCCCAGAATATGTTTGCTGCTTTTTCCTCTCCCCACTGGCCTAAATGGATCGCTCCGCCTGTTTCCTCCCCAGCACCTAGGGCGCAATGGAATATTCCATTGCCCCTCCTGTCCTGGGTCTGTGTTGCGGGGAACGCTCGCGCGGTTGCCAGAGAAAGCCCCGGACGTGACGGATTTGCGCGACCCCAAGCAGCCCGCCCTTCCCCCTCCCATCCGTCATTCCCCTGCGCTCTCTTTCCTCACCCTTCCCCCCGCCACCGTGGGTTCCAGACTTGGGATAAGTAAACAGCGGGTGGAGCGAGGCCTACGGACCCAGGCCAGGTGGGAGTCTGCACTCTTCAAGGGGCCTGGGCTGCTGCTCACGGGTATTAAAGAACTCCGCGTTGTTCATGGCTGAGGCGATGCATTAGGAAGATCCTGGACCTAGAGAACAAGTCCCCCGAACGCTGAGTTGGAGGCGGGACTTCGGGTGCGCGTTGGTGCGTCAACGTGGTGGGGGGGTGTGTTTGTAGGGAGAGGGCTGGAGTAAGTTAAAAGTAGGCTATTTTGTGACACGGACCTGGTGTGGGAGCGAGAGGAGGTGGCTTGATTGCCGGGCGTCTGTTCCGAGGGAGGAGGGTGTTGCCATCTCCCTCACATGCCCTTATCACCCCTTTCTCAGGCGGGAGCATGCTGGGGCTCTGGGGGCAGCGGCTCCCCGCGGCGTGGGTCCTGCTTCTGTTGCCTTTCCTGCCGCTGCTGCTGCTTGCAGCCCCCGCGCCCCACCGCGCGTCCTACAAGCCGGTCATCGTGGTGCATGGGCTCTTCGACAGCTCGTACAGCTTCCGCCACCTGCTGGAATACATCAATGAGGTCTGGCAGGGGACACCTGGGTGCAGGGCGTTAGAGGCGTCTACTGTGGCAGGGGAGGGAGAGCGGGGAACTGAAAGCCACCCCTCTGGGCCTGCCCAGTTCCTCAGGGAGCTGGTGCTGGCGTGGGGGAGAGTTGGGGGACGGGATCCCTGGTTCTAGCAGGGTACAATAGACCTGTGGACGCGGGCCAGGGGGTGGCGTGTGGGAGCTTCTTAGCCTATCCCCGGTGGCTGCATTGCCCCCTTCCCACAGACACACCCCGGGACTGTGGTGACAGTGCTCGATCTCTTCGATGGGAGAGAGAGCTTGCGACCCCTGTGGGAACAGGTGCAAGGGTTCCGAGAGGCTGTGGTCCCCATCATGGCAAAGGCCCCTCAAGGGGTGCATCTCATCTGCTACTCGCAGGGTAGGCGACTCCCCTGCCCCTAACTCCTAAGCCCTATCTGAGGCTTGATCCTTATCTGAGGGACACTTCCTAGCGTCCCTTTTTCTGAACCACATTGCTCCAGGCACAACCCTGGTACCTGAGCCCTTCCTTTCTGACTTCCCTCAGCACCTGGGTCTCATCTCTGTCTTGAATGGGAGGGAGGCTCCCTACACTGCTGCCCTTTTGCTTCCTGTTACCCATGGTTCTTGGACATAAGGGCTAATGGGGCAGGTAAAAACATCCTAGAACTAGAGGCAGGAGGCCCAGCATCTAATTCGGGCTCAGTCACTTATATGATGTGTGACCTTTTGGCACAGGGTGTGCCTGCCTTCTGTAAGCCTCAGTCTCCTTTGTGTACAGTGTGTGTCTGTGTGTGTCTCTGTGTGTGTGTGTGTGTGTGTGTGTGTGTGTGTGGTGGGGGTGGGGGGTGCTGCTGGCTTTGCTGTCCTTAAGTGCCTGCCCAATGTGGTGTTCTGCTTACAGGGGGCCTTGTGTGCCGGGCTCTGCTTTCTGTCATGGATGATCACAACGTGGATTCTTTCATCTCCCTCTCCTCTCCACAGATGGGACAGTATGGAGGTGAGTGGGCACTAGACTCCATAGAATGCCCTGAGTTTTGGGGGAACAGAGGTTTATGGTCACTTAGCATTGCCATTCGCTTGCCAGACACGGACTACTTGAAGTGGCTGTTCCCCACCTCCATGCGGTCTAACCTCTATCGGATCTGCTATAGCCCCTGGGGCCAGGAATTCTCCATCTGCAACTACTGGCATGGTGAGTGGGGATGCTGAACTGGGGCTTCCATGGATCAGGTCAGTTGCTTCCACCTCTGCTACAACCAATAGCAGTGATGACAATAAAGATAACTTACATTTATTGAGTTATTTGAACAGGCTCTGTTCAGAATTTTTTTTTTTTTTGAGACGGAGTCTTGTTCTGTTGCCCAGGCTGGAGTGCAGTGCACCATCTCGGCTCACTGCAACCTCCGCCTCCCAGGTTCAAGTGATCCTCCTGCCTCAGTCCCCCTAGTAGCTGGGATTACAGGCAGGCGCCATCATGCCCGGCTAAGTTTTGTATTTTAAGTAGAGATGGAGTTTCGCCATGTTGGCCAGGCTGGTCTCGAACTCCTGACCTCAGGTGATCCACTCGCCTCGGCCTCCCAAAGTGCTGGGATTACAGGTGTGAACCATTGCACCTGGCCCAGAATGTTTTAAGTGTGTCACCTTATTGCCTTAGAAGGTTTAGTCTGATGTGGGAGTCAGCAAACCTTGTCTATAAAGGGCCAGAGAGTAAATATTTTTGACTTTGTAGGACATATAGTCTGTTTCACAACTCCTCAATTCTGCTGTTGTAGTGTGAAAGCAGCCATGTACCATATGTGAATGAATGTGCCTGTGTTCCAGTAAAACTTCATTTACAAAAACAAGTAGCAGGCTGGATTTGGTCCTTTGGTCACAGTTTGCCAACCTCTAGACCAGACCATGGGGCCAGAATACTTGGGTTTGAATCTTGACCCTATTGGGTGCCTTTGGGCAAGTTACTTAACCATTCTGTTACTCAGTTTTCCTTATCTGTAAAATATTATAGCATGTACTTCACCAGGTGGTTGTAAGGATTAAATAAATAAATGAATGCAATGTACTTTGAATAGTACCTGGCTCATATAGTAGATACTAGATAGAAGTACTTGCTATTGCCAGGTGTGGTGGCTCACACCTGTAATCCCAATATCTTGGCAGGGGGAGGTGGGCGCATCACCTGAGGTCGGGTTCGAGACCAGCCTGGCCAACATGGTGAAACCCCATCTCTACTAAAAATACAAAAAAAATTTAGCTGAATGTGGGCACACGCTTGTAATCCCAGCTACTCAGGATGCTGAGTCAGGAGAATTGCTTGAACCCGGGAGGCAGATGTTGCAGTGAGCGGAGATCCTGCCACTGCACTTCAGCCTGGGTGACGGAGTGAGATTTCATCTAAAAAAAAAAAAAGTACTTGTTACTATGTTTACGGTTGTTATCACTACTATTATTATTTTGAGATGGAGTCTCACTGTGTCTCCCAGGATGGAGTGCAGTGGTGCAGTCTCGGCTCACTGTAACCTCCACCTCCTGGGTTCAAGTGATTCCAGCGCCCCGAGTAACTGGGATTACAGGCATGCACCACCACGCCTGGCTAACTTTTGTATTTTTAGTAGAGACAGGGTTTCGCCATGTTAGCCAGGCTGGTCTCAAACTCCCGACTTCAAGTGATCCACCTGCCTCTACCTCCCAAAGTGCTGGGATTACAGGTGTGAGCCACCGCACCTGGCCTACATTATCACTACTATTTTATTACTATCCACCTTGACTATTGCTGCAGCTTCCTTATTGGGCTTTTCACCACCAGTCTTGCCTCCCTTTTCTGCTTCTTTTTCTAACTGCTGTTTGTACCCAGATCCCCACCACGATGACTTGTACCTCAATGCCAGCAGCTTCCTGGCCCTGATCAATGGGGAAAGAGACCATCCCAATGCCACAGGTGAGAATTCAGGCTCCTACCTGTGTTGCTTTTTCTGCTTCTTTGACTCCCTATGTCTCCCTCTCCAACCTGGCCTGACCCCTGTGGCTGACTCAGCCTCTCTTCTTCCCATCCTACAGTATGGCGGAAGAACTTTCTGCGTGTGGGCCACCTGGTGCTGATTGGGGGCCCTGATGATGGTGTTATTACTCCCTGGCAGTCCAGGTAATAAGGGATTTTGTGGCCTGAAGATTGGCTAAAGACATCCCCCAACCCCAGTTGGTCTTTATCTCATGCCTAAACTGGCCTGCTCCTTCCACTGTTCAGTTAGTGCTCCTCCCCCCATTCATCATGTCACCCAAGACCAAAACCTGGGAGTCATATCCCAACCCCTTGTATCAAGCCAGTCACTAAGTCCTGCTGACTCTTCTCCTCTCCATCCCTATCACCCCCTCCCCCACTTTATAAAAACTTTTAATTTTGAAATTCTTATAGATTCATAGGAAATTGCAAAGATAGTATAGCGAGGCCCTTCACCCAGCTTCCCCCAGTGGTTGCATCCTATGTAATTATAGCACAGTATCAAAACCAGGAAATTCACATTGGTTCAATGTGTGTGTGTAGTTTTATACCATTTTATCACATTTCCTACCACCTCTTTACTTACCTGGACTATTATAACAGCCTCCAGCTTTGTCCCCTCCATCCTATTCCTTAGAAAAAAATCCATGGCTCCATGGTACTATGTGCTTGCCTGTGTTATAGGTCACCATGTGTGATCTGTAATGTCACCTGAGCTACTTGAATTGCTCAACAAATATTTATTCAACATTATGGGCGCAGGCTTGTTCTGGGCCCTAGGGATGCAGTGGTAAATAAAAGAGAAGTCCCTAATGTTATGTAGCTTATATTCTAGTTTGTAAGATAGCTGATACATACATACAAATATATATGTCAGGTAATAAGGCAGGGGAAAGGATTAGAGGATGTCCGGGGCCTAGTTTCAATAGTGGCCGAAGAAGTCCTCCTGGAAAAGTCACCATTCAATTAGAGACTGAAGGAAGTGAAGGAGGGAGTTGTGCTCTGGGTGGAAGAACCCCCCAGGGAGAAGGTCTGGCACCTGCAGAGGCCCTGAAGCACGTGTGAGCAATAAGGAGGCCAGCATGGCTAGTGCACAAGGAGCTGGGGAGAGGACAGGAGAGGAGCTAAAAGTGGTAGCAGGGGACCAGGCATGTCAAACCTTAGCAGGTCAAGGTAAGGCCCTTGATATTTTTTTTTCTTTTTTTTGTGATAAAATATACATAACATAAAATTGCCATTTTAACCATTTAAAAATGTACAGTTTTGTGGCATTAAGTATACTCACATCATTGTAAAACCATCACCCATCAGCACCATCCATCTCCAGAACTTCTTTTTCCCCAAACTGAAACCGTATACCCATTAAAAAATAGACTGGGTGTGGTGGCTCACGCCTGTAATCCCAGCACTTTGGGAGGCCGAGGCAGTGGATCACCTGAGGTCGGGAGTTCGAGACTAGCCCGACCAACATGGAGAAACCCTGTCTGTACTAAAAATACAAAACTAGCTGGGTGTGGTGATGCATGCATGTAATCCCAGCTACTTGGGAGGCTGAGGCAGGAGAATCGCTTGAACCTGGGAGGCAGAGGTTGCAGTGAGCTGAGATTGCGCCATTGCACTCCAGCCTGGGCAACAAGAGCGAAACTCCATCTCAAAAAAAAAAAAAAAAAAAAAATATATATATATATATATATCCTCATCCCTATTTCCCGACAGTCCCGGTAACCAGGCTTTTGATTTTTTTTTTTAAATTCTGAGTGAGATGGGAAGGCACTGGACAGTTTTCAGTGAAGGCAGGACATCTCTTAAAATATTGTAATAATATAATAGTAAGTGATGAGTTTTATGTACATCATGTCATTTCACATCTACCACAACCCTATGAATGACAGTGATAGCTCATGGTTATATAACATTTTTAATGTTCCAAGTCACTGTTTCTTCCTTTTTTTTTTTTTTGAGACAGAGTTTTGTTCTTGTCGCCCAGGCTAGAGTGTAATAGCACAATCTCGGCTCACTGCAACCTCCGCCTCCTGGGTTCAAGCCATTCTCCTGCCTCACCTCCCAAGTGGCTGGGACTACAGGTGCCCACCACCATGCCTGGCTAATTTTTAGTATTTCTGGTAGAGACGGGGTTTCACTGTGTTAGCCAGGATGGTCTCGATCTCCTGACCTTGTGATCCGCCTGCTTCGGCCTCCCAAAGTGTTGGGATTACAGGCGTGAGCCACTGCGCCTGGCCAATATATATCTCTCTCTATATATAGATAGATATATATTTTTTGAGTTGGAGTCTTCGCTCGGTCGCCCAGGCTGGAGTGCAGTGGCGTGATCTCGGCTCACTGCAAGCTCTGCCTCCCAGGTTCACGCCATTCTCCTGCCTCAGCCTCCTGAGTCGCTGGGACTACAGGCACCCGCCACCACGCCCGGCTAATTTTTTTGTATTTTTAGTAGAGACGGGGTTTCACTGTGTTAGCCAGGATGGTTTCGATCTCCTGACCTCGTGATCCACCCGCCTCGGCCTCCCAAAGTGCTAGGATTATAGGCGTGAGCCCACGCACCCGGCCTTGCCTGGCCAATATTTTTTAATTAAAAGATTTTAACTCCATCTGGCTGGGTGCGGTGGCTCACGCCTATAATCCCAGCACTTTGGGAAGCCGAGGCGGGTGGATCACCTGAGGTCAGGAGTTCGAGAACAGCTGGCTAACATTGAGAAACCCCATCTCTACTAAAAATACAAAAATTAGTGGGCCTGGTGGCGCACGCCTGTAGTTCCAGCTACTCAGGAGGCTGAGGCAGGAGAACTTGAAACCAGGAGGCGGAGGTTGCAATGAGCCGACAGGGTGCCACTGCACTCCAGCCTGGGTGACAGAGCAAGGCTCTGTCTCAAAAAAAAAAGAAAAAAAGGATTTTAAGACCTTTCTATTTTGAAATAATTTCATACTTAAGAAAAGTTTGCGCCTGTAATCCTAGCACTTTGGGAGGCCGAGGCATGAGCCCAGGGGTTTGAGACCAGCCTGGGCAACATGGCAAAACCCTGTCTTTACCTAAAATACAAAAATTAGCTGGGCGTGGTGGTGTGCCCTTGTAGTCCCAGCTACTTGGGAGGCTGAGGTACGAGAATTGCTTGAGCCTAGGAGGCCAAGGCTGCAGTGAGCCGAGATCTCACCATTGCACTCCTGCCTGGGTGACAGAGTAAGACCCTGTCTCAAAAAAAAAAAAAAAAGTTACCAAAATAGCAAAAAGCAGTCATTTATACTCCTCACCTAGATTTCGCAAATGTTAACATTTTGTCATGTTTACATTAATATCTTTTTTCTCTAAATATATATACATTTATTTATATACGTTAATGTTATATTTAAATATAAACATAGATTCAAATTTTCCTGAATATGCGCTCACAGATTATTCAAATTTTTCCAACTGTCCTTACAGAAAAAAATATACAGTGGAAGATCCAAATCAGGATCTTGAGTTGCATGATCTTGTTACGTCTCTTTAGTATCTTTTTGTTTGTTTGTTTGTTTGAGTTGGAGTTTCACTCTTGTTGCCCAGGCTGGAGTGCAATGGCAAATCTCGGCCCACTGCAACCTCCGCCTGCCAGGTTCAAGTGATTCTCCTGTCTTAGCCTCCTGAGTAGCTGGGATTATAGGCGCCCACCACCATGCCCAACTAATTTTGTATTTTTAGTAGAGACGGGGTTTCTCCATGTTGGCCAGGCTGGTCTTGAACTCCTGACCTCAGGTGATCCACCCTCCTTGGTCTCCCAAAGTGCTGGGATTACAGGCATGAGCCACCACACCTGGCCTCTTTTTTTTTTTTTTTTGAGACAAAGTCTCACTCTGTCGCCAGGCTGGAGTGCAGTGGCGCCATCCCGGCTCACTGCAACCTTTGCGTCCCAGAATCAAGCAATTCTCCTGCCTCTGCCTCCTGAGTAGCTGGGATTACAGGCGTCCACCACGCCCAGCTAATTTTGTATTTTTAGTAGAGACAGGGTTTCTCCGTGTTGGCCAGGCTGGTCTCGAATTCCTGACCTCAGATGATCCACCCTCCTCGGCCTCCCAAAGTGCTGGGATTACAGGCTTGAGCCACCACGCCCAGCTAATTTTGTATTTTTAGTAGAGATGGGGTTTCACCACGTTGGCCAGGCTGGTCTTGAACTCCCGACCTCAGGTGATCCGCCGGCCTTGGCCTCCCAAAGTGCTGGGATTACAGGTGTGAGCCACCTCGCCCGGCCAGTAATGCATTTTTGATGGGGTTTCTACAGAAGTGAGGTCGTATCTTCAGTGTATCACCTCATGAAGTACATTATATCCAGTAAGGTAGTTTTGAGTGTCCTCCCTGCTACCTGTCTCCCCAGTAGGCCTTGGGTTCCTTTGGGACCTTAGCCCACCTTGATTTCTTCCTTTCTTTTTTCCTTTTCTTTTTTCTTTCCTTTTTCCTTTCCTTTCCTTTTTGAGATGGGGTCCCGCTCTGTCACCCAGGCTGAAGTGCAGTGGTGCGATCTCGACTCAATGCAACCTCCACCTCCCGGGTTCAAGTAATTATCCTGCCTCAGCCTCTTGGGTAGCTGGGCTTGCAGGCATCTGCCACCATGCCCAGCTAATTTTTGTATTTTTAGTAGAGATGGGGTTTCACCATTTTGGTCAGGCTGGTCTTGAACTCCTGGCCTCAGGTGATTTGCCCTCCTTGGCCTCCCAAAGTGCTGCAATTACAGGCGTGTGCCACTGCGCCCGGCCAGATTTTCTCCAGCTCTTCTGATGACCTCCCCCCAAATCTCTTTGTAGCTTCTTTGGTTTCTATGATGCAAATGAGACCGTCCTGGAGATGGAGGAGCAACTGGTGAGCCCCCTGGGATTACTTCCCCTTCTAGCCGCTGTCCCACCTTATTCCAGAGCCCTCTCTGTGACTCCTGAGCTGAAGGGTTCACCCTGTGGGGAGGAGGTCCAGGATCCCAGCAGTAACTCACTTTGTCTCTCCTTGTGTCTCTCTTCCATGCTTCCACGCCCCTTCGACCACCTTGAAGGTTTATCTGCGGGATTCTTTTGGGTTGAAGACTCTATTGGCCCGGGGGGCCATAGTGAGGTGTCCAATGGCCGGTATCTCCCACACAGCCTGGCACTCCAACCGTACCCTTTATGAGACCTGCATTGAACCTTGGCTCTCCTGAGGATATATTCAGGGGTCCCCAGGAACTCCTCGGTCCAGAGACCAAGTGGTGGCCTTGGAAAGCAGATGTCAGGCTTTGGTGTGCCTGTGACCACCTCATTGCTCCCATATTATCCCCCATTTTTAGTAGAGACGGGGTTTTAGTAGAGACTTGGCCTCCCAGAACCCCCTTCCTCTGCTCCTCCATGAATGACAATTCCAGGCCTCCCCTACCTCATGTCCTCTCATTTGGGGGATTGCTCCGTGCTGTCCCTTTCTCTCAAGGCCGAAGTTGGGAAGTGAGAAACCATGTTTTTAACTTGTGGCTGCTTTTGCTGCTGCTGCTCCTCCGTATCTGGCTGTATGGGTGGAGAACCCACCCCCTGCCCACCACAGGGGTCTCCTTCCAGGCCACTCAGGACATTTTTAGCTTCTCTCCTCCCCATGTTCCCTTTTTTCTCTAAAGTCCCCTGACATCAGCCCTCCCAACTCCTAAGAGGGACTACCCATGAGAGTGGGGTTCTGAGGCTCCCCTATGGGGACAGTTCCGTTCTTGAAGTGTCAGTGTTGGGGAATATCTGTGGCCTATGAGGCCCATCTCAGGTTTGGGGATCCCCCAGTCCCTATGATCAGTGTTGGAGTACCCCCCTGGGAGAGCCTAGTTTCTTTGAGGCCCCAGGCCCTCTTTTAACTACCTTTGAATAGGTGTTATCCCTGTATTTATGGAAATAAAGTTCCATTTCCTCAGTGTGACTTGGCTCATTTCCAGGTGGAGGGGACCTGGCTCCCCAAGGAGGGTGGGGGCGGAGCCTGAGGCCTGGGTGCCCAGATGCCTGGTCTAGGGTGGGGACCCCCTTGGTGTTTCCGCTCTCTCTCAATGCCCATTCTTTGTGGGTTCCTGGTTCTCTGCGGGTTCTTTCCTGCTGAAGACAATTCTCTTCCTCTCCCAGTCCCCAAGACTGGGGGGTTAAGCTCAGGGCTCCAGTGGTTTGGGCCTCAGCCTCATGGGTGGAATGCGCCTGCCACCCCCAGGCTAGACGAGGGGGCAGAGGGTCAGGGTGGGCATTCGTTGTGCCGCTTTTGAGCTTTGTGGGCCAGAGCTGGGTGTAGGGCTGGACAATGAGCCTCCTCTTCCTTGAAAGAAGGAATTTTGGCTGAGACAATAGGGCCCTGTCTGTTCTGGCATGGGGGGTGGTGGCTGACTCAATTCTGTTCCCCCTAAGCCCTAACAAATGTCATGAAGAGAGGGGGGCAGTTTTCCCCTTGGTGCCCTGGGCTGCCCCCCTGCCCCTTTGTGACGACTTGCCCTTCTAGCTTTCCTCAGCTGATCTTGCTTTTTCTCCCATAACCTGAACTGCTTTGTTCCCTGCAGCTGGTTCTCTCCCTGCCCCCTAACTCTCCCCTAGTCTGTTTTGGGTTCAAGGGGGTACTGGTGGTGTTACAGAGCTCATAGCTTCTGATCTGGGGAGTCCAGAAATAGGGGCCTCAGAGGGTTGGAAAGATACTTCTAGGGAGCCCTTTGCTGGGATGGGGATGAGGGTAGTGGGACTTGACCCTACTGAGCTGACCCTGCTGGAGCTAAGGAGGAGGCTTGTGGGAGGGGGCAGGAATGGGAGGACTCTCTGGCCCAGCCCCTCCTCTCCTTCTTAGCCTGCCAGGCCCACCCACCAGTCTGAGCTGCTTCTGCTGAGGCTGGTCTGCTTGAAGCCTCCCAGGAGAAAGAAGCCAGGTGGGAATGGAGAGAGAGAGGAAGGCAAGTGGGGAGAGAATTTCAAATGGGGAAAGAGTGGGGTTTACTCAGAGCCTTAGGGTGGGCATGAGTTGCGGGGTGTTTTGTTGGAGCAAGGGATGTGCATTTAGGGCGTTATGTGACGGTGTGGGTATATGAGGGGAGTAGCAGTGTGTGAAAGGTGTGGAGTTTCCAGGTGCTTGGTTTGTGTGTACGGTGTGAAGGTATATAGCTAGGGGTTTTTTTTGTTTGTTTGTTTTGTTTGTTTTTTTGAGACGGAGTCTTGCTCTGTCGCCCAGGCTAGAGTGCAGTGGCATGATCTTGGTTCACTGCAACCTCTGCCTCCAGGGTTCAAGGGATTCTCCTGCCTCAGCTTCCCGAGTAGCTGGGATTACAGGCGTCCACCACTGCGCCTGGCTAATTTTTTGTATTTTTTAGTAGAGATGGGGTTTCACCATCTTGGCCAGGCTGGTCTCGAACTCCTGACCTCATGATCCACCCACCTCAGCCTCCCAAAGTGCTGGGATTACAGGTGTGAGCCACCGCGCCCAACCAGCTAGGGTTTTGAAGGTATGAAGTTATAAGAGGGCATGTTAAAGACAGGAGGGTTGGCCAGGCATGGTGGCTCACACCTGTAATCCCAGCACTTTGGGAGGCCAAGGCAGGCGGATCACCTGAAGTCGGGAGTTCGAGACCAGCCTGACCAACATGGAGAAACCCCGTCTCTACTAAAAATACAAAACAAAATTAGCCGGGCGTGGTGGCAGGCGCCTGTAGTCCCAGCTACTCGGGAGGCTGAGGCAGGAGAATGGCATGAACCCGGGAGGCGGAGCTTGCAGCAAGCCGAGATCGCACCACTGCACTCCAGCCAGGGTGACAGCGAGACTCCGTCTCAAAAAACAACAACAAAAAAAAAACCAAAAAAAAAAAAACCCTAGCTATATACCCTCACACCCTACAAAACAAAACAAAACAAAATTAGCCAGGCGTGGTGGCGCATGCCTGTAATCCCAGCTATTTGGGAGGCTGAGGCAGGAGAATCACTTGAACCTGGGGGGCGGAGGTCGTGCGGTGAGGCAAGAACATGCCATTGCATTCCAGCCTGGGTAGTAAGAGCGAAACTCCTTCTCAAAAACAAAAACAAAAAAAAACCCAAAAAAAGACAGGAGGGTCATAAGGGGAGGGTTGACTGTGTGTCCCTCCAGGTTGTGCAGAGGGGATTAGAAGTAAGTAGGTTAGAGGGGAGGTGGAGGGAGTGTGCTGGGGTGTGAGCTTTTATGATGCTGAAAGGATCATGATATGCTAAGGACAGGATAGTGTTGGGTTGTACACACAGGTGTAGGCAATCCTGGTGGCTAGTATGTAAAAGTGAATGTCCTGACTCCCTTAGAGGGTACCTGCAGAGTGCCCTTGGAGGGACTAGTGCTGGAGAAATTAATAGGAGAGGGGACGGGCATCCATTAACCTTTTCTTGCCTGCAGCCTGTAGGGTCCAGCGTCAAAGCGAATCATGGGGTCCAGGGCTGAGCTGTGCACTCTCTTAGGCGGATTCTCCTTCCTCCTGCTACTGATACCAGGCGAGGGGGCCAAGGGTGGATCCCTCAGAGAGAGGTGACAACAGAGGGGGTAGGGCCCGGGGTGAGCTCTTCTCAGGAGCCTTCTGCTGGGGGTGGGGCTTCACAGGAGGCAAAACATAACTGTAAGTTTAGAATGGGGGTGAGAGGCTGTCATCTGGAGGGAGAGCGGGGGGCCTCAGTAGCCTCTTGAGGGAAGTGGGACTCCTGGCTCCCCAGGGCCTGGCCTACTCAATCTCTCCCACCTCATCCTCTGGCATGGACGCAGTCAGGGAGTCTGCTCCAAGCAGACACTGGTGGTCCCGCTCCACTACAACGAGTCCTACAGCCAACCAGTGTACAAGCCCTACCTGACCTTGTGCGCTGGGAGGCGCATCTGCAGCACTTACAGGTGAGGGATGGGGAGATGGGACCCCAAGAACCCCAACTAGGACCCGTACTCAGGGTCCTGAGCCGGGCGCTGTGTTCCAGGACCATGTACCGCGTTATGTGGCGGGAGGTGAGGCGGGAGGTTCAGCAGACCCATGCAGTGTGCTGCCAGGGCTGGAAGAAGCGGCACCCGGGGGCGCTCACCTGTGAAGGTGAGGCTGGGTCTTCCGGGCCTTGCGGGAGGCGCGCCCCACGGAGCTGGGGAGCTGGGTCGTCGGTTTGAGTCTGAACCCCACTTCCTCTGTCCTCAGCCATCTGCGCCAAGCCTTGCCTGAACGGAGGCGTCTGCGTTAGGCCTGACCAGTGCGAGTGCGCCCCCGGCTGGGGAGGGAAGCACTGTCATGTGGGTGAGTCAGCTTGTCCTCCCCACCTACCCAGGTGCTTGCCCCCGCCCCCTCTCTCAGCCCCTTCCTTTTTTCGGTAACTAGACGTGGATGAATGTAGGACCAGCATCACCCTCTGCTCGCACCATTGTTTTAATACGGCAGGCAGCTTCACCTGCGGCTGCCCCCATGACCTAGTGCTAGGCGTGGACGGGCGCACCTGCATGGAGGGGTCCCCAGAGCCCCCAACCAGTGCCAGCATACTCAGCGTGGCCGGTGAGTGGGCAGGAGTACGGGCCACCCGAGGGACTCGGGACGGGCGTCCGGGCTCGGGTAGTGGTCACACTCTTGGTCTCCTTTGTCCCTAGTTCGGGAGGCGGAAAAAGATGAGCGCGCTCTGAAGCAGGAGATTCACGAGCTGCGAGGGCGCCTGGAGCGGCTGGAGCAGGTGAGCCAAGCCTGCTGGGTGGGGCGAGGCCAGACGTCACTGTCAATACCCTGAGGCATCTCTTCCTTTCTAGTGGGCCGGTCAGGCTGGGGCCTGGGTCAGAGCGGTGCTGCCCGTGCCGCCTGAAGAGCTGCAGCCAGAACAGGTGGCTGAGCTGTGGGGCCGGGGTGACCGGATCGAATCTCTCAGCGACCAGGTGCTGCTGCTGGAGGAGAGGCTAGGTGCCTGTGAGTCCTCACACTCCTCCCGCCTTGACTTCTATTCCCCAACTTTCCCCAAGACCCCTCTCCATTCAGGCATTCCCTCTTTCCTCCAAGCCCCTCTCCAACATTCACTATCCTCATGCCTCTCCACTTTACCATCGTTCTCTTCTGAAATCCTGTCCCCAGCCCAACAGTTTCACTTATTGTTTGGTGAGAGTGGCAGTGTAGTCCACTCCAGGCTGACCACAGCCACTGTGTCTGCCATGTCATTAACCAGGCTCCTGTGAGGACAACAGCCTGGGCCTCGGCGTCAATCATCGATAAGAAGCCTCTACAGCACCCCTGCCCCCTAATTTATACAGAAACCGGACCCACTAATCCTCTGGGATTGGCCGACTGTGAGCTGCAGATAAGGCTATCAGCCACCAAAGAGCAATGAACAATGGAAACTTCAGAGAGCTGAAGAAAGGGGGAGGCCTGTGTTCTTGGCCTGCCCCTGAGTCTTCTGGCTGGGGGCAGGTTGCCTGGGCAAGAACTGCTTCTTCAATTCCTTAACAAATGCAACCACCAACACCCAGATCTCTCTCTCTCTTTATTTTCAGTTTTTTTGCTGTTATCCAGATAATTAATAAAAACCAACCACGCAAAACTGGGTCCCACCCTCTCCTTTTGCTCCCAGCCTACCTCCCCAGTTGTGGGAACAGGTCTGGAGTGAGAGGCAGGGAGTGGCTAATGCCACCAGGAAGAAATGAAAACTGGCTCAGAGAGGGGGAAGCCTCAACAGAAAAAGAAATAAATTAAAAGCCCTCCTATCCCCTCCAGCCAGGGTTCGTTCCTTTCCCCAACTCCCCAGGGGGCAGAAGTGAGTGCAGCACCTGATGTCTGCTTCTTCCCCTTGTGTCTGGTGAGATGGTGCAGCAGGGCTGCAGGGGGCTGGGTGGGGTCATGTCCACTGAAGAACTGTACTATGGGGACAGAAAACCAGAAATGTGGAGACTGAACTGGTATCCCAGAGAGTGCACGACCCTGGGCATCTGGGCAAGGGCAGGCATGAGACCTCTGAATTAGAAGGGTCCAGCCCCCACTGACAGGAGGCTACACTGGGAGGGAAGGTGAAGGTGCTGAGGAAAGCTCCCAGGATGAGCCTGGGAGTGCTTCAGGTATCAGCTTCCAGCCAGAGGGCGAGAAGTCCTCCTCACAAATGGATGAGTCCATTGAATCCATGGACTTTGGAGTGGGGGGGATTTGTTCCAAAGAATGGATGAGTCCACTGGCCAATGTGGGGTAGAGGGGTAGAGAAGACCACATAGGAAGAGACTCCACTGGGGATGGAATGTTCCCCTCCCTTGTGTAGGCTGAGTCACTGGAGATGAGGGGGAGGCAACTGTCCCACAGACAAGACAGTAGGAGGTGGGGGTCAAGAGTGGAAACTGCACCGAGGCAAGAGTCCATGGATGGGGCCAAGAGGGGGCAGGAGTGGCGCTGTATCCACATTCACTTCAGAAGTTGAAGATTCCAAAGAGGAGAATAAGTGGGGAGAGGGGAGACAAGGAAGAGGGTTTGGCCCTGCTTCAGGGCCCACTGGGTGGGTAGGTGTGGGGAGGAAGATGGGGACAGATGGGAGGAGAGCTCAGAGCCAGGGTTCACCCACCGCCCCCAGGCTTCTTCAGATAGTCACCACCACCCCGGCCATCAGTGGAGATTTCCCGGAAAACAGTGAGCATGGAGTGCCGGACTCTGTCAGCCAGAGCTGGGACGTCATCTGGTGTCAGCCCTTCCGTGGGCACTGGGGGCAGCACCCGCACCTGACATTGTCCTGGGGCAAGGGGAGCACCATCATGGCCTGTCCACCCAGGTCTTTGCCCACAGGTGGGGCCCAGCTTCCGAGTGATACTCTTCCTCAACCTTTCAGTTCTCTTCCCCCAACCCTGGACAACCATCCCTGGGCTTGCCAGCTGCCACTTCTGAGGCCCTTCTCCTATACAAAGCCTTCTCCAATCCCCAGTTCAGACATCTCCTCAGCACCCCTCCAGCCCCCCTCCTCTGGGTTTGGCATTTACTGCTGAATGAGTGTTATTCATTACAGCTTTGTGCACACAGGCCTTATCTTTCCTGTTAAGATTAGTAACAGCCTCTCTTGGTGGGACCAAGTGCTACCCATCTGGCAGGGTATGGTGGGTGCTTAGTAAAGACTTATTGGCTGATGTGGGGTTAGACTAGATGACTGTGTAGACATCTCATGGCTCTGACACTGAATGATCCCCCTGCCTCACAGGGATGTCCTCCCAGCCTCTCCGGACACACCCTACCCCAGAACTGCTCAAAGCCCTCACCCGAGGTGAAGCGACGCTCCTTCTTGCAGTAGAAGTCTTGGTAGGAGGACATGACTATGGGGACAATGGGAACCTGGGGAAGGGTTAAAGCAGGTCAGTCCACAGCTCTCTTCAGAGACTCCTACAATAAGCCCCTGCCCAGAGATGAGGGAATGGTGGGGGTTGGCAGCTGAGTAGCAGAACGAAGAGCAGTAGTCACCTGGGCCTGCACTGCAAGATGGAAGGCGCCACGTTTGAAGGGCAGCATGGAGCCATTGTGGTTTCTCGTTCCCTCAGGAAACACCCAGACCCTCACCTGGGGGAGAAAGAGGGTCAAAGAAGACAAATACATATGGAGGAGTCAGAATAGGTGTGATGTTATAATGGGACCTTTGAGGCCCACTGGCCCTGCATATCAGTTTATTTACAACTGTTCTACTCTGTATCCCTCCAATCCCCCATTTCCCCAGGATGACTCACGTCCTGGGTGAGCAGGGTCTGGGCGACCTCAGACATGACACTGATGGCATCCCCCGTGCGCTTCCGGTCGATGAAGATGACTCCTGCCAGCCAGCAGGCCAGCCCGGCAGAGCCAGCCCACAGTAGCTCGCGCTTGGCAATGGGCACACAGCGGCCTGGCAGTACCTCCATCATCCCTTGGGCAGGGTGGGAGTGGGTGAGGATCGGGGTGGAGGCAGAGTGTCACAGAAGGCAACCCACCTCACCCAGCTCATCACCCTCTGGTAGGGACTGGAGGTGAAGGAGGAGACTAGGCAGGGAGGGGGGCCCCAAGTGAAGGAAAGGGTGACCAAAAGTATATGTACCCTGCTTATGAGGGCAGTTCTACCCAGGGAATGAAGGCCTGAGTGGGAGGCAAGGGGGCAATGTCCCAGAGGAAGGGGAATTGAGGATCTCTAGGAGAAGATATTCTAGGGAAGGTTTCAGGAGGGGAGGCATGGCTGGGGGAGGTGTGCCCTGTGGTGGGGTCTCACCAAGCAGATCGAGAGAGCTCTGGTGGTTGGAGACAACAACATAGGGCTGCGAGGGAGGGAAGTGGTGAGCCCCTCGCACCTCCACTCGGATCCCGTACAGGTATTTGATGTGGAGCAGCATTAGACGCAAGATCCTGTGGGGTCATGGCAAGGGGTCCCAGTGGGATCCATTGATGTCCATCTGCATGCCTCAGCTCCCCCCACCTTACTGTCTTTCTGACCACCTTTGCAGTCCTCTCCCCATTCCCTGTCTCTGGTCTCTCTCAGTCTTTTCTACACACACCATGCCCCCTTCCCCCAATCCACTACTCACTTTGTACCCTTAGGTTCCCTCATTGCCCAAGACCCCTTGCCCCTCACTTCATGTTCTCGACGTTGCGTCCTCGCACGGCACACACAGGGATGGCGAGCACAGCCAGGAAGAGGATCCAGCCATTGTAGAAGGCCATCTTGAAGAAGTACTTGGCACTGGGGCTGCAGAACCACAGGGTGGGCAGCAGGAAGAGCAGCAGCAGGAAGAGCAGCAGCAGCAGCATCCATGCCCCTGGCCACAAATCCATTCTGGCCACCTGCAGGGGATGGGGCAAGGGACAATCAGCCTGGTTTCTGGAGGAGAGTGGGGTAGGCAAGGCACAGAAGGCAGGGCTGGGGGCTGGTGCTATGAGGACAAGGGCCTGAGACACAAACTGGGGCAGGGGTCTCATTGAAACCTTCCCAGGAAGGCTCTCTAGGATGAGGGTGGTGGAGAAAGAGCTCAGGACTGCTCTCCCACCACTCTTCCCAAAGGCTCCGGATATATTCAGACAAGAGACACAAGACACAGACATCTACAATTCACAGATACCTGATAATAAATGACAACAAGAATAATAGCTAACACTTGTAGCTGGTAAGGGTCTTATAATGGTCTATACTTGTGCTGTCCGAGAAAGTAGCCACCACCTACATGTGGCTACTTGAAATGCAGCTAGTCTGAACTGAGATGTGCTGGAAATGTAAAATACACATCAGATTTCAAAGACTGAATAAAAAACAAAATGTGAGATATCCATTACTAATCTTTTATGCTGACTACATTTTGAAATTATAATCTTGGGCCAGGCGCAGTGGCTCACGCCTGTAATCCCAGCACTTTGGGAAGCCGAGGTGGGCAGATCACGAGGTCAGGAGTTCAGGACCAGCCTGACCAACATGGTGAAACCCCGTCTCTACTAAAAATACAAAAATTAGCCGGGCCTGTTGGCGCATGCCTTTAATCCCAGCTACTCGGGAGGCTGAGGCAGGAGAATCGCTTGAATCCGGGAGGCGGAGGTTGCAGTGAGCCAAGATCACGCCACTGCACTCTAGCCTGGGCAATGGAGTGAGACTCCATTTCCAAAAAAAAAAAAAGAAATTATAATCTTTTGGATGTTATCAGATTCAAGAAAATATATTACTAAAATTAATTTCACTCTTTTTGCCTTGTAAAAATGTGGCTACCATAAAAAAATTACATTGTGGCTTGCATTATATTTCTGTAGAACAGTACTGGTCTATACATTAAGTTAAACTCTTAAAATGATGCATATGATAGTCTAGAAAGTACTATTACTATTTACATTTTATAGGAAATAGGCCCAGGGAGGCTAAATAACTTACCTGAGGTCATACAGCTCCTAAACAGCAGTTTCTAGGTTAAATCTAAGCCGCCTGTGTTCCTAACCACTCCATTACGCTGACACTGGTATGTATTGCATATATATATACGAACACAGCACACAGCATATATGGTGATTGTGACAGAACACTCACAGCCATATACCCAAGGGCCAAATGGCAAGATTAAAAGTTCGTGTCACTAATGCCAACAGACACACAGTCATACAAAGACTAACATGTTCACACATAGACACAAATTTATAATTACACCCAGTGACAGATAAAAGAATGTAAATGCATAACTAGAAAAATCCCTCTCCACCCAGGCAGCTCCCCTATTCCTAGGTAAACTTATGGACATACCTGGAATAGCTACAAAGACCAATCCTACCTCCAGACAGGCAAACGAATCCTACTACCCTTTCCCTTCCTTCTAGTGACACTTTGCGTGGGCAGGTACAGTGTGTGAGGCCTCACCAAGTGAAAAAAGGAGGGAATGGAGTAAAGGTGACCTAACAGCACTTGCCCTGGGAGAGGAAAGGGCTCAAGAGGAAGAGAGGCAGGAACACAGAACCTGTGTTCTAGGTTCTTCCTCCTTCCTCCACTCTGCCCCAGTGTTGGGGGCAGGGTAACAATTCACAAAAAGGGTGTTCAGGCAAATACCTGTCATTCCTACTGAGGCCACAGGCACTGTCTTCCCATGATGGGAAGGGCTATGCTCAAAGGTAAGCCTATTGCCAAGCGAGAAGGTAACAGGCAATAGAGGAAACAGGAGACCCTGCCAGTTGGAATACCGTAGGCTTTCTGAGCTGCTCCATCCCACTGCCCCTACAAGTTCAGAACAGCATCATTTCTCCCCTGAACTATGTGGAGTAGGCTCCCAACTCCCTCCAATCCATCTTCCACGTAGCAACCACAGAGATTTTTCTGTTAGCACAGATTTTTCTGAAACACAGAGCATTTCCCTGTCTTGCCTAAAGGCTCTTCTTGATAAGTTGACTTCTGCTTACATCTTCGACCACATCCTCACAAAACTCTTTGTTCCAGTCAAACTGATTCACTTCAGTTCCTCAGACACCATGATCTTTCATGCTTCCCCACCTTGAACATGCTGTTCCCTTTGGCTGGAATGCCTGTCTCTTCTCCTGCCTCACACAGCTCAGTGTCACCTTTTGGAGGGCTGCCTGAACCCCTCCAGGCCTGTGCTTTCCTTACACTTTTATCTTGATCAGCGGGTCTCGAAGTATAGAAATGCAAATTATTAGACTTCACCCCAGATCTACTGAATCAGAAATTCTGGGCATTAGGTCCAGCAATCTGTTTTTCTTTTTCTCACTCTGTCACTCAGGCTGGTTTTGAACTCCTGGACTCACGCGATCCTCCTGCCTCAGCCTTCCAAACTGTTGGGATTACAGGTGTGAGCCATCGTGGCTGGCTAGCAATCTGTATTTCAACAAGCCCTCTGGTGAGTCTGATGTGCGCCTGAATTTAAGAACCACTGATCTTGACAACACACTATGTGTTGACTGGCGTTTTTGTTTCCCTCCTTAGGCTGTAAGCAGCTTAAGGACAGGGACTCTGTCTTATCTCCAGTGCCAGGACAATAGGAGATGGAGTAGGTGCTCAATAAACACTTGCTGAACAGATTCTAAGGCTGTATACCCACCCATAGAGCCACAGTTAATGACAGAGATGGCGGTTCTGATCACAAATTAGATAGTTATCCTCTTGAGTAGAAGTGACTACTAAAAGAAGTCACTGAGAAAGTAACGAACACACCAAGCCTAATGGTAACCGACTCTGAATAGATACATGCAATACATAGCCATAATGAAGGCAGAGTAACAATAATCAGGAAGAGGTCATCTCACAAGAGAAATGTACCGAATGGGATCAAGATGCCACAGGGAAAGATGCTGCTCTCATCAAATGTGTGCCAACAGTGCAAAGAATGGAGGATAATGTCCATAAATAAATACCAACAATGGGGTTCACAGCAGGATTGACCCTGTGACATGCATTGAGCTCATGGACACAGACTGTACACAGCCACTGGAAAGATAATGTTTGTGTAGAGAGGTATGGGCCAGGGAGGTCACCAAGGTAAGGCATGCAGGGATGGTTCTTTGCAGACCTGGAGACCCAGTTACCTTCTTCTCTTAACACTTGATATTAAGTGACCCTCTTTGGAGAACAAAAGTCCAAGGATTTAGAAATGCAATGGAGGGCCAAATTTAATGAGCATACGGCTCACAAAATATACTGATGACAAATTTATAACACACATTCTATGGTCCTGTTACATCAGTGTATCATGCAAAGGCGCATACACATGTGTTCTGTGAACTGTGACTGGGAAAACACAGCAAACAGGCCAATTCAGTCAGACATCAGAGTGTGGGGTATTCAGCCAAGCCATGGGATCCCACACATGAAGACTACTGCAAATGGTAGGACCATGGACATGTCAGCCAAAGCAAAATAAGGTATATAACCTTCACATGCTGAAATAAACATGCCAAAACATAAAATGTGCAAGTAACATGAAATTATAGAACAGGTGCAATATATGAAAACTCACACACATGCGGTACTTAAAACATGTCAAAACTGGATGTGAGACATGGACACAAGAATGAAGAATGGGCAATTCTGATAGAAAATAACACACCATTTCTACACAGCCTATGGATAGCATTGGGACAACCTAGTTGCACACAAGCCATTAAACATGTCAAAGGCACACAGACTCAATGTAGAAAACATGGCTCCCATAAGGCATTTGTGTGTCAGTAAGGGTCTAGCAGTGTGGAAGGCCACTGAGAAACAAGAGGTCCTGTGCCTAGATGGAAACAGAGGCACCTAAGGGTATTCCTAAGAGGCAAATTCTGCTGGCCTTCTCCCCTCATGACCCTTCAAGAGTCATGTGGGGTCAAAGGGCAAGAAAAGGAATTGGGGAAGGTGTAGGGAATTCCCTCTCCAGGATTCCCTGTGCACGCTCCCAGTCCCAAATTCACAAGGGTTTCCATTTCTCCTCCCTCCCAGGTCTCTTCCATCCTTCCTCCCTCTCAGGTCCCCTCTCCTATCCCCAGCAACCCTCTTCCCAGTCGGCCCCTCTCCTTTCCCCAGCAACCCTCTCCCCCAGTCGGCCCTCCCAGACCCAATCTCTCCCCTTCCCCTCATCCTAGTCGCTTTCAGCACCCTCTTCCCTCCTCCTCCCATCCCTTTCCCGCCCACACCTCAGAGGGGTAGGGGGCCTGGGGGGCTGGCCCCCTCCCCAGCCAGGCTGCGGCAGCGGTGGTGGCGGATGGCTGTGTCTCTGTCTCTGTCGGGGTGTCGGTGCCAAGGGGGCGACGGGATTTGGGGGTGTCCTAGCCCCGGCCGATGGAGGGGAGGTGGGAGTGGGAGGTTGGGCCCATAGCGGTAGGAATGGTGGGGGGCTGTCCCCCCAGCACCCTCCCTCCCTCCCTTTCTGCTGTCTCTCTGAGGGCTGGGGCTGCTGCCGCCGCTATTCCCCCGCCACCCCTCCCCAACGCCTGCTGGTTTCCGGGGCCGGCCAGGAAGTGGAGGGCGGTGATGGGCAGCCTGTTTTGCCAATCGTCTCCCAGAAACTCTGGCATCTCCTCCCCACATCTACCAGTGTCCTCTTGCGAGCCCCGCCCCAGGGCTCTCCCTCGGTCTTTGCCCCCATCTCTGGCTCCAGCTGCATCTTTTTTTTCTCTAACTCCCTTTCAGCTCTGGATCCCCTGGTGCTGTATTCCTCCTTCCGCACATTCCTTCCTTTATTCTCCATCAGCTCTCTTTTAACTGCCACTTTTACTTGGTCTCTTTTTTTCTCAACTCCGGTTATCTGCTGCTTATTCCCCCCAACTATTCTTAAGGACCCCTTTTCCCGTACCCATTCAATTCTAAACATTTATCAAGCATCTACCTACCATATGACAAGCATTAAGTTCACCTCTCTTCTTTTTCTCTCCAGGACTCCATCTCACTCCATCTCACTCTCCAGTCCTCTGGTCTGGTTTCCTTTGCCCTTTGTCCCTCACTATCTCCCAGCAGTCCAGCTCCCCCCTCCACCTGCCTTCTCTGGCCTTTAAAGAGAAGAGATCTCTTTGGCCTTATCCCTGACCCTTTCCTTTTCCATGCTCTTTTACCTCTGTACCTTTTCTTTCCTACTTCCTTCGTATCAGTCTCCTTACTTGCCCAAGCTGAGACAACCCCTTCTCACAACATACAATATGGGTACATCTTTTCTTCCAATGGAAATTTGGCTTCAGGGGTGCTTTCTAGAAAAATAAAAAGTGAGGAAGAATGCCGATTCCTCTGGAATGCGCGTGCCTCCTTAATTTGGTAGCCATGTATCTAGTTTTCCACCCCCTCTTCTCTTCCTCCACTCCCATTATCCCTTTACTAGGATCATTCCATCACTTCACTCTCCTTCATTTCCACCTTTCCCTCTCAATATCTTCCTTCCTAAACCTCAAGCTTCCTGAATCCTCATCTGCCCCAGTCCTTCTTTACGCAACTGCTAACTTCTCATCTTTCCTTACTCTTGAGTCACATGGGATCTTTTATCAAGGTCCCCCCTCTAGCCACACCTTTACCCTGCATTAGTTTACATGCCCTCGGGAAGAGGATTGGTAGTGGGAGGACTGTTACCTAATTCTGCTCCTTTAGTCACAGTGAGGGTCAGTGATTGTAGGAAAAGCCCAAACTCCCCGGGGTCCAACCTGGGAAGAAGACCCTATTTCTGATGGGCAAATTATAAAGAGGAAAGGGCGGGTCTAGCCTCCGCGGGTCTCCTTAAAAGGGGCGGGCTTTGTCCCTTTTGCACCACTCACAAAGGGGTTGAGCCCAGAGCTTTCCTGCTCTGAAGGTTTAAAACGGAGTTGAAGTCAATCCTGTTCTACTCTGTGTACAACATTAAGAAAGGGGTGGGCCTTTAGTTCAGTTTTGCTCTGTAAATCACCTAATATGGGGAGGGCTGAGTCGTCCAGCCGAATGAGTTGGGTTAACACCAGCGCCGCAGATCGATGTTCCCACTATCCAAACGTCGGGCTAATCCCAGTTCTGCTCCCTTAACTAAAAGGGAGGGGCAGACCCAAGTTCTGCTCTCTACGTCACCAAAGGAGGTTGGAGCCATTTTGAACCCTGCGACCCTAGTGTTTTCCCTCTTTTCCTAGCTCTTCGCCGTCTTTCCCGATGTCGGCCAATCAGGGGAAAAGGAAAAGGCCCAATCAGCAGAAAGTCCACAGCTGAAGGACCCGGATGAAGCGAGCCTAGGACTTTGAAGTGCAAGCCTCGCCAATTGTAGAGCAGTCACCATGGCGACAAGATAGGGGTGAAGAGGTGGAACAAGAGAAGGTTAAACCCTCACAGGATTGGCCCACCCCCGTCCCGCCGCGTGCTGCGCAGGCGCGTTTTACCTAACCACCATTTTCCGTCAAGTTTTAGCCAATGAGTTGATTTGGAGCCATACGCTCCAAAGTCCAATAGCAATCCGGACATTCTCTAAAAGAGGAAGCGAAGGAAAGAAAGGGGCTTATAGTGGGCGAGGTCTATAGGTAGTCCCGAGCAAATTGCTTATGGCTTTGGTTATGACTGACAACTACTCAGACGAATAAAGCCCTCCTTGGCCAGGCGACAGCGTGTAGCGAGTTATTACCAATCCCTTGGCATTGCACATTGACTTAGACCGTATCAGCCAATAGCCATTGTGCGAAGGCAGGACTGCACTAACCTTTTCCCGCCCCTACCCTTTGGGCCAATCCTTTCTTTTGAATTCTTTGTGACTGGCAGGCATTCAGACCAATAGTGATTAGGAAACCTTGAAGCCTGCCCAACGATCGTGGGCAGGAGGTGGTTTCTGGTTTGTTGGGGCGTGTGTATGTGTATTTGGGGGGACTGAAGGGTACGTGGGGCGAAACAAAACCGGCCATGGCAGCAGCGGAGGAGGAGGACGGGGGCCCCGAAGGGCCAAATCGCGAGCGGGGCGGGGCGGGCGCGACCTTCGAATGTAATATATGTTTGGAGACTGCTCGGGAAGCTGTGGTCAGTGTGTGTGGCCACCTGTACTGGTGAGAATCGAGGAGGGGGGCGGGAGGTGGTGGGTCTCGCTTATATACTGGAGAGGCTAGGAGCGAATAATCATACAGTCATACAGATAATCGGAGGGCACGTTCCCATAGGTGAAGCCCGACAGGAGACATAAGACTTTGCTGGTATGTGTGGGTGGGAGTATAACGGTCGAGATCTGTGGAAAGAAAGGTCTTAGGAACCAGGAGCTGAGGCACGTGATGTGCTGAGAAGAGAAGGTGGGGCGGGGAGTGGCAGGACAATGTGAGACCCGAGCCACCTTACCCCAGAGAAGTGAGGGGTCTTAGCTGTGCAGGTGGAAACAAGTGAGACACAAAGGTTAAGGGAGGCACGCATCAGTTGAGTCGGGGAGAACCAGGAAATATGGATCACATTCAGATGAGATCTGGGAGGGGGCTGGTATAAGGGCACTGTGGAGAGGCAGACTTGAAAGGTTAAAGGGTCATAAAGATAGGGACATTATTGAGCTTGAAAGTGAGTAATGGGGGAATGTGCTAGTAAAGGGGTTTGGTTTGGAGTGATGGGGTTGGGGTTGAAAAGAGGAGACCCAGAAAGAGGTGGCTGAAGGAAATTAGAAATTAACTTGAAAGGCAGAAAAGAGAGGGCACGAAAATTTGTATGTGTTTGTTGGGGAGAGGAGAAAGGAGAGGGTTGAGTGTGTTGAGGATGGACAGAGCTTTAGGTGTTGGAAGATCAGACAAGCAGGAAGGCTAACTAAGTTGGCTGGCATGGTAGAGGTTGCAGAAAATCTGAAAAGCAACAGCAGGTTGCTTGGGAAGAGGGGTTAGATGGGATTCTGCGAAGTCTAGGGTCTGTGTCTCTCTTTTCTGTAGCTAGTTTGACCTTTTTTTTTTTTTCTCCCCCATCCAGTTGGCCATGTCTTCATCAGGTGCGTACTCAGGAGATGAAGAGGGAAATGGGGAGGTCTGAGGAGCTGTAAGACCCTCTTGTATACTGGAAACCACCTTTTTTCTCCCCAGTGGCTGGAGACACGGCCAGAACGGCAAGAGTGTCCAGTATGTAAAGCTGGGATCAGCAGAGAGAAGGTTGTCCCGCTTTATGGGCGAGGGAGCCAGAAGCCCCAGGATCCCAGGTGAGAGACTGGAGGTGTTGCTTAGGGAAGATTGAAGGCTTCTGCCCTTGGAAAACGGTGTGGAAGATGGGAGGAGAAAAATCCCTGTTAACTTTCTCTCTCCACTTCCTCAGATTAAAAACTCCACCCCGCCCCCAGGGCCAGAGACCAGCTCCGGAGAGCAGAGGGGTGAGTCTTCTTGTCCAGTTGTGTCCCTTCCTTGACAGATTTGCCGGCTTCCCGTCTGACTTTTTCTGCCTCCCTAGGGATTCCAGCCATTTGGTGATACCGGGGGCTTCCACTTCTCATTTGGTGTTGGTGCTTTTCCCTTTGGCTTTTTCACCACCGTCTTCAATGCCCATGAGCCTTTCCGCCGGGGTACAGGTAAGAGTCACACTCAGCTCCCATCAGGGAGCCCTGTGAATCCCCTCAGGCCCCCTCCCAGCCTAGGAGCATATGCTTCCACAGCTTTCCTCTCTCCCACAGGTGTGGATCTGGGACAGGGTCACCCAGCCTCCAGCTGGCAGGATTCCCTCTTCCTGTTTCTCGCCATCTTCTTCTTTTTTTGGCTGCTCAGTATTTGAGCTATGTCTGCTTCCTGCCCACCTCCAGCCAGAGAAGAATCAGTATTGAGGGTCCCTGCTGACCCTTCCGTACTCCTGGACCCCCTTGACCCCTCTATTTCTGTTGGCTAAGGCCAGCCCTGGACATTGTCCAGGAAGGCCTGGGGAGGAGGAGTGAAGTCTGTGCATAGATGGGAGAGCCTTCTGCTCAGAGGCTCACTCAGTAACGTTGTTTAATTCTCTGCCCTGGGGAAGGAGGATGGATTGAGAGAATGTCTTTCTCCTCTCCTAAGTCTTTGCTTTCCCTGATTTCTTGATTTGATCTTCAAAGGTGGGCAAAGTTCCCTCTGACTCTTCCCCCACTCCCCATCTTACTGATTTAATTTAATTTTTCACTCCCCAGAGTCTAATATGGATTCTGACTCTTAAGTGCTTCCGCCCCCTCACTACCTCCTTTAATACAAATTCAATAAAAAAGGTGAAATATATTGATGGGATCTCTTCCCAAGTTCGCCCCCACCCCCGACAGAAGCATCTTCTCCCCAACTTGAGTAGATGTTTGGTATAGTATGGTGAAGTATGGGGGTGAGTCCCTTTCCTTCAGGGCCCTCAAGGGTATAGGGGTGAGGTTGTGTCTCATACACACACACAGACACACAAGAGCAAGATGTGTCAGGTGTTTAATCATCATTGTGGGGGGCTCTGGTTGTAGAAGAAAGCTTGGCAAGGTGGGGTTATACAGGAGAGAGATTATACAGGAGAGAGTTGGTCTGAGGCCAGAACAGTTCAAGGGAAAAAGAAAAGGGAGCTGATGGATGGGATCTGTCTGTGGGCCCCTCAAGGCCCTCCAGTACTACTCTCGCCTGCCTCAGGTTCCTCCGACTGATTCAGTTCTGCACGCTCCTCCTCTTCCTCCTGGTTTTCTGGGGCCTTCCTGAGGAGAAAGATTGGGGGGAATGCGGCACGTTGTCGTTCCACCCCCCGACCCCTCTTCGCTTGCTGCCTGGAAGCCCTAGGTCTGAGGGGTCTGGCTTTCTCCACTCACCTCTCCTCTCCTCGGCGTTGCCGCCTTTGCCACAAGATGACCCCAATGAGCAGGGCGGCTGTCCCCAGGCCTCCCAGGATCCCCAGGGCCAGGGCTAGAGTTCCCAGCCCTGATCCTCCCACAGAGCCTGTACGGAGACAGGGAAAATTGAGAGCACAGCCACCACCACTCACCATTCCTTTCTTGTTGACCATCCCCCCAGTCACATGTGTTGGGGGCTATCTTCTGCTTCCCTGACTTTATCAAACCCCTCACCTGCAGTTGGCCCCTCCTCGCCTGGTTCTGGAAGACAAAGTTGGATCCAGTCAGAAAGGAAGACTTCGGGTTGAGAGAGGGTTATTTAGTGGGAGCCCCAGTGGAGTCTTTCCCTTTCTTTTTTTTTTTGAGATGGAGTTTCACTTTTGTTGCCCAGGCTGGCATGCAATGGTGCGATCTTGGCTCATCGCAATCTATGCCTCCTGGGTTCAAGCAATTCTCCTGCCTCAGCCTCTCAAGTAGCTGGCCTCCCAGGTAGCTGGGATTACAGGCATGTGCCACCATGCCTGGCTAATTTTGTATTTTTAGTAGAAATGGGGTTTCTCCATGTTGGTCAGGCTGGTCTCGAACTCCCTACCTCAGGTGATCTGCCCGCCTCAGCCTCCCAAAGTGTTGGGATTACAGGCGTGAGCCACCGCGCCCAGCCGTCTGTTCCTTTTTTTAGCTCAGAGGGAAGAAGGGAGAGGCTTGGCTGCTCTCTTGGCAGAATTTGGGTGGGGCAGGGGAGGCTTGGGTGTGGGTGCATGGAGGGAGAGGTGGGGTGGCTGTTAGGGATAAGGCCAGAATGGGGCAGGAAATTAGAGCCTGTGCTGTCCTGCACCCTAGTCCCAGGGTCTGTAGGGCTTGGGGAGAGGTCTCACCGATGATGCTGATGCTGACAGCACGGCTTTCCTGGGGCCCGTGGCTGGAATGGGTGGCCACACAGCTGTAGGTTCCCTGGTCCTGAGGCCCTATCTCAGGGAGGATCAGCACAGGGCTGGGGGGAAGGGGCAAGGGCACACCCTGGTGGGGGAAGGGGAGAGGAGACTATTTCAAAACCCTTGTCTTTTTGTCTCCATATCTTCAGATACCCTCTCTTCCTCCTCAGCTCCTAGCCTGCCTTTCCCTCGTTAGCCCTCTGCCCTCCCTGTTGCTAGTTATGGTTCACCCTACCTCCCAGCCCCTCTCTCCAGGTCACTCACATCCTTCATCCAGTGGATTTGAGGAGAGGGCTGGGCAGGGACTTCACAGGTCAGGGTTACGGTTCCACCAGGAGCTACTGCTCCACCTTCTGGCTCCACCACCAATTGGACCTCCTCCAGAGGCACAGGCTCTGGGAGTTGGAAGGGTTTTGAGGTGGAGAGTTACACTTGTGAGTGATCCCAGTGGCCATGGGCTTGACTCCCTCTTTCCCTAAGGGTCAGACTTCCAGAACGTGCTCACGTGAGCTTGGGGCCCTCCCCACCTATGCTCACCCCAGACACGGGGCTGGATGGGGGCTGTGCGCAAGGCCCGGTGTCGGGGAAGGCCTGGGCTGAAGCTACAGGAGAAGGTGGGACGGGGATCTCCTCCCCGGGCTGGGGTCACCATTAGCTCCGACTGCAGTGTGAAGAGCCCTGTCTCAGGGTGTCTCCTGGTCTGTTCCTTCACAGATACTCCTATGATGGGAGGATAAGACAAATTATCCCAGGGTGGGTGTGGGAGTGAGATCAGGGAGAAGGCAGCTTGGGGGGCACCTTAGGACTCACCCTTCTCATTAGGCACCAGGGGCTTCCCATCCAAGTGCCAGCTAAGAGTCCCTGCAGGGTAGCTTCCCTCTGACACACATGTCCCCACCTGGGGAAAGAGTGGTGACCTCAGAATCCTTTGAAAATGAGAGATGCCACACACCCACACCCACACACACTCGCCTCCTGTTCACAGGGCCGTTTTCTACTTCTCCTGCTTTCTTCCACTACCTTATTGGGAACACCAGCCGTGAGTTCAGAGGCAGAATCTACAATTTCTGGCTTCCCAGGAATCTCTGAAGGAGGAAAAATCCAGTCAGAGGCTGTAATTGTGAAGGTTCTCAAACTCTGTATGTGGAAATGAGGCCAGTGGAAGTCAGAGGCCCTCATGGGCCAAGGCTGGGGTTGAAGGCTTTTTCTTAGGTAAGAGGGAGGCCTTGGAGAAGACCCTGGAATTCTTACGGTAGACACGGACTCGGTAGTTGGACTTGGTCTCCTTTCCATTCCTGTTCATTGCCTGGCACCGGAAAATCCCCTCATCCTGGATCCCGACAGCCGGAAGGAAGAGGGAGCCGTTGGGAAGGACACGAGCCACACTGTCCCAGGGGCCTCCTCCCTGGGGAGACAGGACCTTCCAAGCTTCTGTCCGGCCTGTGTTCTAGAAGCAGAGAAGCAGGGCCTAAACAGTGCAAGGCCTTTGGGAAAGGACTGTGAGGCAGAGTGACGGGGATCCAAATCATTGCTGGTCTCCCTGGAAGTTGGGAGGCTGCAACAGGAGCCCCGCTTACCAGTTTCCATTCCAGCCGCTGGGGTGGTTTCTTGGGGGCCCCCTTACACTTCAGCACCAGTGGCTCGCCAATCCGGGCTGTGATGTTTTGAGCACCTACTACTGCCCCTGGGAGATAGCACCATGGTAGAGGGGTAGGAAGGGAATGAGGGCTAACAAAATTTGGACAGGGTGGGTGAGGGACCTTGAAAGGCACTTCCTCGGGTTCTGGGAAAAGTTCTAGGACGACTGGGGTGTGGGGTTAAAGTGCTTTCTGCAGGGAGGGTCAGTGGGGTTGAGGGAGTGGCTCACCCCACAGACTGAGGACCAGCACCCAGGCTCCAACTGCTGTTCCGGCTGCCATCCTGCTTCCTTCCAGGGTCCTGGCTCTGTCTGCCCCTCTCCCTGCTGTGGCCTCCGCCCTAGGTGGGGCCTGCACCCTCTCTCCAGCCCCCATCTTTCAGTCGTCTTGTCACAGGGAATGCTAGGAATTCATGCCTTTGGGACAAGAGTCCTTCAGGTACTAGAGAAATAATTATCACCCCACCCCTGGGTACTACCAGCCTCTGGGTACAGTCACTTCCCTGGGGGATGGGGAGTGTACCCTCTAGGGTCTCATTCCCTCAGAGCCCCCGATCCTATTTATTCCATCAGTCCATCAGGGCTGCCTGGTGACCCACTGGAGCCCCATCTTGATTGCGCAAAGTTGCATCAATAGGGTTCAGGCCAGACTGTTGTCTGCAAGGGTGCATTTGGGCCTGCATCATGAAGGCAAGGCTGGGGAACAGGAGAGAAACCTGTTTGGAACTTCGTGAAAGAAAATCATTTTTTTTCTGGGGTTTCTCATGTTTTTTGAAAAAAATTCTCAACTAAACCCAGGGAAAAAAGAAATTTCTTTATTTAAAACTGCATTTTGTTTTTTTTCTGTGAAACTACACAAGTTTACAAGTGAGGAGAGAACTGCCCCCGGCCCATGCCTCCCACCCCCCCACCCATCACACTTCCAACCTGTCCCCAGTCCTGCCCGGATCTTTAATGGGAGGGGTTCCCCACTCTGACAGTCTTGTAAAATCCTGAGAATGTCTGAGGGGATCAGATGGTAGCTAGTTCAGGGCTGAGGATGGGACAGTGTTGATGTTACTTTTCCCCCACATCTGGCTTTTTGCAACCTCCTCCCTCTCCCTACCCCTTGATTTTGGTGTGACAAAAAGATACCTCATTTATGGGGAAATTGAGGAAGATACATATACAAGCACCCCAACCCATATTTAACATATTTGGCAATAACTCCCTTCCCATTCTTCCCCCTCCAATTTTCAAATAGTAGTTTTTTAAAAAATTAAAGACATGTCACTCACAGGGGAAGATGGCATCTTCAATTTCCTCAAAATTACTGAGTCCAGCCCTGCCCAAGGGTTGTGGGAAGAAGGGGGATGAGAGGCCAGCAGGGCAAGCCCTTCACTGCCTCCACATCAAATGCGGCAGAAACCTGCCTGCATGAACAAAGAACACCTAAGGGATTTTAGGGGGCAAAGCTTGGTGCCCTGTAAAATTTACTTCCTGATGGACAGGCCTGGAGCCAGGGGGGCCTCTTTACCAGTTCTGTTTGTCCCCCTTTCTCTTACCAGAACCCCTTTGGCTATCACCCCTAATATGGGAAAGTAAGAAATAAAAAAAAAAGACAAGAAATCAACATATTTATAAAAAAAAAAACAAGCTACTTCCCCAAACTAAATTAAAAATTAAGAACCACCACCACCACCACCACCACCAACAACAAAAACAACAACAACAACAAAAAAAACAGATGGATCCCAGGGTTTCTTTTTCTTTCTTTAAAAAAAAAAAAAGTTCAACCCCAAAGCCCAGTCAATAATTCCCTAAAGTAGCAGAAACTCCCTCCGAGGTAGATATCTGAGTCAGACACTCTCGTCCACCGAGCGATTCTATTGGTTTAAGATGAGCTGCGTATGAGGTAAGTAAGCCGTCCGGAGGGGCGGGGGTGGGGATGCATGGGGGCGTGGCCCATGTCCTCTGTCCAGAAGTCATGTCCCCATTTTTGGCATCTCTGATTGGGCAGGGCTGGCGTCTCCACAGATTCCAGAGCATACAAGTGGGGTGGGGAAGGGAAAGTGGGGGAGCCCAGGAGAGAAACAGAATAGTTGCAAGTGGGAGTATGTGTGTGTGAGGTGTGGGAGAGGGAGAGAGAAAGACAGAGGAGAAAAAGGGGTCTGAGAAATAGGTTTCTCGGTATGTGTATGTTTCTGTGTAAGAAAGAAAGCGAGAGAGGAAAAAGATGGAAAAAAGGGAGAGACAGACCCCACACTCCCCTTAGAGGCCCCATTCTTCCTGCCATGTAATTAGCACCCCCAGCACAGAGAGTCTCGTTAGGGAGGGGATGACCCCATTGGCCCTTCTCTGTCTTGTGCTTCTCCTGTATTGGGGTTTGTCCTCTGGAAGCCTGCGTCCTCTTCAAGTCGCCTTGTGAGAGCCCCCACCCCTGTGACCCTGAGGGGCAAGATCAGTTGGAGGTATCAGAGTGAACACTCCCTGGTCCCTCCGTTGGGGATGTCACTGAAGAGGGGGTCACAGCCTCTTGCCAGCTGCCATTTGCCTGAAAGGAGAGACAGAGTACAGAAAACAGAGAAAGCCCTGGGAACCCTGTGTGGGCACAACATTACTAGGGAAAATGCCCCTCTGTCCTGTGAGAACTGGACAGAGAGGAGCTTCAGGATCCACTCACCCTCATTTCCCGTGGGCTGTACATCTGGCCTCCCCCGAGGTTATCCCCATAGCCCCCTGGCCCCATCGAGTGTCGGAGTGATTCCACCTGCAGGCAGCAGAGGAAGGTATGACAGTGAAGAGAAGCCTCAGAGGAAAGAGGTCTTGTATCCTAAAGTAGAGGAAATGGAGTTGGGGAAAGCCCTATTCGAGAGGAGATGGGCATCTGACCTGGGAAGCAGAATAGGAATCTCCGTTGAGCCCAGGCATCCCCAGAAACATGTCTCCAGATCCTGAGAGATTGAAAGAGCCGCCAGAGCCTTGTGGGGGCAGAGAGGGAAGAGTGTAATAGAGCCCGTGATGGTAGAGGATGAACCACAACTCTCAACTCTTGTGGGGACATGCTACTATACTCCAATTATCCACAAAATAACATTCCAACACACAGAAAGAGCAGGCTGTTCCTTGGCCACCCGTGGGAAGAAAGGCAGAACTAAGATCACTGGAATGGCCTCTGTCCCCTGACATCTCCAGCCTATCTCAGCTCGGTCCCTCTCACCCCAAAAGGCCCCCTCTCTGCTATGATCCTGCCTAGATAGGAAGTGGGAACAAAAGCAGGAAGTGTGCAAAACAGTCAGCCGGGGTGACAGTGGGATCCACCTGCAGAGGAAGGGGGTGTCGGGGAGCTGGTGCGGCTGTGGCCCCCCTGGGTGACTGACACGGCGGTCTTGACAGCATAGATGTTTGCCTCCTCTTGGAACTTTCCGATGTTTTTCTTATAGCGAATCCTCTTGTTGCCAAACCAGTTGGAGACCTGTGGGGCAGAAAGGAGGGTCAGGTAGAAACATTTGCCTCTGAAGTCCTTCACTGAATAAGATGTGAGTGACAGCATTTTTTTTTTTTTTGCTTCCTGGTCTCACTATGCTGTTGCCCAGGCTGGTCTCCAATTCAAGTGATCCTCCCACTTCAGCCTCCCTAGTAGCTGGGATTACAGGAACACACCACTGCACCTAGCTGAGATGCGTGCACTTTGCCTGACAACTCCTCCCGCAACCTCCATAATACCTGAGACACGGTGATGCCACACTTCTTGGCAAGCTCCTCCTTGGCCTCCTCACTAGGATATGGGTTACTCAGGTGGGAGTAGAAATACTCATTTAGGACCTCAGTGGCCTGTTTGCTGAAGTTACGGCGCTTTCGTCTACAGAGGAGGGAGAAGAGCAGTGAGGAGGATGTTGATGTCCTGGCAGGGCTGTCACATGGCATGACCCCAGAGTCACCATTGTCATGGAGTACCATGTTGTGCAGCATGGCAGCTCAGGGTCTTGGAGAGGAATGGGAAGGAGCCCAGTGCTGGGGGCCAGCCTGGGGTCCCTGGGCCCACCTGGCATCCAGGAAACGGGAGCGCAGGATCATCACAGCCTCGCAGGTGCTCTGCTTCAGCTGCATCTGGATGGCGCTGAACTTTCGATGGATGATGCTCACCATGCGTTCCATCTCTTTGGGGGCCACGGGCCTGGTGCGGCTCTGCTCCCTCAGCAGGTTCATGACATGGGTCGTGAACTCATTACATGCCTGTAGTGGGGGCCAGTGGGCTGGTGAGGAGGAGCCCTTTGACCATGGGATTCCCCTGCAAGAGCCCTTCCCTCCACCCACCCAAGCCTCCTCTCCTTACCTGCTCATACTTCTCCAGCTCCGAGTGGTATATGTGACGGATCTGGGCAAGTTTGCTGCGATAGTCCGAGTGTTCGATGGAGTTGTCAGGGGACACACCACCACCAGAGGCTGCAGCGGCTGCAGCTGCTGCTGCTGAGCCGCCCCCTTTCTCGGGCCCAGCCACACCCTCTGCCAGAAGCATGTTGTCCAAGCGCATCAGCTGTGGGTCCACCGGCTCCTCCTCCTGGGAGCTCCGAATGCTGAGGCCTAGCATGCAGGCGAGTGGACTTAGGGACCCAGAGACCCCAATACCCAGTGCTCAGTCCTCCTGGTGCTTCCTGGAGAGCCAAGTTCCCAGGCTTTGGTTCCTTCCCCAGTCCCCCTGACTCCTTACTTTCCTCAGGGCCCCAAGTTGTCACACTCTAGCCCTATAATGAACAGGGTTCTGTTCCCAGAGTTGAGCAATCCGGGGGGGGCCCACATACCAGTTTTCTCCTTGATTTCACACAGGACGCTAAAGAGAGCAGGCTTCATTCGGTGGCAGTTTAGGGCGTGTTTCCTTGGGAGGAGTGGGAGTGGGGAAAGAGAAAAGTTGAGGAGCTAGAGAAACAGAGCAGGGGGCCTGAGAACAAGGAGGGAGGAGGGTCAGTCTGCGGAGGGAGGAAGCGGATTGGGGGTGGAATGAGTTGGGGGTGGAATGAGGAGTTCTTGGGAAAAGATCAGCTCCCAGAGCATGGGGAAGCTCCTCAGCTTCAGGGAGACACAGGGAAGATGCAGGCAGCAGGTTAAAGGCTGCGGGCTTTGGGAGATGGTCTAGAAAGGTAGGAGGAGGAATCTGGGAGTGGATGGAGAAAGGAAAGTGACTTGGTAGGTTTCAGAGGGAGAGAGACAGAGGCTGGGGTTGAGAAGAGTCAGAGTTTGAGGTGGCAGAGTGGGGCTGGGGGTGCCGAGCTAACTGGGGAGATCAGTGTAGGGTGTGTGAAGGGGTCCTGGGGCTGAGCAGGTGGGAGGCTTTGATGCACCTAGTGTCTGGCTGAGCAGTGGAGAGGAGCTTTAGGGGCTCTGGAGAGGGTGTGGAGGTCTCCACATCTGGAGAGAATGAGGGGGCTGGGTGGAGAGTTAGGGGAGAAGATAACGTAGCCCAAGAACAGTTTCTTAGTCTGGGAGCCAGAGGGGGCTCCCGGGGATGGGGCTGTTCCAGGAGACTGCAGGGGTCGGCAAAAGGTTAGGAGTGGGGAGCCGGGCCACCGGGGGTTCCCTCTGTGAAGGTTTCAGGGCCTGGGGGTGAAGGGAGGTTTGAGAGGGATCACTTTTCTATGGGCTCCCAGGAATAAGGAGAGAAGAGAGCTGTTGGATCCTGGAGAGGGCCCTGGAGTTGGGGGGGGCTCCCAGAAGATTCAGAACATGTGAACGGGGTTTGCTGGGTCTGTGTGGGGTCCCGGAGTGGGGGCACTCACTTGGCCTGGGCCTCGTCCAGGCTCTGGTCGGTGATGGTCATTATCTGCTGCAGAATGTCCCCGATGTCTTGCTTCCCTCGGCCTCCCGGGACCCCCCCGCTACCCCCACCGGGGTCTCCGCCACCGGGAGGCTCGCCAGGGCCCCCAGGCTCCCCACTCACCAATCCCAGGCCCCCCCGGCCCCCGCCTGGAGGGGGCGGCCCCAGTAGCCGTTCGTCCATAGCTGGGGGGGGGCCCTGAGGCCCCCTCCCTGCTCCGCCCCTCCCCCCGCCTGGTTACTTCTCCCCCCAAACTCGCTGGGGCCGCTGCTCCCTCCGCCCCAACCCCCGCCCGTCTGCCCCCGGCTCCCGGCTCCCCCGGGGGTTCACCCCGGCACTGAAGGGAGACCTGGGATACCGGCTGGGCCCCCCACAGGAGACCCCGGCCCCCGGCGGCGGAGAAAATGGAGCCGGAGAGAGAGAGGAGGCCCAAGCGGGGGTGTGTGTGAGAGAGAGGGAGGAGGGAGGAGGGAGAAGGGGGGGGAGCGAGGGAGGGAGGCTGGGGGAGGGGAGCCGGAGAGGAAGAGGAGGGGAGAAGAGAGGAGGAACAGGGAGGAGCTGGGGGCGGAGAGAGAGACACAGAAACAGAGGAACTGAGACCTAGTGGAGGAGGGGAGAGGGAAGAGGGGATGAGGGGAGGAGACGGGCCATCTGAAAGATATGGGAAAGCCCCCTGGCTGGACTTCCGCGGCCTAGGAGTGGGGCTGTGTTGGCGGCTGGGGGCGTCTGTCACCTGGGTCCTGAATCAGGGATCTAAGCGATGTGGACTCAGGCCGCTGGAATGCCTGGGTTCACCGGCAGCTCAGTTCATATTTCTTGTTCTAATGACTCCCCTCCCTGTTCTACTTAATTAAAACCGAAGAGGGGGGCTGGGGGAGATAATTAGGGAGGTCTCCAGCCGCTGCTTAATGAGCCAGTAATTAACCAGCCGGGGAGGGGAGCTGGCCTCTGGCCAGACTGGGGAGAGAAAAGGCCTCTGGCCTCACCTTCCTACCTTTCACCCCGCCTGGGCCCCCCAGATACCAGTCTGCAGTCCAGAGGGGAATTATATTTATTCACACAACCAAAACATCAGACAGACTCAGCAGCAGTGGGGAGGGAGGGTGGGCAGGGCTGAAGGTCCATTCACAGCCCGTAAACCCCTCAGTCTCAGGGATCGGGGGTGCTGGTAGTGGGACTGGGAGAATAGTCTTAATCTCTCAGGTGCCCACCCACCTTCCCTTCTTACTGGGAGGAAGGGTAGAGCTGTCTCTCAGGTTATAACCTCTCAGGTGGAGGCCTGAGCCCTCAGACCCTACTGCCTAGTAGCTTGACAACTGGTGGTGTCCCCACAAGTTAGGGAAAAGACTCCCAGCCACTCCTTGAGATGGGTGCCTGGGATCCCCCTTACTGCCTCAAGCTCCCATGGACCTGTGGGCGGGGAGTTAAATCCCTGTTCCATCTCGCCTGTTCCCAGAGTTTGAGGACTTTCACCCTGTCCAGTTCCCAGGGAAGGTGATGTGGGAGATGAATATTGAGATTTGTGCCGTGTCTTTCAGTCTCTGGTACCCCTGCCAAGCAAGAGTTGAGGGCATGCAATGGGCTGCCCAGCTTTGAGACCAGTGGCAAGGAAGGGCTGGTTGGGGCTCAAGTCTCAGCAGGTGTGTGTGGGGGGCCGGGACCTTTGCTCCTCCATTCGACCCCCACCCTGAACTCTCAGCAGCAACTCCAGGAGCTCTTGCCCCCCTGGAGGGAGGGGAGGCTCTGACCGCTGGGCTTCCATCCGCTGGCACTGGAGGAGTGGAGGGAGAGGGAGAGCTTTGGTGAGGGTCTGAGAGGAGGAGGTTCTTGAGAGGATCAAGGGTTGGTATGGGGAGGCATATAGGAAACCTGTGAAGGCGATGGGGTGCCTAGGGAGAAACAGGAGTAGAGCCCCAAAGAGAACAGGGGCCAAGAGACCAGGAGGCCTGGGTTTGCCTCCTGGGGGGATGTCTTACCTGGTGACTGAGGATAGTGCTGTAAAGCTGTTCTCTGTCCTCGAGAGGACGGAGTGGGGCAGGGGCTAGGCTTGAGGGGTTTTGGGGGGTGTAGAAGGTGGCCCTCTGCTCCTCCAGGCGGCGGGACTGGGCTTCAGCCACCAGGTCCAGAAGGAGTTCAGTCTGCAGGGAGAGCAGGGAGGCCGAGCGGGGTCCCAGGGCTGGGGAGAGGGGTGTGGAGGGCTCAGAGACCCAGAGAGGTTGGCAGACAGGAGCCGTGGGGGAGTGTGGACAGGGTGACGTGATTAGGGACTTTGGATCAGAGGAGAGGGGGTGCAATGGGGAATCCCAAGGGGAGTCTGGAGGAGGTGGGGAGAGGGCCCACAATGGAGTGGGCCTTGGTAATGGGGTCAGGATGTGGGCACTAGGGTCGGGGCTCTCCCTGGGTGGGTAGGGGTACCTGTGTGGCGGGTCCCTGGAGGAGGAGGGGATGGAGGAGCAGATCGCCAAGGCCGAGTGGTGGAGTTTGGAGGGGGCCAGCCTTCCTCATCCTGAGGGGGGCCCTGATGCCAAAATATGTCCATTCTAGTCAAGCAGTGGTGGTTGAAGCGGGAGGAGTGGACAGGGGGCTAGGCCAGTGGCCCGTTTCCTCTCTGTGTGTCTCTGTTCCTGCCTCAGTTTGCCCAAGCCTTTCAAGGCCCCTGTGTCCCTACATTTCTGCCCCAGGTCCTCTCACCTCCCTTCTTTCCCAGTGTCAGCCTCCCCAACCCCGTGCCCAGCTCACCTGCTCACCATCCTCTTCTTCCTGGGGTCTCTCAGCCTCCATCCCCTAGAGGGGAGAAACTGGTGGGGGAGGGGTGGCTGGGATTTGGGAGGAGGGCTGGAACCTTGGGTTCCTGAGGGGAGTGGGGGCTGGAAGGGGTGGGGGTGAGCTGGGGGCTGGATGCCTGGGTACTGAGCAGGAAGCTGGGTTCCTGGTCAGCCCCCCCACGGGCCCCGCCCATCCCTGTCAACTTCCTCCATTCTCTTCCCACCCAAACAGCTTGTTCAGTCTCTCTCGCCCCAGGGCAGCACTGAGACTGGGAAAAACTCCTCCAGCTGCAGGAGTGGAGGGGGCTCATGGTGGGGAAGGACTCCTGGCGGTCTCATCTCCAGAGCCTCAGTAGTCCCCTAATCCCTGGCTCTGCTCCCTCCACCCCACCTCCTCTTCTGCTCTTTCTGTCAACACAGGAACTAGCTACACAGGAAGTGGTTTCACTCCTCAGAATCCCCCTCCCCCCAGCCAGGTCCCTTCCCTCCCTAAGATAGACCCTGGTGTAGGATTTGGCCCTCCCGATCTTCCCTCTTACTTACCGGGACTGGGAGGGGCATGGTTCCAGTGGGAAGTGGAGGATTCAGATCCAGGGATGTGGAGCTCTCAAATATATACATAAAACCCTAGCACCGGGTCCAACACATAGTAAGTATTCAATATATATGTATTGAATAATCATCCCTGACCTCTAGGTATTTAAAATCTATTCAGGAGATGGCCGGCTGCGGTGGCTCACACCTGTAATCCTAGCACTTTGGGAGGCTGAGGCGGGTGGATTGCCTGAGCTCAGGAGTTGGAGACCAGCCTGGGGAACATGGTGAAACCCCATCTTTACTAAAATACAAAAAATTAGCTGGGCGTGGCCACATGCGCCTGTAATCCCAGCTACTCAGGAGGTTGAGGCAGGAGAATTGCTTGAACCCGGGAGGCGGAGGTTGCGGTGAACTGAGATTGTGCCACTGCGCTCCAGCCTAGGTGACAGAGCGAGACTCCGTCTCCAAAATAAAATAAAATAAAAAATACACTCTATTCAGGAGACAAGATGTGTACCAAATAGAGTACGGGAAGGGTTCATTTTGGAAACTTATAGTTTAGTGCAGACAAGGGGCAGGGGAAAGTTTATTTTGGGCATAAGAGATATAGATATGGAACAATGAGAGGCTGAGGTAGGAAGATTGCTTGAGCCCAGGAGGTTGTGGCTGCAGTGAGCCATTTGTGCCACTGCACTCCAGGCTGGGCAACAGAGCAATACCCTGTTTCAGAAAAAGAAAGAAATGAAATGAAATTGAAAAGGGAGAGGACTACCTCTCTGGCTTGGTCTTTGATCAATGCTAATCAGGCTGGTTGGCATCAAGGAAGGAGCAGGGCAGACAACCATTTGGTACCTCTAAATGGCAACCTGTCATGTTAGGGAGTTTATAGCTGAGTGATTTGGAATGTGAAATGTGATGAAGAGATCTGGTCCTGCCGCTTATTCCTTGCAATCTTGGGCAGATCTCTGTGCCTCAATTTCTGAGTGAAATAGGGTTTTAATAGCACCTACTTCATAGGGTTGATGTATTAATAATGTAATGAAGCACTTGATGCATAGTGAATACTTAATAAACTGTAGATATTATTGGCTTTCAAAATGCCTCATGACTCCATGTTTCAAACCTAGCAACATATTGCTGCAAGGTGGACAAAGTTTCAAGATACTCTCTCCATCTACTTGACTTGTGGCCTTAGGAATCTCCTAAGTGGCCATAAGTAAAAGCCCTAGGATGAGGGACAAAGTGTGTGCATCATCTAGTGCAGTGGTCTCCTACCTTTTTGGCACCAGGGAAGAGTTTCGTGGAAGACAATTATTCCATGGTCGGTGGCGACGGAGGGCTGGTTTCAGGATGAAACTGTTCCACCCCAGATCATTAGGCATTAGATTCCCGTAAGAAGCGAGAAACTTAGATCCCTTGCATGCACAGTTCACAATAGGGTTCGAGTTCCTATGAGAATTTAATGCTTATGCTGATCTGACAGGAGGTGGAGCTTGGGCAGTAATGCTTGCTCACCTCCTGCTGTGTGGCCCAGTTCCTAAGAGGCCATGGACCAGTACCAGTCTGTGGCCCAAGGGTTGGGGACCCCTGACCTAGTGTGTGCGGTTTCTCCCTTGGCTACTAGATTCTTGCTTTCAGATAATACCCTAAATTATCATAGGGCCCCTAAATATACTTATTCTTGCTTTTAAACTATACTTACATCCTCCATCCAATCCAAATGCTGAGCCAAAAGCACAAAATGCTGACATTATGCAGTCACTCCCATCTTTTTTCCCATTCTTCTCCCCAATTCCTCCAAAAAAAGGTAACACTTCAAATCAGCTTTATTATGGGTGACAGATTTAGGGTTCTTAAATAGCGATAGCAGTGGCTAGAAGAAGCGCTTCATCCCCACAGTGGAGTTCTTTGTTGTGAGGGGAGGGAATGCAAGGAGTCATCAGCGGGGGTGGCCCTTGGCCACTTTTCAGCACCTACACAGTGCCTGGCACATAGTAGGTGCCCAATAAATATTTGTCAGCCATTTGTGGGCAGTGGGGACAATGGATCATAGGGGCACCCTTTGGAAACCATATATAGGAAAGAACATCTTACATCCCATATGCCTGCAATTCTTGGTTCCAACTTAGGGGTATTTCCACTCCACTCTGCCCTCCTGTGGCCTGTCTTATTTTCTGGAGGAGGACTGGGCCTGCCTCATCCTAGCATCTTAAACCCTCTTTCCAGAGCTGCAGCTTCTCCACGTGGAAGATGTCTGCTCTGGTGGGCATACATTCATTTTAGGAGAGAAACTAAACTCACAACCCTTCATTTTGGGGGATCCATCTTAAAACCAGGAAGGCCTTCCAGCCTGCCTTTTAATGGGTAATCATTTTTGGAATTCCTCCCTACCATGTATTCTTCTATTTTTTACCCTCTCCTCCTTGGTTTATGGGCATTTCTTGGAGGGCTGGGGGACCACAGTCAAGTTGAGGTGATCCCCGCTCCGGGGACGGAGTAAGGCAAGGAGGCGGGATCGGAATGTTGGAGGCAGAACCGCAAGCTCCCAGGGCCACCCAATCACAGGGCCAGTCATCCGTTGAGACCCTGCCTCCGCGCCCGGCAGCCACTCCGTATCTTCCTCGCATTATCGCAGGGTTGGGCCGAGGCCCGCGCATGCCTGCAGAAAACCTACGGCCGCGAGGGGTCGGGCCTCCTCCTGCTCCTACTCCCGAGAGGCTCCGGCAATGAGAATAGGCCCCGCCCCCCCGCGCAGCCAAGTCTACGGACCAAGTCCGAGCCTGCAGACAAGCTCCGCCCCCACGAGGGCCTGCTCCGGCTGACAGCGTCCGGCAGCGCGGCAGAGCCCCGCCCCCATGCGGGGGCACGCTTACTGACACCGTCCGTGCGCGCGGGAAGGGCCCAGCCTCGCGGCCCGGCGTGGCTTTGTGACGGGCCTCTGGTGGCCCAGCCCCTTCCAGCAGCGTCAGCAGATCCCAGTGGTTACGTTGGTGAGCGACGTCCGCCGGCGCTAGCCCAGCCTGGTCCCGCAGCTCTCGGGCTGCCCCCAGCCCCAGCAGTAGCTGGGCTACTTCCACCGCTCCTTCCCGCGCCGCCAGGAATAGCGGCGTCTGCTCCTGTACAGAAGAGCCAGGGCCGATATCAGGGAAGGCCACGCCCACAGGACTGGGCCTTTCTGCCTTCACTTGCGCGACCACTGGCCCCTATCCCTTCAGGCTTTGCGGGTTACCGCACTTTCCATCTCTCGTGCGCCTGACTGTTTTGTGGGAAGCCCTCTGTCCCATCTAACCCTGTTGTCCTGGGCATCTTTATCGGCTCCGGCCTGGAGAAGCGAGCGGGCGGCTCGGGCGTTGTTCACGGCAGCAGCCCAGTGCAGCGCAGTTTTCCCTAGGGGACGACGTGGGAGGTTGTTACCCCAGTTGGGGGCCAGACGCCTGGGTTCCGGTTTCCCACGGGTTCTGGCCTTGGGGGAAGGGCTATTCGGGCCGGCTGGTCCCTCAAAGGCGGGAAGCGTTGCCCAGGAGACCACCGGCCTGCAGGAAGTGTTGCCCTGGTGACGTCACCAGTGCGCGGGAGGGACAATGGGGCATTGTTCTGGGGTCGGTGAGACCGGGAGACAGTCTCCCCCCACGAGATTCCCCCCCCTTTCCACAGACACTGTGTTCCATGCCAGTTCCCCAGTAAGCTGGAGCGGAGGGCCAGTGTGGTGTTGAGGGTGGGAGTTGGGGGGGGAAACTCACGCGGCCCGTACTTCCACCGCATCTCAGATTGACCGCCGTAACAGCAGGATGAGAGGGAATGCCCCTCTGCTGCACCTATATTTTGCACGCTATCTCCCACCCCATCTGCTCAACTTCTCTATAGCATACATCACCCCTTCCTCTACATACCCCATTTATCTCTGGCCCCCACGTCTGCTTGGGCTGCAATCAGTTCTTCAACCAGGTCTTCCACCGCCAGCCTGGCAGCCAGCATCAAGGGTGTGGTCCCGTCCTCTGTGCGAGCGTCCACTGCAGTTTGTCTGCTACGGAGCAGAAGCTGGGGAGACAGAGGGCCACTGACACCTGGGGTACCTTGGACTGCCAACTCGAGTTCCTTACACTATTAACCCCACTCGCAATCCATATTCAGCCATCCTCCGCAGTTTCCCTGTCAGGTTCCCAATCACACCAATTTCCTCCTTGTCAAACTCTAGGGGATGCTTCTGTCCAGCTTTACTTGTAAGCTCGCCCCATTCCCTGTAGGGACCTCAGTGTGTGCTAACCTGGCAGACCTCCCGAGCATCAGCAGCCACAGCAGCATGAAGGGGTGTGCGCCCTGCCCGGTCTGGCTGGTTGGGGTTGGCTCCAGCCTCAAGGAGGCGGCGGGCAGCGGTTGGCCGGGAGAATCGGGCAGCCAGGTGCAGGGGGGTCTCCCCAGTGCCCACGGTGTGAGCCTGGGGACAGGCCCCTCCATCCAGCAGAGGTTCCCAGGGCTCAGGACATCCCAACCATGCCCCTTGGAAGGTCCCGGACTGTACTTCCCCACAGCAAACTGCTGACATCAGGGGTGTCACCCCATCTGTTGGTAAGACAGAGTAATGGGTCAATCTAAAGGACACAACAAGGGGGAAGGGACAACATGTAAGCTCAGAGAGAATCAAAACCTGAGGTGTTGGGAAGCTAAGTTCTGGCTCTGTGTGGCTTTAGCCAAGTGACTTTTCTGCTTTTCTCTGACTTCAGTTTCTTCCTCTGTAAAAGGAACCTGCAGCTTAATTCTCTGACATTCCAGGACAGTGGTTTTCTCTTTTTTTTTTTTTTTTTTTCTGAGACGGAGTCTCGCCCTGTCACCCAGGCTGGAGTGCAGTGGCGCGATCTCGGCTCACTGCAAGCTCCTCCTCCCAGGTTCACGCCATTCTCCTGCCTTAGCCTCCAGAGCAGCTGGGACTACAGGCTCCCGCCACCACGCCCGGCTAATTTTTTGTATTTTTAGTAGAGACGGGGTTTCACTGTGTTAGCCAGGATGGTCTCGATCTCCTGACCTTGTGATCCACCCGCCTTGGCCTCCCAAAGTGCTGGGATTACAGGCGTGAGCCACCACGCCCGGCCTAGCAGTGGTTTTCTCAAACGAGTCTGGATCAGATTCACCTGAAGGGCTTGTTAAAACAGATTGCCTAACATTTTAAATTCCTGAGTCAGTAGCTCTGTAGTGGAGCCCAATAATTTGCATTTCTGACAAATTCCCAGGTGATGCTGATTTTGCTGTCTGAGGACCACACTTTGAGAATCATTGTTCTAAGGCACTCAGTCTAAAATTATTTCCTCTAGTTCTGATATTAAAGGACTCTCTGATTCTAATAGGGTCAAAGGACTTTTTTTTTTTTTCTTGGTCTGGGTTGACTCACATACCAGGTCCACGGGTGTCCAGGTCAGGGGCTTCCATCTCAGATTCCTGGGGAGGAGTTAGCATGGCTGCCTGAGGGAGCGCCCCACAGCCACCACTCAGAGACCAGAGCTGGCACGTGGAGGGTGGGCCTGTTTCTTCAGCCTTTGGGTAACAGCAAGGATCAGTGAAGGTTGATTTGCCCTTTCATCCCTTCCATCACCTCCAGACCATTCTTGCCCCAGCCCTTTCACCTGGCCCACCTCCTCTCCCTCCTCAGGGCCTGAGCACATCACAACTCCATCCTCATCAACTTCTGCCTTTGGCTTCAGTGCCCTGGAAAGGAATGGGTGGGTAGAGGTTACACGGAATTATGACCATCAGGGTCTCCAAAATTTCCAGCAGGCTTCCCACCCCTCTCTCCTTCCCCTATCTTTGACTTCTGCAATAGTATTTCTTATCTTTTCTGATTGTAAATATCGCCATAGGAGAGACTCCCCTTCCTGAGCCTGGGTTTCTCCTCATTCTCACTTGAGACCAATGCTGTCCTCGCCTAGTGGGGGCCGGCGTCGGTGGGGAGCTGACTGAGTCCGAGGCCGTCGAGTGAAACCAGGGGGCAGCCAGAGAGCTCCATGCTCTCGGCGTCGACGCCGGATGAGCTGGAGGACGAGAAGAGCCCCTAGGGCCAGGAGAATCACCCCGGCCACTGGGGAGCACAGCACAGGCCAGGGAAGCTGGTTGGCAGGGGGTGCTGGTGGGAGAGACAGAGTCACAAAGAGAGGCCACTCCTGGTGAGACTGATTACTATTGGGAGACCTTTGGACAAGTTTAGTAGCCTGTCTTTGCCTCGGTTTCCTTATCTGCAAAATGGGGATGATAATATAGATTGAGGTTGGGCACAGTGGCTCATGCCTGTAATCCCAGCACTTTGGGAAGCTGAGGCAGGTGGATCATATGAGGCCAGGAGTTCGAGACCAGCCTGGCCAACATGGCAAAACCCCCTCTCTACTAAAAATATAAAAATTAGTGGCTGGGTGTAGTGGCTTACTCCTATAATCTCAGCACTTTGGGAGGCTGAGGCGGGTGGATCATGAGGTCAGGAGATCGAGACCATCCTGGCTAACATGGTGAAACCCTGTCTCTACTAAAAATACAAAAAATTAGCCAGGTGTGGTGGCGGGCACCTGTAGTCCCAGCTACTTGGGAGGCTGAGGCAGGAGAATGGCGTGAACTTGGGAGGTGGAGCTTGCAGTGAGCCGAGATCGCGCCACTGCACTCCGGCCTGGGCGACAAGGCAAGACTCTGTCTCAAACAAAACAAAACAAAACAAAACAAAAACAAAAAAAATTATCAGGGCATGGTGGCATGCCATTGTAATTCCAGCTACTCAGTAGTCTGAAGCAAGAGAATTGCTTAAACCCAGGAGGCAGAGGTTGCAGTGAGCTGAGATGGCGTCACTGTACTCCAGTGTGGCTGACAGAGTAAGACTGTCTCAGAAAACAAACACACAAAAAAAGGCTGAGTATCCATAACCCCAATCCCAAATCTGAAATGTTCCAAAGTCTGAAACTTTTAGAGTACCAACATAACGCTCAAAGGAAATGCTCATTGTAGCATTTGGATGTTGTATTAGGGATGCTGAACCAGTAAGTATAATGCAAATATTCCAAAATAAATCCGAAATCTGAAACACTTTTGTTCCCAAGCATTTCAGATAAGGGATACTCAACCAGCAGTACGTGCCTCATGGGGTTGTGGGGGAGGATTAAATGAGGTAACAATGTAAAATGCTTAGAGTAAGGCACAAAGTACGATATAGCAGTTATTTTTCTTTTTTTTTTTTTTGAGATGGAGTCTCCCTCTGTCGCCCAGGCTGGAGTGCAGTGGCGCGATCTCGGCTCACTGCAAGCTCCACCTCCCAGGTTCACGCCATTCTCCTGCCTCAGCCTCCTGAGTAGCTGAGACTACAAGCACCCGCCACCACAGCCGGCTAATTTTTTTATTTTTAGTAGAGACAGGGTTTCACCGCATTAGCCAGGATGGTCTCAATCTCCTGACCTCGTGATCCACCTGCCTTGGTCTCCCAACGTGCTGGGATTATAGGCATGAGCCACTGCGCCCAGCCTATTATTCTTTCATGTACTATGAATTGTCTGATACAAAGACTATTAGGTATTCTCAGTCTGGTAGAGAAGATAAACCATCCCTTTGTTGGAGGGCTATGACAGAGGTTAGGATAATGTGCTTAGGGAAATAAGGAAGGAGACTGTAGAACAAATGGGCCAGTGGGAGATTCAGTTAGAGAAAGCGGGGTTAGGGAAAGTAAGTCCCCACAAAGAACATTTTCAGTCTCAGCTGTCCTGTTTGATTCAGCCTCCATTGCCTGTTGCTAGCATGAGAGCTGGCCTGGGAACAGAGGTCAGAGAAAGTGGCAAGGGGTCACCTACCGGTCCCTGCATGAGGGTGGACAGCCAGCAGTGGTCCAGGCAGCAGGGGCTCCAGGGCTCCCACTGCAGCCATCGCAGCAAGGAAGCGGAGTAGAAGCCCAGGGTCCCAGGGACAGCGGGATGCCGGGTGGTCAGGGCCACAGCGGGACAAATCCACACCCATGACCACCACAAACCTGTAGAGGAGGCACCTCAGAGACCTCTGTATTGGTCCCTGGCTCCCTTTCCTCCCTCTGCCCTCTTAAAAAAACTGGTGTCTGGCCCTTCCCTCCACCTAGCTTCTTACCCAGCACTGAGGGAGTCGGTCTCCTTGCCCAGGGGCTGCGTTTGAGGGGCTGCTCTCTCCTGATAGGTGGGGTCCCGAGTTCCTCCTAGCTTTTCTTCAGCCCGGGCCCCAGGATAGGGGTACACCATGTCCCTGCCATCACGATCCTTCCTTACCCAGAGTCCTACCCTCAGAGTCAGGGACAGCACCCGGGCCAGGGCAAACAGCTGCTGGTCTAGGGCTGGGGGGCTCAGTACCACCAGCAGGGCCAGGGAGGGCCCCCACTCTGGGTCCCCATCTTCAGGCCTGCAGTCACCTCCATCCCAGCCACACTCTGCAGTGTTGCAGCCTTTCTCACAGTGCCCGTTGTGGAAGTGATCATGGCAGTACTGGTCATAGGCTGGACTGTGGGGTAAGGAGAGGGGGACTCAGGACCTCCCTAAAACCTGACTCTTTTCTTCACCCTAGAAAGAATTCCCCATATTTTGTGCCCTCTAGGGCTTTGGTTGCTAAGTGGGGGCAGCTGTGGAGCAATGAGCTTAGTCAAGTCCTGGATGGTAGTCCAGACACCCCAATGTCTGCTAACACCCCTGTCTCCCTAGACTGTCCCCTCTCTGTACCCTCCCAAGCTCTCCTCTGTTTCTAAAGGAGAGTCCCAGGCCCTTTTCCCTCTGTGAGGTGCTGACTGCTAGGGGAAATACCCCATGGCAGCAAGGCTTAGGGAAGGAGGCTTGAGACCTGAGTTCCTACAACTCTTAGAGAGGAGCCCAAAGGCCACGCCCCACATTAAATACTGATGCCACCCCATTACCCTAGGTTGGAGTCCAGAGTCTTCGACCCCTGTTTAGTGATGGTTATTAGGGTGGAAACTCCCTGGAGCCCAAGGCTGTGGCCACACTGTAACTCAGAGCCATCTACGTCCTTCCTCCTCCTCTCACCCACCCCTCTCCTTCCCTGGCTCCAGTGGATTTCAGGCTCACGTGCAGGCTGGAGGGGTCTCACAGTCGTAGCCATCAAACAGACACTCTTCAGAGTCACACTGTGGGTGGCACTGCCCGTCCCGGAAGAGAAGCCAGCACCGAGAGTGGGAGGGGCAGCCCTTCCAGGGGTCTGGGACTCCCAGAGAGCAGTCCCCTCCATCCCAGTTTCCTCCCGGGCCACTGCAGCCAGCATCGCAGGCCCCATCTCCACTTCTGCCCTCACACCCCTTGGCTCCGGGTTTCTGACACCGGGGCCCTGGAGAGCTGTGAGGGCAGGAGCATCGAAAGCCTGGGCCCCCCAAGCCCGTGGTCTCTGAGCAGCTGCCATTGTATAGGCATGGGGAGGGAGGGCCACAGCCTTTAGGAGCTGGTGGGGTCAGGCAGTCAGGACCCCCATAGCCACTGAGGCAGGCACAGCGTGGTGGGAAGCCTGGCTTAGGGGAGGGCAGACACAGGCCTCCGTGGTGGCAGTGATGGAAGCCGCAGGAAGGGGCCCTGTGGCTGCAGGTGGGGCCTTCAAAACCCTGTGGAGGGGAGGGGAGATATTGGAGATGCAACTTGCATTATTCTTCCCGCTCTCTATCAAGCAAACTCTTGGGTTAAGACGGTGCAAGGGTCCTAGATTCTCATATCTAAAAGGCGCCTCAGAGAGCATCAAGTTAATCATTTTGTGGATGTTGAAACCATGTCCTGTGGTAATTTCACACAATGACATATTACATTCTGTTGAAAATGGATGAAGCACAGCTGTGTGCAACAACCTGATGGACTGTGGCATTACAGTGCAAGTCCTAGAAGACTAAACAGTTAATAGAATGCTATTATATTATTATTATTATTATTTTTGAGACAGAGTTTCGCTCTTGTTGTCCAGGCTGGAGTGCAATGGTGCAATCTCAGCTCATTGCAACCTCTGCCTCCCGGGTTCAAGCAATTCTCCTGCCTCAGCCTTCCCAATAGCTGGGATTACAGCCATGCACCACCACGCCCAGCTAATTTGTATTTTTAGTAGAGACAGGGTTTCTCCATGTTTGTCAGGCTGGTCTCGAATGCCCGACCTCAGGTGATCCGCCTGCCTCGGCCTCCCAAAGTGCTGGGATTACAGGCGTGAGCCACTGTGCCCGGCCGGCTGTTATATTATTATCTTACTCCTTAGAAATAGGATCATATGTCTTCCTCTTCCTCTGGAGAGGGAACAGGATACAGGAGGAGGACTTAAGTAGATGTAAGTTATTATTAATATTGAAATTCTTGGGTTAGGTTCATGGGTGTTACATTGTTAGAATAATAAAATAAAAGAAGACCAGGCATAAACCAATGTCAGTGTATCAGGAACCAAAGCTTAAGATTAGTCTAATTCCATGCATCTGAGGTCCATAAATACATATACAAACACACACAGAGTTAAAATAACCTATCTGAGGCCACCCACCACGCAGCTTGAGCTTGGGGAGCTCCTGACCTTCCCTTAGGCAACGCCTGTGATTTTTGAAAATTCCATTCATGCTATCAACTGATCCTGCCTTGCCTTTGACTGCTTCTGAGAGACACTTCCCACTGTGAGCTTGGCATGGCTTTTTCCAATAATTTCCACATCAGTGCTCACCCACAGTCCCTTCTGGGATTCCAACTGAGGTATTCTTGCCTTGTCAGCATAGGGGGCAACAGAGAAGGCAGATTTGTGGTCACTTGCCTTGGGGCAGTGGCAGATGAAACCCAGGGGTGATCCTGCTGTGGCCTCACAGGTCCCTCCATGAAAGCAGGGTTGGCTGTGGCAGGGGTCTATCTCCACCTCACACCACTGGCCTGTAATTATGGGGGAGATTAGACGTCACACACTGCATCAGTCACTGCCTCCATCCTAGCTCATTCCTGGATGTTGGCCCAGTGCTAGATGTGCAGGTGAAGGGATCCTGGGGCATCTTTTCTGGGCGGGGGTGGGCGTGGAGGCAGGGGATGGACCAGGTGACGGCTGCCGCATGGGTGGAGACTATCTGGCTCTCCATGGTCTGCTTGGCTGTGCTCCAGACACACTTGTGCCCCTTGTCTTGGGGCCTCACCTGTGTGTCCAGGCAGACACTGGCAGTAGAAGGCATTGGCCAGAGAGTGGCAGGCTGCAGTGCCTGTGGGGTGGCAGGGCTGGTCCAGACACTCGTCCACGTCTCCCTCACAGCGTAGCCCCACAAAGCCTGGAGGGCAGGCACAGTGGAAGCCTCCAGGTTTGGGAGTACAGGTTCCATGGTTGTGACAGGGTTGGGACTGACAAGCATCGAGTTCCTTTGAGCAGTTCTGTCCATCGTAGCCTGGGGCACACTGCAGACAAAGAGGATTAGACAGGGAACCAGTGGATGAGCCCAACCCAGCACTACAAGGGACCCAGCTCAAGATAGTCTGTCCAGTCCCCCACCTTCCAGCTCAACAGCATCACTCAACTCACCATCCATCATGGCCATGTGTCACAATCCTTCTATCTCAACTCCCCATGAGACACAATTGTTGGCGACACACAACTCAAACTTCCCCAGTCCCAAACAATCTCTATGACACACTGCCACCAAACACAGCACCATTTTTGGTAAAACCTTCCTCCCCTGCTAAATACCTACCAGGCTCTCTCATACTTTATTAATTCATAAGCATCTATTGAGTGCCTACTTTGTGTCAGGCACCGTTTTAGGCACTAGGAATACAAAGAAAGTTAGAACCCATTCCTATTTCCTGGAAGCTCTCAGTCAACCAGAGGAAAGAAATGACTAGCATTTATTGCATGATTTATATACATAACCTAAAAATCCCCCTAATGACATTTTATTTGGGTTATCTCATTCGATTTTTACTTTGCACGTAAGGAAGCTGAGTCTCTGAAAGGTTAGTGACTTGTGCAAGTCAAATAGCTATAGGTGGCAGAGCTGGGAATCAATGAAGGTCTGTGACTCCAAACCAATGCTCTTAACCATTTTCTGCTTCTTCATGCCACTCAGCTAGTGAGAGAAGGGTCATTGGCAAGATCTGTACCACGTGCTGGCTTCTTGCAAGAGGAAAGAGAGTGTGCAAGAGTACAGTACCAGGAAGGCAGGCTTCAAAGAGAGAAAAGGGAATTCACAGAGAATCCAAGGAGTGGTCAGAGAGCTGGAAGGAACAGGTGATGGGGGTGTTTTGGAGGAGGGAGCTTCATAAAAGAAGAAGTAAATAGCCGGGTGCGGTGGCTCACGCCTGTAATCCCAGCACTTTGGTAGGCTGAGGTGGGCAGATCACGAGGTCAGGAGTTCGAGACCAGCCTGGCCAATATGGTGAAACTCCATCTCTACTATAAATACAAAAATTAGCCGGGCATGGTGGCATGTCCCTGTAGTCCCAGCTACTCAGGAGGCTGAGGCAGGAGAACCGCTTGAACCCGGGAGGCAGAGGTTGCAGTGAACCGAGATCGCGCCACTGTACTCTAGCCGGGGCAACAGAGTGAGATGCTGTCTCAAAAAAAAAAAAAAAAAAAAAAAAAAGAATAAGTAAAGCTGAGTAATGGGTGCCCAGAGGTTTACTACTGATCAGTATACTGCTTTTGTTTATGTTTGAAAATGTTCATAATAAAAGGTTAAAAAATAAAATAAAAAAGTGAAAAAAGAGGGTAGGTTAGGGTATCTGTCTTGAGCCTTCTATCAAAAGTTGTGGTTCTGGCCGGGCACGGTGGCTCACGCCTGTAATCCCAGCAGTTTGGGAGGTCAAGGCGGGTGGATCACTTGAGGTCAGGATTTTGAGACCAGCCTGGCCAACATGGTGAAACCCCATCTCTACTAAAAATACACACATACACAAAATTAGCTAGGTGTGGTGGCAGGCACCTGTAATCCCAGCTACTGGGGAGGCTGAGGCAGGTGAATTGCTTGAGCCCGGGAGGTAGAGGTTGCAGTGAGCTGAGATTGCACCACTACATTCCAGCCTGAGTGACAGAGCAAGACTCTGTCTCAAAAAAAAAAAGCTGTGGTTCTATATCTCAAAATAATAAAAGCCATATATGACAAACCCACAGCTAACATCATATTGAATGGGGAAAAGTTGAAAGCCTTTCCTCTAAGATCTGGAACAAGACAAGGATGCTCACTTTCACTATTTTTATTCAAGGTAATACTGGAAGTCCTGGCCAGAGCAATTAGGCAGGAGAAAGAAATAAAGGGCATCCAAATTGCAAAAGAAGAACTCAAATTATCCATGTTCACAGATGACATAATCCTATATTTAGAAAAACCTAAAGAAAACACTGGTTATAAACAAATTCAGTAAAGCTGTAGGATACAAAATCAATGTAGAAAAAGTAGTAGCATTTCTATACGCTAACAGCAAACAATCAGAAAAAGAAATCAAGAAAGCAATCCCATTTATAATAGTTACAAAAAATAAAAACAAATGAATAAATTTAACCAAAGAAGTGAAAGAGTACTGCAATGACAGCTATAAAACATTGATGAAATAAATTGAAGAGGACACAAAAAAATGGAAAGATATCCTGTGTTCATGGATTGGAAGAATGAATACTGCTAAAATGTCTGTGCTTACCAAAGTGATCTACAGAGTCATGCAACCCCTATGAAAATACCAATAATATTCTTTACAGAAATAGAAAAAACAACCCTAAAATTTATCTGAACTGTAAAAGACCCAAATAGCCAAAGCAGTCCTGAGCAAAAAGAACAAAGCTAGAGGTACCACACTACCTAACTTAAAAATATACTATAAAGCTATAGTAACCAAAACAGCATGGTGCTGGCATAAAAAACAGACACATAGACCAATGGAATGTAATAGAGAGCCCAGAAAAACAAGTCCAAACATTTAACAGCCAACTTACTTTCTTTTTTCTTTTCTTTCCTTTTTTTTTTTTTGAGATGGAGTCTTGCTCTGTTGCCAGGCTGGAGTGCAATGGCACGATCTGGCTCACTGCAACCTCCACCTCCTGGGTTCAAGCGATTCTCCTGCCTCAGCCTCCTGAGTAGCTGGGATTACAGGTGCGCACCACCATGCCTGGCTAATTTTTGTATTTTTAGTAGAGACGGGGGTTTCACTATGTTGGTCAGGCTGGTCTCGAACTCCTGACCTTGTGATCTGCCCGCCTCGGTCTCCCAAAATGCTGGGATTACAGGCATGAGCCACCACTCCCGGCCAGCCAACTTACTTTCAACAAAGGCACCAAGTACACACACTGGGGAAAGGACACTCTCTTCAATAAATTGTGCTGGGAAAACTGGATATCCATATGCAGAAGAAACTAAACCTAGGCCGGGCGGGGTGGCTCACGCCTGTAATCCCAGCACTTTGGGAGGCGGAGGTGGGTGGATCACCTGAGGTCAGGAGTTTGAAACCAGCCTGACCAATATGGTGAAACCCCATCTCTACTAAAATTACAAAAATTAGCCGGGCGTAGTGGTGTGCACCTGTAGTTCCAGCTACTCAGGAGGCTGAGGCAGGAGAATCAGTTGAACTTGGGAGGTGGAGGTTGCAGTGAGCTGAGATCATACCACTGCACTCCAGACTGGGCAACAGGGCAACAGAGCAAGACTCTATCCCCCCCCCAAAAAAAAAGAAAAAAAGAAACTAAATCTCTATCTGTCATCATATACAAAATAGATTAAAGCCTTACATGTACAGCTGGAAACTTGAAGCCACTAAAAAAAAAATTCAGCCGGGCACGGTGGGTCACACCTGTAATCCTCAAACACAAGGTCAGGAGTTTGAGACCAGCCTGGCCAACATGGTGAAACCCCGTCTCTACTAAAAATACAAAAAAATAGCTGGGCGTGGTGGTGGGCACCTGTAAATTCCAGCTATTTGGGAGGCTAAGGCAGGAGAATCGCTTGAACCCAGGAGGCAAAGGTTGCAGTGAGTCAAATTTGCGCCACTGCACTCCAGCCCAGGCGACGGTGCAAGACTCCTTCTCAAAAAAAAAAAAAAAAATCATTTGGGAAATGCTTCAAGACATTGGTCTGGGCAAAAGTTTTTTGGGTAAGACCTCAACAGCCAGGCAACAAAGGCAACAACAGACAAATGTGATTACATCAAGCTAAAAAGTGTCTGTGCAGCAAAGGAAACAATTAATGGAGTGAAGAGGCAACCTACAGAATAGAAGAAAATATTTGCAAACTGTCTGACAAGGGATTAATAATCAGAACGTATAAGGAACTCAACAGCAAACACCACCACTACCACCACCGACAAATAATGTGGTTTAAAAAATGAGCAAATTATCTGAACAGACATTTCTCAAAAGAAGACATACAAATGGCCAACAGGTATATGGATGCAAATCAGGGAAATGTAAATCAAAACCACAATGAGATATCATCTCACACCAGTTAAAGTGGCTATTATTGAAAACACAAGGGCCAAGTGTGGTGGCCCATGCCTGTAATCCCAGCACTTTCAGAGGTTGAGGCGGGAAGATCATTTGAGGTCAGGAGTTCGAGACCATCCTGGCCAACATGGTGAAACCCCATCTCTACTAAAAATACAAAAAATTAGCCAAGCATGGTGGTCCACGCCTGTGATCCCAGTTACTTGGGAGGCTGAAGTACAAGAATCGCTTGAATCTGGGAGGCAGAGGTTGCAGTGAGCTGAGATCAAGTCACTGTGATCCAGCCTGGGCAACACAGCAAGACTCTGTCTCAAAAAAGGAAAAAAAATGCAAAAAATAGCAGATGCTGGCAAGGATGCAGAGAAAGGGGAACCCTCATACACTGTTGGTGGGAATGTAAACTAACACAGCCAGTATGGAGAAAAGTATGGAAGTTTCTCAAAAATTAAAAATAGATCTACCATGTGATCAATCTACTGTTCATTACATATCCAAAGGAAATCAGTATCTTGAAGAGATATCTGCATCCCCATATTTATTGCAGCACTGTTCACAATAGCTAACATATGGAATTAACTGAAGTGCCATCAACAAATGAATGGAAAAAAGAAACTGTGTCATATAGACACAATGGAATATTATTCAGCCAGAAAAAGAATGAAATCCTATCATTTTCAGCAACATGGATGAAACTGAAGGACATTATGTTAAGTGAAATAAGCCAGGCACGGAAAGACAAATATTGCATGTCTCTCACCTTCACCTTTGTGCCACTGCCTTAGTTAGTCCTGACCTTTCTTGCATTCCAGGTAGATACTTGCATCAGCCTCCTATTGCATGTGTAATATTGCTCCTCACTCATATGTGGGAGCTAAAAAAGTTAGTCTCATGGAAGTAGGGTAGAATGATGGTTACCAGAGGTTAGAAAGGGTGGCAGGGAGGGGGAGATGAAGAGAGGTTGGTTAATGGATACAAAATTATGGTCATATAGAAGGAATAAGTTCTAGTGTTAGATAGCAGAGAAGGATGGTGATAGTTAACAATTTGTATTTCAAAATAACTAGAAGAGAAGATTTGAAATGTTCTCAACACAAAGAAATGATGTTTGAGATGATAGATATCCCAATTACCCTGATTTGATCATGATACATTGTATGCATGTATCAAAATATCACATGTGTCCAGGTGCGGTGGCTCATACCTGTAATCTTATCACTTTGGCAGGCTGAGTGGGTGGATCACTTTAGGTCAGGAGTTCTGAGACCAGCCTGCCCAACATGGTGAAACCCCATCTCTACTAAAAATACAAAAATTAGCCAGGCGTGGTGGCGCGTTCCTGTAATCCCAGCTACTCGGGAGGCTGAGACATGAGAACTGCTTGAACCTGGGAGGCGGGGGTTTCAGTGAGCCAAGATCATGCCACTGCACTTCAGCCTGGGGGATAGAGCGACTCTGTCTCCAAAAACGAGAGAAAAAAAAAAAAGAAACCAAAAAACTCACATGTACCCCATAGATACGTATGACTACCGTTTGTCAATAACAAAAGAAAATAAAATGGCAACCACACACACAAAAAAGTTGTGGTTCTGAGCATATGAATCAGGCTGCTTAGACTTGAATGCCAGCTTTGCCTCTCCTGGCTTAGTGACCTGGACCACAAAGAAGAGGCCCTAATCCAGCCTGGGGAGAAGTTAGGGACACCTTCCTGAAGAAGATGCCTCCTGAACACCAGCCTGTGGAAGAGGGGTTGGGAAGGCCATTCCAGGTAGTGTCAATAGCAGGGATAAAGGCTGAGAGGCAAGAATCAGTATGGGGTACGTGGCAAAGTCAGCAGCAGTTTCATGTTGCTGGAGCAGAGAGTAGAAGGGTGGGATGGGGAGAGCTGAGGCCTGAGAGGCAGGCAGGGCTGGGTCATGCAGGCCTTGGACTTTATTCAGAATGAGGCGGGCAGCCTCCGAAGGTTCAGCAGGGGAGAGACAGGTCAACTGGACATTTTCAGTAGAGTACCCTGGCCACGGGGTAAAGGCTGAACCTATAGAAGGACAAGTGTGGAGGCAGAGACTGTAGTTAGGAGGCTGATGCAAGTATCTATCTGGAACGCAACAAAGGTCAGGACTCAGGCAGTGGGACAAAGGGTGAAGGTGAAAGCACAGACTTGAGAAAACTTCAGGAGATAAAGTGGCATGACTTTGTGGTTAGTTGGGTGTGTGGGGTTAAAAAAAATAAAAGGAGGTGAAATGGATACATTGGGTCTTCCCTCAGTCACTACTGTCTCTCCCATCCAGCCCACCCTTGTCTTTCCTCCCCCTTCTCCTGCAGACCCTCTCACCTGGCAGAGATACCCACTGGGCTGGGCCATGCAGGTGGCCCCGTTCTGGCAAGGCCTGGACTCACATGGGTTCACGTGATCCTGGCACAGGCTGCCTTGGAATCCAGGGGGGCAGTGGCAGAAATAGGAGGGGCCGCTGTCGACACAGAGGCCTCCATTGTGGCAAAGGGAAGAGACGTCTATGCCTGGGGAGAGAGACAAACAGGGATATACAAAGATAAGTGGGGGGCCGGGCGCCATGGCTCACGCCTGTAATCCCAGCACTTTGGGAGGCCGAGGCAGGTGGATCACCAGGTTAGGAGTGTGAGACCAGCCTGGCAAACATGGGGAAACCCCGTCTCTACTAAAAATACAAAAAATTGGTCGGGCGTTGTGGCAGGCACCTGTAATCCCAGCTACTTGGGAGGCTGAGGCAGGAGAATCACTTGAACCTGGGCAGCGCAGGTTGTAGTGAGCCAAAATCGTGCCATTGCACTCCAGCCTGGGCTATAGGGCAAGACTCCATCTCAAACAAACAAACAAACAAACAAACAAACAGAAACGGTAAATGGGGATGTGGCCGGGCGTGGTGGCTCACACCTGTAATTCCAGCACTTTGGGAGGCTGAGACGGGTGGATCACTGAGGTTAGGAGTTCGAGACCAGTCTGGCCAACATAATGAAACCCCATCTCTACTAAAAATACAAAAAAAAAAAAATTAGCTGGGCATGGTGGCACACGAATCCCAGCTACTTGGGAAGCTGAGGCAGGAGAATCACTTGAACCTAGGAGGTGAAGGTTGCAGTGAGCCGAGATCGTGCCACTGCACTCCACCCTGGGTGACAGACTGGGACTCCATCTCAAAAATAAATAAATAAATAAATAAATAAATAAATAAATAAATAAATAAGGTATGTGAGGAGGAGGAAGGGTGTATTCAGGGCCCAATCTCTGGGTGTAGAGGCCTTTACCTTGGGGACCACTAACATTCCTGGGTGGAGACTGGTCTGGGCCCAAGGAGTTAATAACTCCTGGCACTGAAGAAATTAGACCATCGAGTTTTACCTCTCTCCTCACCCTTTCTGCCAGAATATTGGAGACATACCCCTAAAGCTTATCATAATGTTAAAGCAACTGTTTTCTTGGCTTAAAGCAAGGCTTGAGCAAGAAATAATTCAAGGTATGCCTCAAGTGAGGACAAGTGGCTTAAGTCTGTCCCCTGAGTTCTGCATTCCTTTAATGTTCTCTCCCTGTGATTCCCATCAGCTATCCCTTAACTCCATCATAATCTCTTTCCCGAGCTCTTCTCATATCAAACCTTATTTTAGTGTTCTTTTACAAAGAGGGTGGCGTGACATCGAAGTGAGTGGGGTGGGGTGAAATGTGTTGAGTGTAGCTGGATTAAGTGTGGTCCACTCTGCCTGGGTTATGATGATCAGGACAGAGTTGAGTTGCTCCACGTTGAGTCATGTCCCTCATGGTTGGGTTAAACTGGAATCCTGTGGAATGGGCTGGTTGGTGTTGCTTGAATTGCGTTAAATGAGGTAACAGGAATTGTGTTAGGCTTCTCTGATTGCACAATTCAACACCTCTGCAATCAAGAACTGATTTGTCTGTGTGGTTTTGATTCTCAGGTGGTTGTTTTGGCCAAAAGCTGTGTGGAAGCCCACAGGAACGGGGCAGGTGAGAACACCCATATTTTCTTCATTTGCTCTCCAGTCAGTGCCGGCGTTGGTTACCTTGGCTCAGTGCAGCCTTCTGGCAGGAGGACAGTGGAAGGTTGCAGAGAGGCCCGGTCCATCCCTGGAGGCACAAGCAGTGGAAGGAGGGCCCAGTCTGGAGGCAGTGGGAATTGCGTGGGCAGGGCTTCTGGGCACATAAGTCCATCAGAGTCTGAGGGGTGGGAGGGAGCGTGAGGCAGGACATAGCATCAGATTCTCAGCCCAGAGATGGTCCTCTGCCCACTCCAGCTCCTCGAAATCCCTTACTTCAAAAACCTTCTCCTGAATGGCCTGGGACCAGGTGACCCTCCCTGGTTTCCCTCCCAGCCACTTCCCTCCTCAGCACGCCTGACTTCAATGGCCCTCACCTGGCAGCTGCCTCCGGTGTAGCCAGTGGGGCAGAGGCAGCGGGGACCCTGAGGGCTGTCCTGGCAGGTTGCCCTATTCCTACAGGGGCTGAACAAGACAGAGACAGGGCATGATAGGAAGAAGTTCGGGCAACAAGGGGAAGGTAGTGTGTGATATTGTCGGGAGGCAACCACAGGGAGGTGGCAAGCCAGGAGGGAAGGCGGAACGAGGTGTGGGGTGGGAGGCAGCCTGGAACCCAGGGGGAGATGAGAGGAGGGGTGGGAAGGCTGAGGGGTTTTCTCCCTTCTAGGGGTCTTTGGGCCCTGCTCACCTGTCTGCACAGCTGGGGCGGAGCTTTCCCTCACAGCGCGGGCCCTGGAAGCCCATGGCACAGAGGCAGGAGAAGGTGCCAGGCCTGTTCACACAGGTACCCCCATTGAAGCACGGGGCTGGAGAGAGGAGGCTGTGAGGGTTTGGGTTCCTTGCCTGTAACCTGGCCTGTGACCTCAGTCACACTGTACATAGGACATACACCCCCCACCCCCATCAAAACGACAGCTCACTGCCATCCAATTAATTTTTATTTATATGATATTTTATTGTTTTTAGATAGGGTCTTGCTCTGTTACCCAGGCAGTGGTGCCATCAGAGCTCACTGCAGTCTTAACCTTCTGGGCTCAAGTCATCCTCCCACCTTAGCCTCCCAAGTATTTGAGACTACAGGCCTTAGCCACTGTGTGCCCAGCTAATTTAGAGATGGAGTTTCATTATGTTTCCCAGGCTGGTCTGTTCAATTAAATTTTAAAAAATATGACACAAGCATACCCTCCTTAGTTCTTCCATTCTCCTGTGGACCCCAGCCCCATGACACAGTGGGCACTCACCAGACACACAGTAGTCAGTGCTGGTTTGGCACTGGGGCCCTGTGTGGCTTGGAGGGCAGGTGCAGTAGTAGCCTCCAGGGCTAGGGTTGCAGGAGCCGCCATTGAGACATGGCCCTGAGTGACAAGCTGTCATCTCCTCACTACAGGTGGGTCCTGAAGGAAACAGGTGGGGGCTGAGAAAGGGTGTCCTCCTTCCCTCCCTCCGCTCTCCTTCTCTTTCCTCTTCCTTCCCTTCCTCATCCCCAACCCTATTATTCTTTCCCATCAACCTCCGTTCTCACCACCTCCCACACATCACCCGTGTCCCCTGCAGTCCAGTTCTCCTTAGTGGTGACTGAGACTCAGGGCCCGTGGTCGCCTGCCTTACCCTTGACATAGGGGGTGACCAGCACAGGGTGTATATGGTTTAGGGAGGGTCTCACCTGTGTAGCCTGTAGGGCAGGTGCAGTTGTAGCCAGAGGGCTGGGGGTAGCAGGTCCCCCCATGGGCACAGGGTGCAGAGATGCAGCCCCCTAGCTCTGCCTCACACTCTGGCCCCGTCCAACCCACGTCACACACACATGAGGATCTGGTTGTAAAGAGAAAGGGGAGGGTTTTTCTCTTCTCCTACTGCTTATGTTCCCCTCCCTGCTGCCTGGACCCCTATGACTTCCTCTTCTTTTGGCCCTGAGATTCTGGCCTCTTTCTTCAGTGACTTTGCTCTCAGCACCGCCCCCATCCTCCCCAACACCTGCTCATTTTCTCCAACTAGATATATGCATCTATATATCTAGTTGGAGATATATATATATATATATACACACACATATATATTCTTTCTGTAACTTACTTATTTTCTGTCTTTCTTTAGAATGAAAGCTCTACGAGAGCAGTTGCTTTATCTCTTTTGCTTTGTGTTTCCCCCAGGGCCTGGAACAGTAGCCACACAAAGTAGGTGCTCAGCAGATTTTTTTTTTTTTTGAGACGGAGTCTTGCTCTGTCACCCAGGCTGGAGTGCAGTGGCATGATCTTGGCTGACTGCAACCTCCGCCTCTTGGGTTCAAGTGATCCTTCCGCTTCAGCCTCCCAAGTAGCTGGGATTACAGGTGCGCCACCATGCCCAGCTAATTTTTGCATTTTTAGTAGCTACAGGGTTTCACCATGTTGGCCAGGCTGATGTTGAACTGCTGATCTCAGGTGATCCGCCCACCTCGGCCTCCCAAAGTGCTGGGATTACCGGCATGAGACCGTAATCAGCACTGCGCCTGGCCTCAGCAGATATTTTTCTAATGAATGATTAATTCGCCCTGGGATTTAGTGCTCTTCTTTCTGCTCTGACCCCCTGGTCCTCTGTTTCCACCAGTTTTTGTGGACTCTCTTCTCCTTGGATAACACTTACCAGTTGAGCCCTCCCACTGCCTTGCCCTAAGAACTTTGCCATCTCCTTCCTTTTCCCCATTGGTCATTTCTCACAGACCTACATCTCACTGGCTGTCTTCTCCTGTCCTAGCGAAGGGAGCCCAAAGGAGGGGGCAGATGGGGAGGGTCTGGAAGATGTTACCTCTGGCAGTGCCCGTGGTGGCAGGTGCAGTTGTCCTCAGGTGGGGCACAGCCAGGGCTTCCATCAGGACAGAGGCAGTTGGCCTTGTCTTTCTGGTCCTTACATATCTGCTTGGGCTGGCACAGGTTGGGAGCACACAGGGGAACCTCACAGAGCTGGCCTGGGGTGGGAAGATGGGTCAAAAAGAAAACAGCTCCTCCACATCCTTCATTGGGCCAAAGCCACATCCTTCATTGGGCCAAAGCCACTTCTTATGCTTGCCTTACTCACTCCCTATGAACCCATGAACCTGTCCTTCAATGGGTCCCTATTGCCTTTAAGATATTGTTTAACTTTCTCAGAATGATATGCAGAGTCCTGCAGGACATGACATTTGTACAACAGCTGTGTTTCTCATCTTTGCCTTGCTGTACCCTTAACTCTGACTTTCTTACAGTTCCTTAAATGGGGTGGGCTTTTCTTCCATCTGTGTCTTTGCACATGCAGTTATCTCCAGCTAAAACACACTATCTGGCACTCTATTTAGACAGACTCCTGACCATCCATCTTTCTATCTTTCTCTCTTTCCTCATTTCCTCCTTTCCTTCCTTTCCTTCCCTTCTCTCCTTCCTTCCTTCTTTCCTTCCTTCCTTCCTTCTTTTTTTTTTGAGATGGAATCTTGCTCTGTCACCCAGGCTGGAGTGCAGTGGAGTGATCTCAGCTCACTGCAACCACTGCTTCCCAGGTTCAAGCGATTCTCTTGCCTCAGCCTCCCCAATAGCTGGGATTGCAGGCGCCCGCCACCACGCCTGGCTAATTTTTGTATTTTTTTTTTTTTTTGAGGTGGAGTCTTACTCTGCCACCCAGGCTGGAGTGCAGTGGCGTGATCTCAGCTCACTGCAAGCTCCGCCTCCCGGGTTCACGCCATTCTCCTGCCTCAGCCTCTGGAGTAGCTGGGACTATAGGCGCCCGCCACCACGCCCAGTTATTTTTTTGTATTTTTAGTTGAGATGGGGTTTCACCGTGTTAGCCAGGATAGTGTCGATCTCCTGACCTCATGATCCACCCGCCTCGGCCTCCCAAAGTGTAATTTTTGTATTTTTAATAGAGACGAGGTTTCACCATGTTGGCCAGGCTGATCTCGAACTCCTAATCTCGGGTGATCCACCCGCCTCGGCTTCCCGAAGTGCTGGGACTATAGGCGTGAGCCACCACGCCCAGCCTCTGCTTATCTTTCAAGACTCATCTCAGCCATCACCTCCTCCATTTTTAGTCTGGGTTGGCTGGTCCTCTGTGCTCTTGTAATATCCTGCACGTTTTTCTCTCAGAGCACCTCTGTGGGCTATGATCAACAGGAGACTTGTTGGTCTCTCTGTATTAGACTTAAAGTCACATGAAGATGGCAACTGTCTTACTCAGATTTGCCTCCGTATCTGGCATAGTAGGCAGTTGGTAAGTGCTTGCTAAATAAGCAAGTGAATGCCTTTTCTTTGAGCCCCGTCCTCTGCTCCCAAGCCGCAATCACACCATTTACACTGGGCCCATGTGGGCCCTACGGTAACCCCTGCCCTTGTCCCCATGGTTGTACAATTGTGCAGGTTTTACACTAAATAACTTTAAAGGATACCATTCTCATTCTATTCTCACATCCCAACCATCAAACACCCACCAATGAACTCTGCCCCAACCCAAATGGAATAAAATATTCTGCCAGTTCTTTCCAGTGCCTCCCCTGTGAACCTGTGAAACCAGAGGGGCAGAGGCAAAAGAAGGCTCCTGGAAGATCAAGGCAGCTGGCTCCAACGGGACATGGGTCACTCAGGCACTCATCCACCTCTGTTTGACAGCGTGGCCCTTCAAAGCCTGTGGCACAGCAGGAAGGTCAGGGACCTGCACGGATGTCTGCCTCCTGCTCCCGCTGTCCCCCACAGTGTGTGCCCCAGTTTACCTGGGAGACACTTGCAGTGGAAGGCTCCAGGCTGGTCCTGGCACTGCCCACCATTGGCACAGGGAGAGCTTCTGCACTCATCGATATCCTCCTCACATCGGGTGCCGGAGAATCCTGGTGGGGCGGAAGTGGGTGGGGAGAGGAGGCCAAGGTCATCGAGGGAGGCACAGCATGGCGCCTTCCCTTGCCAGGAAAGGTGAACTTGCAGAGCTTCCCAGAGAAGACACCTGGGGCAGGTGAGCGTGGGGTGACAGGAGATGATGCAGAAAAGGTGAAGCTCAGCCACCTGCCAGCTGTGTGACTTTGGGCAAGCTGGTCAACCCTCTAGGCCCCAGTTTCCTGTTCTGTGTAAAAGGGGAATAATAATGGAACCTACCTCATGGTACTGTTAAAAAGATTAAATGACATAACGCCTGAAAAGTACTCAGCCAAATGGCTAGCCTGGAGTAAGTGGTGAATAAGTGTAGTTATTATAATAGCAGGGGACAGAGGAGTGTCCGGTGAGGCTGGAGAAGAAAGGCTTGGGGCAGCTTTTGCTGGGTTTATGATGAGAGTGCCAAGACCAGCCTGGGACCTCAACATGCATACACAGAGGCTGTGCAGGAGGACTGGAAAGGAGGGATCTTTGGGTGATTTGGTAGGACAGAGATGAGAATGGGCAAGTAAGCAAGGGAAGATTTGGGGATGTAAGAGTAGAGATTTTGGGGAGCAAAGACAGATTTGGAGGACTCCTTGGCTTGGCTAGAGAGAGCTTCAAGTGGCCTTGGGTGATTGCTGAGCCTGAACTCTGCAGGTTCAGAGGCCTGGGGTCTGAGGGTGGCCAGAGAGGCATCTGTACTCACCAGGCAGGCAGATGCACTGGAAGCCGTTGAGCAGGTCATGGCAATCCGCGTGGTTCAGGCAGGGAGCTGAGGCACACTCGTTGGTCTCCACCTCACAGAGCTGCCCTTCTAAGCCTGGGGACATGGGGACCATGAGGGCTGTGGCTCAGCCAGGTCTGCCTGGGAGACCTGTGTTCTAGAATCGGCCCTGCTCCTGACTTGCCCCACTCAGGCGGTCCTCCCCCGAGGTGCTGTCTGCATGGGGTTGAATAAGATGAACCCTGAGGCCCTGCTGCTTCGCAGTGTGTGGCCCTGCTCCTTGAGGTGTGAAAGGCCAGGGAACAGGGTGCTTGCTGGGGACCTGCGGGAGGACTACAAGGCTTTCTGGTGGCCATTCCTGTGTATACAGAGGGCGGGGCTCACCAGGGCAGGCTGATCAGCCTGGAGGACCTCAAGGTACAAATAGGAACAAATTGGCTTGGAGAATGAGTCCCGCTTCTTGTTCTCCCTGGGTGGGCCTCCATGCTAGGGAGAACAGAGATCCCAAAGTGGAGGAATTTGAAGTGCATCTGGGAAGCTTGTTGCTCCTATATTTGTCCCGTTGCTTTGGGTTCATCCTGGTCTCCACTGTTTCATCCTGAATTGAGGTGGGATCAACCTCTGGACCTTGGCTTCCTTTCTTTTCTTGCCTGAGGAGTCTGCTTCTGAAGCTCCTTGATATCTACAATGTTGTCCCTTGGGTTACCGAACCGTTTTCTCTTATTTCTCTATGATTGTCTGTTGGGTGACCTGAGCCAGTATCTTTGGGTGCCGCTCAGTTTAGAAAGTCAATATGGGGTAGTGGTTATAATTGTTGAAGCCCTTGGTTTGAATCTCAGCTCTGCCACTTGCTAGCTGGGTGACCTTGGACAAGTCACTTAAACTCTCTGTGCCTCAGTTTCTTCAGTTATAAAATGGGCAGTGCTGACCTCATAGGGTTATTGTAATAAGTAGATGAGACAATGCCTGTAAGATGCTCAGACAGTACCTGGCATAAAGTTGGCGATTATTTTTCTGATTTCATTCAACTCCTTGATGTTGGCTCTGTTGCTGTCTCCCTGGGGCGACTTTTCCCCCTTAAAACTAGCCTGGAGGTGGGTGCTGTCTTGCAGCAATTTTTTTCTTGTTGTACCAAATTTTCCTGTTGTATCACAGGGCTTTTGGGATTTTAAGGGATTACCTTGAATCTCTACATGGGAGAGTTTCTATAATCAGAGGGAGCATTCTGGGTTGACCTGAGCAAAGGCTGCAGCACAGAAAGTTTATGAACTGCTCTTCTACCCTCTCTTGCTGGGCTGCTGTGTACAGTGGACCAGGTTGTGCAGCCTCTATGATGACTATGAAATGAATGGCAGCTTCCCCCCAAGTTGAGGAATGCATAACCTCACTACCATCTGTGGTAACCCCTCTCCTAGGGGTCTTGGGTGTCCCTGAGTTTTCGTCTGGGGGTAGAGAGAGAAGCATCTGTGGTAACTTACGCCAATTGGCCTGAAGCTGTCCTTACTCTGGAGGGGGCATTCCTAGTGGGTTCAGGACTAGTTCCCTGTTTTCCCCACCCAAGGCCCCATCCAGCTGATACCTGGCGGGCAGAGGCAGTGGAAGGTGGCAAGTAGGTCCAGACAGGTGCTTCCTGGGTGGCAGGGCTGGGAGAGGCACTCATTGTGATCAGCCTCACAACGGGAGCCTGTGTAGCCAGGTGGACAGAGGCAGTTGAAGGAGCCAGGAGTGTTGAGGCAGGAACCGCCATGTTCACAGGGACTTGGGCCTTGCTGGGCTGGGAGGAGAGAAGAGCTGGGAGTCCACAGGGGTCAGGGCAGGAAGGGCAAGGAGGTGAGACTGTCAGGGAAGGTGTGGGGGCCTGCGTGTGGCAGACGAGACCAAATTGGGGAAGGGGCTTGTGTCTTTAAGATGGAAAGGAAATAAGGGACCAAACTCATGGGGACTGAGGGGCTGAACATTGGAGAGAGGGTCATGTAGGCAAGAGATGCCAAATCTGGGCAAATTCAAGGAAAAAGATGTTTGGTTTTTTAATTGGAAAAGCAATCTGCCCTTTTCTGTCTTCAGTGCAGAGGCCTGTCTGAGGCTCAGAGAGGCTCTGAAGTGGGAGTGGCCTCACCCATCAGACACTCGTCCAGGTCCTGGTGGCAGGTGGGCCCCGAATAGCCAGGCTGACACAGGCAGAGTGTGGAGCCTGTGAGGGGGTTGGTGCTGCATTGGGCATCCCCATGGCACGGCTGGCTCAGACACATGTCTTCCAAGTGGCACAGGAGTCCTGGAGGGGTAAGAGGGGGTGAGGCTCTCAAAGGCCACTTGAAGCTCCTAGCAGTCCTCCTGGTGCTTCTCTCACCCTCCTTCTCTACCTCCCACCTCCTGATACCCTCTACCCCCATACCTGTGCGTCCAGGTGGGCAGAGGCAGGAGAAAGAGCCCACCCGGTCAATGCAGGTGGATCCCGGGGCACAGGTGGCAGCAATACAGTCATCCAGGTTCTCCTCACAGCTTGTGCCGCCCCAGCCACTCACACACACGCAGTGAAAGCTACCAGCAGAGTTCTGGCAGGTGCCCCCGTTTCTGCAGTGAGGGGGACCCTGGGTCTCACACTCATCCACATCTTCGGAGCAGTCCCAGCCTGCAGGGGGTTGGGGAGGGGACGAGGGCTAAGGCTGGGAGCCCTATGAGTAGGGGAGGCCAGGGGCCAACTCTCTGGGCCATGGGTGTCATGGATGTGGCTTAAACAACTCACCTGTCCAGGTTTCTGGGCAGAGGCAGGTGTAGGTGTCCAGCCCATCCTGGCAAGTGCCCCCATTCTGACACTGGTGGCTGACACAGTTGTCTGGATTCACCTCACAGTCTGGGCCTATGAAACCTGACAGGGTCATGGATCAGCTGTGGGAGGAGGCTCCAACGGAGACATCCTGCCCTGCCCAGAGAGAGGGGCGGCCGGAGAGCCCCTGTGAGGACACACCTGGGGGACAGAGGCAGAGGTGAAAGGTGGAGTCTTTCTCTGGCATCAGCTGGCAGGTGCCCCCATTCGAACAGCCCCTAGGAGGGCAGGGTCCTGCCCGCAGCTCACAACGTGGACCCTCCTGCCCCACAGGGCAGAGGCACTGGAAGGAGCCCAGGGTGTTATGGCAGGAGGTGCCTTTGGGGCAGGGTCCTGGGTCCTGGAAGCACTCGTTGACATCACGTTCACAGGCATGGCCCTCGAAGCCCGGTGGGCAGTGGCACTGGATCTGGGGGTATGTGGCCAGACACACCCCTCCATTAACACATGGGTTGGCTGAACAGAAGTCCCGAAGCTGGCACTGCTCACCTGAGGCAGAGGACAGAGGGAGCCGTTTCTAGCATTGTACGAATTCTAGCCCATCTGAGGTTACCCAGTGCTCACTCTGGATTATCTCTGGGTCTCATTTTCATATTTCCTTCCCTTTATTACCATACTTTCTTTGCTCTGTTCCATCACCCCTGCTCTGAGCGATGTCATGGCTTGGGAGGGTTTATCTGGAGTGACCATATCTTCTAAAGTGATGATGAGAGTATTGCAAATTGGCCTTGCCTGAGAAAATCTGGGACGTGGGTGATCTTGGGGGAGGTGAAAAGCACCCCACGTCTGCAGGCAGGAGACTCAGGTGGCACCATGCTGTGCCACAACTGGTTGTATACCCTTGGGTGAGCCACTTTGCCTTTCTGATCCTCATTTCCTAATCTTTAAGTGGGTTTAGGCACCTGGAGACTCACTTCACAGTCCATGTGCACCAGTGGTAATGGCGGCAGCAGTGGAGGTGCCAGGTGCTGAGCTGAGCAAGCATCTCCTGAGCATCGGCCCCTTCTGTCCTCTCAGCAACCTTATGAAGTGTGACCATTACTCTCCCTGTTTGTCAGCTGACAACTGAACACCAGAAAGCTAAAATATCTTATATGAGGTCATGTAGCTGATCAGTGGCAGAGCTAGCATTTGGATCCAGGGGCTGGTGCAGAGCCCCTAGAATGAAGCACTAAGCTTGCCCCAGGGTTACACCCCTCCTCCTGGGGCGGCCCCCAATCCACTCTCTGGGTCACATCCTTCCCTTCCCGGTGCCCCTCCCACCACTGCAGTCTTCCCAGGTGATATAATGGCTCCCTCCACTCAGAATGGGAGCCATTCAGATGCTCAGAATGCAAAAGTCTGGAGGACCCCTGGTATGCAGAGCAATGACCCTCTTCTAGCTGCTAGGCAATGGGGAGATTAAAGGGGCTAGGACAGGCATCAGGATGGTGCACAAAGGGGGCTCATGGCACCCTTAATTTGGAAATATTTTAACATTTTAGCAATCAGTACAACCATGCTGGTGAATGTTGGTTGTGGGTAAGTGGATTGCCAAGAATTGGCATGTTGATTCTCATGGCTTCTGTCTTCAAAGGGCTTGCAGTTTCTCAGGCTCCAGTTCTATCTTCCCCACCCACAGCCTAGCCCATTGCTCCTGCCTGTCCCCTCCTGGCTGCCCCCAGCAGCGCTTACCTGTCCATCCAGGCATGCAGGAGCACTGTGGGCGGCCCGAGGCCTGGATGTGGCAGCGGCCCCTTTTGGAACAGAAGGAGGGAGGACAAGGGTCTTCAAGCTTGGCCTGGCATCTCTCACCAGTGAAGCCAGGGAGGCAAGTGCACAAGAAGCTGGGTGTCAATGGAGAGGGAGAGCTGGGGAGCCCTAGGGGAGCGGGAAGCAGGGCTTGGCAGCTGCCTCCATTTTGGCAGAGCTGGGCGTTCTGGCAGGGGTCAGGAAACTGGCACGTCTCACCCAGGAAGCCAGGGGCACACCTGGGCAGGGGAGGAGAGGAAAACTCACATCACTGGTCCCTCTTCCTATTCTTGCCCACTCCCTCCTCTGCCTTCATTTGTTTCCCTTCATCTCCTTCACTTCCTCTCTTTCTTCTTTGGTCTCACTTCCTCACCTCTCCCCCCCTGCTCTCCCTCCCCCTTTCTCTCCAGTCTCCCACTCCTGCAAGGCACACTCACTGGCAGGTCCCTTGTCCCAGAGACAGGCTCAGGCAGGTGCCTCCATTGGCACAGGGTTCTGGGAAACTCCCACACAGCAGCCCTGAGGGTGGAGAGGCAGGCGCAATGGAAGCCCTGGGTGCTGTGCCTCCACCTTTCCTCTTCTAGGTGCTCCTGAGAGACCTGCCCACAGCAGCTCCCACAGGTACTCTAAACCACCTCTTCTTCACATCTGTCCCCACTCTCCACATGGTACCCAGCCCCAGCCCCAGTGCCCTCCGTCCCAGTTACTAATCCCTACCCCCCTTTCCTGTTTATTCTCTGGCCTCCCAAGTCCAGCCTCGGACTCCATCTCTCGGAAGCAAGACAACAGGGGTCAGAAGAGGGGCGGAGGTGGCTCCCGGGAGGTGAATGGCTGAGACTTCGAAGAGATTTCCTCCCGGAAAGGCCGAGCATTGAGCCATCCGGGGGGTGGGGACAGCTGGACTAAGAAAGGGCTTAGTAGGCCTGACCTTTCATGTCCCCATCTCCTGCTTCCCTCTCATCTCCTCCCCAAGCAGGTGGTCAGTGTGTTCCCTCTTCCCCTCTTCCCTATGGCTGCAAGAGTCCTCCAGTGCCAGTGCTGACGAGGTTCTTCCTGGAGGTGGGCACCCTCTCACCCATCCCCCAGCAGTCACCACCCCTGGCACCAGGCCCGAAGCAGCTCCATGGGCAGAGCCGTCTTTCCCTGGAGGCCGTCTCTATTTGGGCAGTGAGAATCTCCTCCATCCAGCATCCCTCACACGGCCTGGGGCTTGGCCCTCTTCCCCCACCCCACTGATCATCCTCCTAAGGGAGCTGGGTCCCCTCACCTCACCCACGCCATGCCTCACCTCTGGGTCTGACCACTGAGACACATAGCAGCAGCAGCAGCAGCAGCAGCAGCAGCAGTGAAGGGGGCTGCATTCCACAGCCCCTTCTCCAAGCCCCGGTCCCTGTCCCTCTTCAGGCAGGGACCCTCAGAGCTCTCACTGGGGCAGGAGCCACCTCCTCTGCTCCCACTGCCCCTCTTCTTCCTCCTCGGCCTGCTGCAAGCCTCACGTCTGAGCTGTTTCCTGAGTCACACAATGTCCTGGACACCCTAGTAATGGGGGGCGGAGGAAGAGTGGAGGAACACTAGGGGGGATGAAGGAGGGGCCTTCTGTCCCTGACAACCCCTGGGGAAGTAGGGGGAAGTAGGACGGTGTGCCTGGAGGGCAGGTGATAGGAGGGGAGAAGGAATCTCGGAACCCCCTGGGCAGTCCCAGCCCTGCTGTTTGTTGATCTGGTCTCTCCTTTCTAGGGATGAGAATTGCAAGGTGGCTGCCCTGTGCCCCAGGAGGGGCAGGACCTGGAAACAGGTATTGGGTGGTTACAGAGTTCTGTATTCCTCCTCCCAGGAGAGGATGCTTAATTTGCCAGGTTATTACAGATGCTTCTCAGAGAACCTGCAACTTGTCATAATTTGAAACCACTCACCTTGGCTAAAGGAACCCAGGGGCTTCTGGGCCTTATCTTGGCTCTTGCCAGGACTTATTTTTCTCCTTCTGGCAAATGGGCAAGATGCTGGCCGGTTTTGGGGAAATCTTGGTCTTCCTGTTGTAGGGGAATGTTAAGACTGTCATTATCAGTGATAAATGAACATAGTCTACCCTAAATTTTGCAGTCTGAATTGTCTGTAACAAACACTGAATTTGGGTAGTTTTCACTTCCTCCATCTCTGCCTCCCTCCGCTGTCAAGGTCCTTGGGATGCAGGGAATGCCAGTCAGAATGCAAAATTGGAGTCAATAAAATCACAAAAGAGAATTCTTTGCCTCAGAATGCTCATCCTACCTTCTTGAGTCAACCCAGGACAACTTTGGGGTCAACCACACACTGAGTTCCTTTAGTAGCACAGGGAACTGAGAGTCCAGGGTGGCAGAAGGTGTCAGTGGCAGCTGTGCTCTCCCTGGTGTTGAGGCACTCATGGCTGCTGCTGGTGCACCTGAGAGCCTTCCCCTACCGGGGAATATACTTCACCAGCACCACTTTCTTCCTTTTTTTAGCTTTTTATTTTAAAATACTTTTAATCTCATGGGAAAGGGGCAAAAATACTAAAAAGAATTCCAGGATACCCTTCACTCAGATTCATCCACTAATATCATTTGACCACATTTACTTTATCATTATTTCTCTATAAATACACATTTGTATTTTTTTCTGAACCATTTGAGAGTAAGTTGCATACAAGATACCCTTTACCCTTAAATCCATCAGTGCAAATTTTCTAAGAACAAAACATTCTTTTACATAATATAGTACAATTATCCAAATCAGGAAACTTAGACCGATGTAATACTATGATCTAATTGACAGTCCAAATTCAGGTCCTGCCAATTGCCCCATAATGTCCTTCATGACAATTTTTTCCTTTGGTCTAGGATCTCATTTGGCATCCTGCATTGCATTTAGCTGTCGAGTCTTTTTAGTTTCCTTTAATATGAGTACAGTACCTTAAATGTACTTTGCCTTTCATTATATTGACTTTTTTTTTTTTTTTTTTGAGACAGTCCAGGCTGGATTGCAGTGGCACGACCTTGGCTCACTGCAACCTCCACCGCCTGGGTTCAAGCAATTCTCGTGCCTCAGCCTCCTGAGTAGCTGGGATTACAGGCGCCCACCACCACGCCTGGCTGACTTTTTGTATTTTAGTAGAGACAGGGTTTCACCATGGTGCCCAGGCTGGTCTCAAACTCCTGAGCTTAGGCAATCCACCCATCTTGGCCTCCCAAAGTGCTGGGATTACAGGCGTGAGCCACCGCACCTGGCCGATACTGGCATTTTTAAGCATACAGGACAGTTGTTTTGTAGACTGTTCCTAAATTTGAGTATGTCTGGTGTTTATGCATTTTTGGGCACGAGTACCAGTGTATCACATTAGGAAGCCCGTGAGCCAGCATCATTTATAATGGTCACCCAGTATTCTACTAGTTCATTTAAACCAATTTCCTATTATAGCATGTTTAGGTGGGTCTCAATTTGCTTTCTGTTTTTTTAGAGACAGGGTCTTGCTCTGTCACTCAGGCTGGAGTGCAGTGGCACGCACATAGCTCACTATAACCTTGAATTCCTGGGCTCACGGCAACCTCCTTCCTCGGCCTCCCAAAGCTCTGGGATTACAGGTGTGTACCACCACACCTGGCCTTCAATTTTTAAACATATAATAAACTGAGCTGTGGTAAATATTCTTTTTTTTCTTTTTCTTCTTCTTTTTTTTTTTTTTTGAGATGGAGTCTCACTCTGTTGTCCAGGATGGAGTGCAGTTGTGTGATCTCGGTTCACGGCAACCTCTGCTTCCTGGGTTCAAGCTACTCCTGCCTCAGCCTCCTGAGTAGCTGGGATTACAGGCACATGCCTGGCTGATTTTTGTATTTTTAGTAGAGACGGGGTTTCATCATGTTATCCAGGCTGGTCTCGAACTCCTGACCTCAGGTAATCTGACCACCTCTTTCGGCCTCCCAAAGTGCTAGGATTATAGGTGTGAGCCACCGCGCCCAGACCTTCGGTAAATATCCTTGAACTTACATATTTGCATGGCTAATTATTGCCTTAGGCTAAATTCTAGAAGTGAAACCCCTGAGTGAAAGGGTGAAGACATAGACTTGTTTTAAAGCTCTTGGTCTCTATGTGTTGCCAAGCCATTCTCCAGAAAGCAGTGAGGCCTTTCTACTCCAGTTAGTAGTGTCTGCCTGTGTCCTTACTCTCGCCAACCCTCCACATTAGAATCCTCGCCACTTTGATAGATGAAATGGTCTCTTATTGCTCCTTTAAACTGCACATTTGTTGTTAAATGTCAACATTCTTTTTAACTGTTTAATGGCTATTCGTGTTTCCTGTCCATGCTTTTGTGAGTTTCCTGTCCATGCTTTTGTCCCATTGTCCTATTGGTGTCATTGTCATTTTCCCATCACCTTCCTTAGTCGAGGAGGCAATTGTGGGTATGGGGAAGAGGAACCCTAGTGTAAAAGTCCCTGCTTTTGTACTCTCTGGTTTGCTGACTGGGGATTTGGTGCTGGTGAGTAGTGAAAGGAAAATGGGAAGAGACAACAGGTTTCTCATGGAACCGCGAAGACCTTGGTGGAAAGAACTGAACTCACCATTTCTGCAATGTTGACAATCTAACACCATTTGTGGAAAGGGAGGCTGGGGCACTAGGCTGGAGCTTGAGAAAAAGGAGAAATTGCAACGGAGACAGAGAAGTGGTTAGGTGGAAGGGAACCAGAAGTGTGGTGGGCAGAAGCTGAGTTTAAAGACAGTGTCAGGAAGCTGCCTGCCCACTTCTTGCTTTATCCTGCTTAAGGTAAGGCAGTGTGCACCTGCTCAGGCATTATGAGCTATGCTTGGGTCCCAGATACTTTTCCTGGCCTCTAAGACCTTACAGCCCAAAGCAGTATTGATGCTCCCCCAAGAGCTTGTTTCTCCTTCCCAATGGTTTCCCAAGGGTTGATACTGACCAGGGTGGTACCATCATCACTACAGTGAACTGCAGCATGCCAGGGATACAGATAGTTCCCTCTGGGAAATGACCCTTTTTCCTACAGTATTTCATCAAATAGAGATTCATTTTATTAAAGGGATTTTCTTTCATTGTATACCCCCTGAGAAGGATAAACCTGTCAGTCATTCACACTTCAGTCATAGGGACTTGTGACCTTAAAAGGTGAACTCCGAGGTTGGCCCTGATAATGTGTCCAAACACAAAGAAGGCAATAGGCCACTGTAGCCATAGAGATAAGCAAGAGTGCCAGGTGCAGCGGTGGCTCATGCCTGTACTCCCAGCACTTTGGGAGGCCAAGGTGGGAGAATCACTTGATCCCAGGAGTTCAAGATCAGCCTGGGCAACATAGGGAAACCCCATCCCTATGAAAAAATACAAAAATTAGCAGGCCGTGGTGATGCACACCTGTTGCCCCAGCTACTTGGGAGGCTGACGTGGGAGGATCACTTGAGCCCAGGAGGTTGAGGCTGCAACGAGCCATAATCATGCCACTGCAATCCAGCCAGGGTGACAAGGTGAGACCAGAGTGAGAAAAAAAAAAAAAAAAAAGAAATAAGCAAGAGTAATCCACTCTTGGAGATTATTTGTAAATATATGGTTCGGGAGATATGGAGCCCCTCGTTGCCCCAGGCCCCTCCCTCTCTGCCTCCCTGTTGGTTACTCTTCATCTCTCCAACCTCTTACCATTGTAGTGTCCATGGTTATTCCCTGGGCCTCTTCTAGTTTTCTGTCTCCCTAGGTGATCTCATCCAGTCTCCTGGCTCCCTACCAGATTCAGATACCATCTATGAAGACCACCTTTGTGCTGATGACTCTCAAGATCATACACTTCCCGGAACTCCAGACTTGTACTTCCAAGTACAAGTACCACAAACTTAACATGTCCAGAACTGACCTGATCTTCTCCCTTAACCTTCTCTTCCTTCCTGATAGAATTGAGTTTTGCAGTTCTATTCTTTCCATTGTTTAGGCCCAAATCCTTGAAGATATTGCTGACTCCTCTCTTTTTCTCATACTCCACATCCAAACTGTCTTAAATCCTGTGGACTCTACCTTCAAAATATGTATATCCAGGCCGGGCGCGGTGGCTCACGCCTGTAATCCCAGCACTTTGGGAGGCCGAGGCGGGTGGATCATGAGGTCAGGAGATCGAGACCATCCTGGCTAACAAGGTGAAACCCCGTCTCTACTAAAAATACAAAAAATTAGCCGGGCGCGGTGGCGGGCGCCTGTGGTCCCAGCTACTCGGGAGACTGAGTCAGGAGAATGGCGTGAACCCGGGAAGCGGAGCTTGCAGTGAGCCGAGATTGCGCCACTGCAGTCCGCAGTCCGGCCTGGGCGACAGAGCGAGACTCCGTCTCAAAAAAAAAAAAAAAAAAAATATGTATATCCAGAATCTGAGCACTTCTCATCTCTTCTCATCCCTATTGCCAATATCCTAGTCCAAGCCTATGTCATCTCTTGCATCTCCTAACTTGTCTTCCTGCTGCTGTCCTTGCTCTCCTTGTCCATATCTCTACACAGCAGCCAAAGTGAGTCAGTTGAAATACAAGTTAGACCACCTCACTCCTCTGCTCAAAAGTCTCCAATCGCTTCTCCACTCACTCAGAGTAAAGCTAACTTTCCTACAGGGCCTGCAAGGCTCTGCACAAGGCCTTTCCCTCTCAATCTCTTTCTCTCTCTCTCTTTTTTTTTTTGTTGAGACGCAGTCTTGCTCTGTGGCCCAGGCTGGAGTGCAGTGGTGCAATCTCGGCTCACTGCAACCTCCGCCTCCCGGGTTCAAGCGATTCTCCTGCCTCAGCCTCCTGAGTAGCTGGGACTACAGGTGCGTGCCACCACGCCGGGCTATTTTTTTGTATTTTTAGTAGAGATAGGGTTTCACCGTGTTAGCCAGGATGGTCTCTATCTCCTAACCTACCTGCCTCGGCCTCCCAAAGTGCTGGGATTACAGGCATGAGCCACTGCCCCCCAGCCAAGGCCCTTCCCTCTCTAACCTCATCTTTGATTACTTCTCACCATCCAGCCCCATTAGCTTCCTGCTGTTCTTGAAACAGGCACATTCACACCTTAGAGCCTTGTTCTTCTCACTGCCTGAACTGCTTCCTTCCCCAGCTGTCTTCGTGGCTCTGTCCCTCATCTCAAAAGGCACCTAATCAAGGCCTTCCTTGGCTACCCCATTTCAAAACTGGAAGCCTTCTCTCATGTTCCCCACCCCCATTGGCTTTTCTCCTTATTATTTCTCACCATCTAACTAACATATATTTAATTTATATTTCTTATTTACTGACTGCCAATTCCACAAAGTCAAGGATTTTTGTCTTTTTCATTTACTTGTTTTTGGACTTGACCATGCCTCAGTGTGTGGAGCAGGACCTCAACTCAGCGTGCACTGTCTCACTTAAAATACCCCCAGGAGGAGGATACCATTACCTCCACCCACAGTGAGATGTGGAGCTCAGAGAAGTTGAGTCACTTGTACAAGTTCATATAGCTACTAAGTGTGTTTCAGATGTGAGTTATTCACATCCAAACCCATGTTCTTTCTACCCTGAGGCGCCATCTGTCTTAGTAGGGTTTATTTTTTGTCATTTAAAAAACTAATGTGGGCATGGCTGGGAAACAAGTTTCTGCTTCGATTACATCAGAAACTACAGATCCAGACATTCTCTTATGCCTTTGCTGACATTCAGTGCAGCATTCAGTAAGTACTGATGCATGTCATTTGCTTATTTACTTATCAATTCATTTACACAGTATTTATTGAACACAGTCTTTATACCCCGCAATGTTTTAGGCCCTGAATTTATGGTCTTGAACAAAATAGACAGATACCAAGTAAATATGAAATATAATATCAGATAGCGATAAGGAGTATGAGATGATATAAGGCAGGGTGAGGGGAGAGAGAACTTGGGGGCTACTTTAGATTGGGAGGTTGGTCGGGTGCGGTGGCTCACACCTGTAATCCCAGCACTTTGGGTGGTGGAGGTGGGATCATCTGAGGTCAGGAGTTCGAGACTAGCCTAGCCAACATGGTGAAACCGTGTCTCTACCAAAAATGCAAAAATCAGCCAGGCATAGTGGCACACGCCTGTAGTCTCAGCTACTCCAGAGGCTGAGGCAGGAGAACCACTTGAACCTGGGAGGTGGAGGTTGCATTGAGCTGAAATTAAGCCATTGCACTCCAGCGTGGGTGACAGAGCAAGACTCCGCCTCAGGCCGGGCGTGGTGGCTCACACCTGTAATCCCAGCACTTTGGGAGACCAAGGCAGGTGGATCACCTGAGGTCAGGAGTTTGAGACCAGCCTGACCAATATGGTGAAACCCCATCTCTACTAAAAATACAAAAATTAGCCGGGCATAGTGGTGCACGCCTGTAGTCCCAGCTACTCGGGAGATTGAGACAGGAGAATCGCTTGAACCCGGGAGGTAGAGGTTGCAGTGAGCTGAGATCGTGCCACTGCACTCCAACCTGGGTGACAGAGTGAGACTCTGTCTCAAAAAAAAAAAAAAAAAAAAAAAAAAAGACTGAGAGGTCAATAAGAGATGGCACCTGTAGTTTCAAAAATAAGTACCAAATTAAACTGCTCATCACCACACCCCTACCATCTCTAATTAGGAGTATTGTGATAGTATCCTACCTGGCTCCCTTGCTTCCAACTTGCCCCCAACTGTTGGCCCAGGCCATTCTCGATGTGGTGACCAGTGAGAGATGATTGGGGCATGGTGAGTCTGATTTGGAATATATTTTAAAACTAGAGTGGGTATAGTTTGACTGAATAAGGGGTACACAGGTTGGGTCTCCAGGAAGTGGACTTTGAGATTTAACCCGGAGCTGGGATGGCCCTTCAGAGCCATCCCCAACTGGGGCAAGGGAGCTGGGTTTTTGCCCCCCACATTAATCAGTCACGGAAGGTGGGTTGCCCCTAGAAAGAGTGTGACCTTGGGGAAGCAATTATCTTCAGTCCACAAAGAGGGCTGAGAGGTGAGGGCTGTCCTTGAGCAGAAGACTTGGGTAACACTGTCAACTAACTAAGCCTAACGGACATCTATAAAACACTCTGCTAAACAATAGCAGGATATACCATTTTTCTCAAGTGTACATGGAACGTTCTCCAGGATAGGCCATATGCTAGGCCATAAAACACGTCTCAATAATTTTAAAAGGACTGAAATAATACAAAGATGTTCTCTGATCACAATAGAATTAAATTAGAAATCAACAACAACAGGAAATTTGAGAAAATTACAAGTGTGTGAAAATTAAACAGCATGCTTCTAAACAACCAATGGGTGGAAGAAGAAATCACAAGGAAAACCAGAAAATATTTCAAGCTGAATGAAAATTGAAACAGAACATATCAGAATTAATTTTTGACATGTAGCTAAAGCTATGCTTAGAGGGGATTTATAGCTTGTAATTCCTATATTACCTCATACCATACACAAAAAACCAACTTAAAATTGATCATAGACCTAAATGTAAGTGCAAAACTATAAAACTATTAGAAAAAGGCCTAAAAGTAGATATTCATGATGTTGGGCTAGGCAATGATTTCTTACATATGATACTTTCTTACATCTACACAAGCAATAAAATAGTATTTTGTTTTTGGAGACAGGGTCCTGGTATGTCACCCAGTCTGGAGTGCCATGGTGCAATCATAGTTCACTGCAGCCTCAACTCCCGGGCTCAAGTGATCCTCCTGCCTCAGCTTCCTGGATAGCTGGGACTACAGGTGCATACAACCACGCTTGGTTAATTGTTAAATTTTTTTTTTTTTTTTTTTTTTGGTGTGGAGACAGGGTCTCACTATATTGCCCATGCTTCACATAAAATATTGATAATTGGATTTCATCAAAATTGAAAACTTTTGTACTCCAAAAGGCACCATCAAGAAAGTGAAGGCTGGGTGTGGTGGCTTACACCTGTAATCCTAGCACTTTGAGAGGCCGAGGCAGGTGGATCACTTGGGGCCAAGAGTTTGAGACCAGCCTGGCCAACATGGTGAAACCCTGTCTCTAAAAAATGCAAAAATTAGCCGGGCATGGTGGTGCATGCATGTAGTCCCAGCTACTTGGGAGGCTGAGGCAGGATAATTTCTTAAACCTGGGAGTTGGAAGTTGTGGTGAGCCGAAATCATGCCACTGCACTCCCGCCTGGGTGATAGAGCAAGACTCTGTCTCAAAAAAAAAAAAAAAAAAAAAAAAAAAAGAAAGTGGAAATTGCCTTCATTAAGGAAAAAAACAAACATAAAAATAACAGCAACCATAAGAAAGTGAAAAGATAAACAAAAGCAATAGAATGAGATCAAGTATTTGCAAATCATTTATCAGATAAGGGACTTGTATCTAAAATATAAAAAGAACTTTTATAACTCAATAATAACAATAAAAAATGGGCAAGAGATTTGAATAGACATTTCACCAAAGAAGATACATAAATGGCCATCAAATACATGAAAACATACTGTTTGGGGTTCACTTAGCTTCTTGCATCAATCAGTTAATATCTTTTGCCAAATTTGGGAGTTTTTCAGGCATTGTTTCTTTGAGTACATTTTCCTGCTCCATTCTCTCTCTCTTCTTCTTAAATGCTGATGACAGAACGTTAGTTAGCTCTTTTGTTACAGTCCCATAAATGAACCTCTGTTCATTTTTTTCAGTCTATTTTTCTCCGTTGTCCAGATTGAGTAATTTCTCTTCTACCTTTAAGTTCGCTGAATCTTTCCTCTGTCCTCTCCAATCTGCTGTTAAGCCAATCTATTGAGTCTTCAATTTTCATGATTATATTTCTAAGTTCTAAAATTTCTATTTGATTCTTCTTCTTCTTCTTTTTTTTTTTTGGAGATGGAGTTTCACTGTTTTTGCCCAAGCTGAAGTGCAATGGTACGATCTTGGCTCACTGCAACCTCTGCCTCCCAGGTTCAAGTGATACTCCTGCCTCAGCCTCCCAAGTAGCTGGAATTACAGGCACCTGCCACCATGCCTGGCTAACTTTTTGTATTTTTAGTAGAGACGGGGTTTCACCATGTTGGCCAGGATGGTCTTGATCTCTTGACCTCATGATCCGCCCACCTCCGCCTCTCAAAGTGCTGGGATTACAGGTGTGAGCCACCTCACCCGGCCTGATTCTTCTTTATATCTTCCATTTCTTTGCCAAAATTTCTGGTTTTCATTTGTTTCAAGAGAGTTTGTAATTGCTTGTTAAATGTTGTTTTTTTTTTTTTCCTTTTCTTTTTGAGACAAGGTCTTGCTCTGTTGCCCAGGCTGAAGTGCAATCATGGCTCACTGCAGCCTTGACCTCCTAGGCTCAAGTGATCCTCCCACCTCAGCCTTCAAGTAGCTGGTACCACAAGTACACACCACCATGTCTGGCTAATTAAAAACATTTTTTTTTTCCAAGGGGCTGGGACCACAAGTACACACTACCATTCCTGGGTAATTATTATTATTATTATTATTATTATTATTTTGTTGTTGTTTTTTGTAGAGACAGCATTTCCCTATGTTGCTGGTCATGAACTCCTGGGCTCAAGTGATCCTCCCACCAGGCATGAGCCACTGCACTTGGCTGTAAAGCTTTTTTTTTTTTTTGAGACAGAGTCTCACTCGGTTGCCCAGGCTGGAGTGCAGCAGTGCAATCTTGGCTCACTGCAACCTTCACCTCCCAGGTTCAAGTGATTCTCCTGCCTCAGTCTCTCGAATAGCTGGGATTATAGGCATCTGCCACCATGTCTGGCTAATTTTTGTATTTTTAGTAGAGATGGGGTTTTGCCATGTTGGCCAGGCTGGTTTTGAACTCCTGACCTCAAGTGATCTGCCTACCTCGGCCTCCCAGAATGCTGGGATTACAGATGTGAGCCAATGTGCCTGGCCTGTGAAGCTTTTTTATTTTTATTTTTATTTTTTTTGAGATGGAGTGTTGCTCTGTCACCCAGGTTGGAGTGCAATGGCATGATCTCAGCTCACTGCAACCTCTGCCTCCGGGTTCAGGTGATTCTCCTGCCTCAGCATCCCTAGTAGCTGGGATTACAGGCATGCACCACCATGCCCAGCTAATATTTGTATGTTTAGTGGAGACGGGGTTTCGCCATGTTGGTCAGGCTGGTCTCGAACTCCTGACCTTGAGTGATCCACCCGCCTTGGCCTCCCAAAGTGCTGGGATTACAGGAGTGAGCCAATGTGCCTGGCCTGTAAAGCATTTTTAATACTTGTTTTAAAATACTTGCTTGCTTTAAATATGCATCAGGTGATTCCAACATTTAAGTCAACTTGGGTGTTGATGTCTGTTAATTGTCTTTTCTTATTCAAGATTTTCCCGATTCTTGGTATGACAAGTGATTTTCGCTTGCATCCTGCACATTTTGGATTGTATGTTATGAGACTCTGGATCTTATTTAAGTCTGTTTTAGTGATCATCCTTTGACACCGCACTAGTTGAGCAAAGAGGGTGCTGCCTCACTGCTGTCAGGTTGGGGGAGAGGCCCAGGTTCCTCACCTGGCCTCTGTGAACACTTGAGGGAGCCGTGCTCCTTGTTATTGCTAGGTGTGGATGGGGGTTCAGGCTTCCCACTAGGTCTCTGCTGACACACCCTGGCTGAGAGAGTAAGAAGCACTTCATTCCTGTTCCCCACGGGGTCTCCAGTGACACTGGTTGTGATGGAGGGGGATTTCATACCACCAGGCGGGGCTGAGAGTCCCAGCTTCCTACTTGCTGGGGAGGGGTGCCTCAGCTGGGTGGGAGTTGATGGCTAAACTCCCCACTCATCCTTTATTGGCAGATATGGGGGTGAGAGTGTTGTTTTTTTTTTTTTTTTTTTTTTTTTTTTTGCCTGAAATAGAGTAGTCATTGTCTAAAAGTTTTGTCTTTCCAGGATGTTCCTTTGTTGGTCCTTTGGCCAGAGACTTTCCGGGATTTTTTTCATCTTCCTGTTGGAGTTTCCTGGTTGCTGGCTTTTCCAGCACCCAGTCTTGTATATATGAGGCAAAAGCCAAACCCAGGGAACTCACCACTATATTGTTTTTTCGGGTCTTGAGATTCCTAGCCAGTCTGCCTTCTCTGCATCTTTCAGGATCTTCTTATGTTTGTTTTATATATACCATCCAGGATTGTAGCTGTATTTAGCAGGAGGAATCAGAAGAGCATCTACGTCATCTTGTCTTGGAGCTTGAAGGCAGCTGGTTAAGTCCTTAAAACATTCAACACAGATTTTCCATATGACTCAGCAATTGGGTTCCTAGGTATCTACCTAAGAAAAATGAAAGCAGGCCGGGTGTGGTGGCTCACGTCTGTAATCCCAGGAATTTGGGAGGCCGAGGTGGGCGGATCACCTGAGGTCAGGAGTTTGAGACCAGCCTGACCAACATGGAGAAACCCCATCTCTACTAAAAATACAAAAATTAGCTGGGCATGGTGGTGCATGCCTGTAATCCCAGCTACTTGGGAGGCTGAGGCAGGAGAATCACTTGAACCCAGGAGGCGGAGGTTGCGGTGAGCTGAGATTGCGCTGTTGCACTCCAGCATGGGCAACAAGAGCAAAACTCTGTCTCAAAAAAAAAAAAAAAAAGAAAGAAAAATGAAAGCGTATTGTCCACACAAATACTTGTATAAGAATTCATAGCAGTGTTATTCACAATAGGTATGAAGTAAAAACAACCAAATATCCATTGATCAGTGAATTGGTGAACAAAATATGGTGTGTCCCTTTGGGAGGCTGAGGCAGGTGCATCACTTGAGGTCAGGAGTTTGAGACCAGGCTGGCCAACATGGTGAAACCCCGTCTCTACTAAAAATACAAAAAATTTAGCTGGGCATGGTGGTGCACCCCTGTAATCCCAGTTACTTGGGAGGCTGAGGCAGAAGAATTGCTTGAACCTGGGAGGCAGATGTTGCAGTGAGCTGAGATCACACCACTGCACTCCAGCCTGGGTGACAGAACAAGACTCTATCTCAAAAAAAAAAAAAAAAAAAAAAGGTGTGTCCATACAATGGAATACTATTCAGCAATAAAAATGAATGAAATATGGATACATGCTGCAAAATGAATGAACCTCAAAAACATTATGCTAAGTGAAAGAAGCTAGACTCAAAAGGCTGCAGGAATCCACTTACATGAAATGTCTAAAATAGGCAAATCTATAGAGACAGAAAGATTAGTGATTGTCTAGGGCTCAGGTTTGGAATGGGGGCTAAGTGCAAAGGAATATGAAATTTCTTTTTGGTGTGATGGAAATGTTTCAAAATTAGATTGTGGTGATAGTTTTACAACTCTATAAATATACTAAAATCATTGAATTGTACACTTAAAATGGATGATTTTTTTTTCTTTGAGATGGAGTCTCGATCTGTTGCCCAGGCTAGAGTGCAGTGGTGCCATCTTGGCTCACTGCAATCTCCACCTCCCAGGTTCAAGCAATTCTCTTGCCTCAGCCTCCCGAGTAGCTGAGATTACAGGGGGCCACCACTACACCTGGCTAATTTTTGTATTTTTAGTAGAGACGGGGTTTCACCGTGTTGGCCAGGCTGGTCTCGAACTCCTGACCTCAAGTGATCCATCCACCTCGGCCTCCCAAAGTGCTGGGATTACAGCTGTGAGCCACTGCGCCTGACCAAAGTGGGTGAATTTTATGGTGTGTAAATTATGCCTCAATAAATCTGTGAGAGGAGAGGAGGTAGAGACATTTTGTGTTGTAGAATTTCTTAAGGAATTTTGCTGTCAAGAGCTGCAGAGAAAGTATGTCTAGCGAGACAGCATATGAGGTCATGAGAAATTTTAAAAAACTCATTATTTCAGAAAATTCATACACATAAATAGAGATAATGAAAAAGAACTCCCATATACCCGTGACCCAGATGCAATAATCATTAATTCAGGACCACTGATGCCTGTAATCCTAGCACTTTGGGAGGCTGAGGCAGGTGGATCACCTGAGGTCAGGAGTTCAAGACCATCCTGGCCAACGTGGTGAAACCCCGTCTCTAATAAAAAATACAAAAATTAGCCGGACATGGTGGTGCACGCCTGTAATTCCAGCTACTAGGGTGGCTGAGGCAGGAGAATCACTTGAACTCAAAAGGCGGAGGTTGCAGTGAGTCAAAATGGCATCACTGCACTCCGGCCTGGGCAACAGAGCGAGACACTGTCTAAAGAAAAAAAAAATTCAGGACCACTCTGGTTCCATCTCTACTCCCAACCTCCATACCAGATTATTTTAGAACAAATCCCAGATATGATATGATATGATATGACATGATATGATATGATATTGTATCATTTCTATCACAAATATTTCAGTATCCTAAAAGATAAGAACTCTTAAATAATATAACCATTTTGCTAGTATTATTTCTGAAAAGTTTACATAATTTCTTAATATTATCAAATATGCAATGTTTAGTTTTCCCAAATTCTCCATTAAATATATATACAGTTTGAATCAATATCAAAACAATATCCGTGCATTGTATTCAGTTGATATGTGTCTTAAGTCTCTCTTTCTCTTCTTTGAAGTGGAATTCACATTTTAGAACAGTTTTAGATTTCTAGAGAAACTGAGAGGATAGTACAGAGTATTCCCATGTGCCCTCCCTGGATTCAGTGTCCCTTATTAATAACATCTTACGTGAGTGTGGGTATATGTGTTATAATTAATGAATCAATATTGATAAATTGGTCGGGCATGGTGGCTCACGCCTGTAATCCCAGCACTTCGGGAGGCTGAGGTGGGCGGATCACCTGAGGCCAGGAGTTTGAGACCAGCCTGGCCAACATGGTGAAACCCTCTCTCTACTAAAAATACAAAAATTAGCCAGGCGTGGTGGAGCACACCTGTAATTCCAGCTACTTGGGAGGCTGAGGCAGGAGAATCACTTGAACCTGGGAAGTGGAGGCTGCAGTAAGCTGAGATCATGCCACTGCACTCCAGCCTGGGCAACAGAGCAAGACTCTGTCTCAAAAAAAAAAAAAAGATAAATTATTATTAAAGTCCATACTTCATTCATTCAGATTGTCTTAGTTTTCACCTGGTGTCTTTTTGTCTGTTCCAGGATTCCATATTTCTTTTCCTTTTTTTTTTGAGTCGAAATTTTGCTCTTGTTGCCCAGGCTGGATTGCAATGGTGTGATCTTGGCTCACTGCAACCTCCGCCTCCTAGTTTCATGCAATTCTCCTGCTTCAGCCTCCCGAGTACCTGGGACTACAGGTGCCCACCACCATGCCCGGCTAATTTTTTTGTATTTTGAGTAGAGACGGGGTTTCCCCATGTTGGACAGGCTGGTCTCGAACTCCTGGCCTCAAGTGATCTGCCCGCCTCGGCCTCCCAAAGTGCTGGATTGCAAGCGTGAGCCACCACGCCTGGCCTTCCAGGATACCATATTTCATGTATTTGTCATGTCTCTTTGGGCCCTCTTGGTTGTGACAGTTTTGCCAGTGTTCCTTGTTTTTGGTGACCTTGATAGTTTTGAGGTGTACTAGTCAGGTGTTATGCAGGCTGCCCCTCTTTTGGAATTTGTTTGGTGATTTTCTCATGGTTAGACTTGGAGCTTAAGTCTCTTTAAATCTTTTTTTACCCCCTTGACATTTATTTGTTGAAGAAATGGCTTGTTTCCTATAGAACTTTCCACATTCTGAATTTTGCTAATTGAATCACTGTACCATTTACCATATTCCTCTGCCTCCCCCATTTTCTTCTTAAACTGGTAGTTAGATTTAAAGACTTTATATGATTCATGATCTATTTTCTGGCAAGGCTACGTCATAGGTGGTATTGTGCTGTGTTTCTATCAGGAGGCATAGAATTCTAGTTGGTAGCCATGATGAGCATTGCTAGATCCATTATTTTCTTAGGGATTATAAAATGCAGATATTCTAAGTCTATTATTCTGTCTAAACTGATTTCATTTATACAGATTATGTCCCATCTACTATTTTGACATGACTTATTTAGGAAAGGCAGATTGATGCCATTCTTTCCCCTTTATTTAGCAGCTTTCAGAATAATGAGTTTGTTCTCTAGCATCTGCCAAAGGTAACCAATGACCCTTTATTTAGTATCACTATGAGTCAGTTGATTTGAATGTGTTTTAATCCGTTGCTATCACTATTTTTACTGAGGCTCCATTTATGCCATATTTGGGCAGTGCGAGCCTCAAGTTGATAAAATACTAATATCTTTGATGCCTTTCTTGTTTTCTGGTGATAAGATGTTCAGGCTCATCTTGTACATAAGCTGCTATATGTTTCTTTTTAGAGGAAATGGTACTAGGAGACCTCAGTTTGGGTGCTGAGGAAGGTTTGTATTTATTCATTTTTTATTTTCTAAGATAGGAGGAATAACATATTTGCTTGCTGATGGGAGTGAGCCACTGCAGAGGGAAAGGCGGTGTGCAGGAGATGGGGTATTGCTGGAGGAATGGCCCTGAGTAGGTGAGAGGCAGTGGGGTCTAGTGCCCAAGTGGAGGAGTTGGTTGTTAGTTGAAAGTGAGGAAGATGAGCTGAGCACATTGGCTCATGCCAGTAATCCCAACATTTTGGGAGGCTGAGGAGGGTGGATCACCTGAGTCAGGAGTTTGAGACCAGCCTGGGCAACATGGTGAAATCTCGTCTCTACTAAAAATACAAAATTAGCCGGGTGTGGTGGTGCATGCCTGTAATCCTAGCTAATTGGGAGGCCGAAGCAGGAGAATCACTTGAACCCAGGAGGCAGAGGTTGCGGTGAGCCGAGATTGCGCCATTGCACTCCAGCCTGGGCCATACAGTGAGACTCTGTCTCAAAAAAAAAAAAAAAAAAAAAGAAAGTGAGGAGGATGGAGGCTGTGTAATGAAATACAAGAAAGTGTGAAATAGTTGCCTTGAAATTCTGTGAGTGAGTGGCCAGGAAAATGCCGTATACTTCTTTTTCTTTTCTTTACTCTAATTCCATCACAGGTTATCTGCTGGGTGTTTCTAATGGCCAACTTGAAGTTTGTAAATGTTTGATGAGCATGGTTGAGTATTTTTATCCAACCACTTCAGCTGCTTGGATGCAGGCATGGAGTCGGTGGGAAGTTGGAGGTAGCCAGAGCTAGGCTTTTGACAGGCAGGCATGATGGAGGGAATGAGGGAAATAGGAGTTGAGATGCAAGATAGCTCTTACAACAATGCTTCATGAAACCTAAGCGGGATAAGGTTGGGAGGGCACAGGATCTCATAATGTCAGGGTCAAAGGGGTTGGAGGTCTGGAGAAGTGAAAATATTGTTTGATCTTTGGAGGTGGACACTAGAGGGAGTGATCTGCAAGGACAGGAAGGGGGATACTTAAAACTGAGATTATGGAGAGGTTTCAGGTACAGGTACAGGTAATGACAAGGTCTAGGTATGACTGTGGAGTGAGTGGCTGTGGTAGGGGGAGGACAAGATCACTGGAGGTGAGAAGGTCAAAAGGTCAAGGTGAGAGGCCAGGGTGTTGGGTGGAGTGTCTTGGTTGATAGAGAAGCCACAAAGAATGGTAGCAGGAGTGGGATGAAGAGAAAGACAGTGACCCAGGGACTGAAAATTTTAGTGAATTGTGAAGAGTGAGGAGTGACTGGAAGGCTGTTAAATGCTGGCAACAGGAGCAGCTGAGGGTGACGTTGGAGGCCACATGTACTGCAAAGCAGCTAAGGCCCTGCATTACTCTTGACCACCAGAGAAAAGTTCATGTATTCATTCATTTATTCAAGCAGTAAGTTAACCAAGCTTGACTATCTACCCTGTGCTTAGCAAAACCCTCCCTGCCCTCACAGAATGTATATGTATTCATTACAAAATTGTCCTTATAAAGTCAGGACATCTTCAGGACACTTCCAGTTAATCAGACACCCCCGTCAATCCTTCTAGTTAACTGACAGTTTTTTTGGTTGTTTGTTTAGCAGTGAATTTTAATGAATAAAACATCTGGGATTAAAACTCTTTTTTTTCCTCCATTTTTTGAGATAGGGTCTTGCTGTGTTGCCCAGGCTGGAGTGCAGTGGTGCGATCTTGGCTCACTGCAACCTCTGCCTCCCAGGTTCAAGCGATTCTCCTGCCCTAGCCTCCCAAGTAGCTGGGACTATAGGTGCACACCACCACACCTGACTAATTTTTGTATTTTTAGTAGAGATGGGGTTTTGTTATGTTGGCCAGGCTAGTCTTGAACTCCTGACCTCAAGTGATCTGCCCGCCTTGGCCTCCCAAAGTGCTGGGATTACAGGCATGAGCCACTGTGCTCAGCCATATTAAAACTCTTGTGTAATAAATTCGCAGATATGGAAATCCTTCATTTTCCACAAAAAAACCCCATCCTGTGTAGATACCAGGTGACCTCATCACAAGAGTCAAAATGAAAGTGCTGTCAGCGTGGTGAGAGAGGTGGTGATGTCAGATCACCTGTGGAAGTGAAAGGACCTTGGAGTTGAAAGGAATCTTCAGGATGGTCTTGCCTCTGGCTTTCAAACTTTTTCTTTTCATCATGTCAAATGTAGAGGAATTTTGTCCATCAAACTCATATCTAGAATCCCAAAATAGAGAAGAGATATAGGATCAGCGCTCTGGCTGAGTCTTTCCCCTCCTGAGACCCCACCCCTACCCAGAGTGACCCTTCAAGGTTGCCATGGGATGTAGGATGCTGGGGAACACAGCCTGGAACTGTTCACTTGGTCCCATTTCTTCTTTTACTGAGGCCCAGAGGGGAGACGCGACCTGCCCAAGGTGACACAGGCTTGGGACCCATGCCCAGTGTCCTGCTTGCTGGTCAGGAGTGGCTGAGGAAAGCAGAGCAGGGGTGAGGTGGGAGGAAAGGGCAGGGCCGCACTGCCTTGGTTCTGGAGCCCTCGCTGATAGCCTTGGGCCTTTTTCACTTGTTTTTCTAACTTTGGGGACAAAAGATTTTCTTTCTTTCTTTCTTTCTTTCCTTCCTTCCTTCCTTCCTTCCTTCCTTCCTTCCTTCTTTCTTTCCTTCCTTCCTTCCTTCATTCCTTCTTTCCTTCCTTCCTTCCTTCCTTCTTTCTTTCCTTCCTTCCTTCTTTCCTTCCTTCCTTCCTTCTTTCTTTCCTTCCTTCCTTCCTTCCTTCTTTCTTTCTTTCCTTCTTTCGCAACAAAGGCATGATAAGAAATTTTTTGGTGGGTAGAGCAGAAGAGTATATAATAGTGAAAAAAACACTTAGCTTAGGAGTTTGACACAGTGTGATGTTGGTCAGACTAGCTAACCTCTCTGAGCCTCACTCAGTTCCTTCATCTGTAAAGAGGTTGGGGCTGGCGTGGGTGAGTGGGTGGGTGCTGGATGAAGAGGGAAGGAGATGGACAGGAGGCACCTGGCGGACTTGGCCAGTGTCAGCTGCCGTCCTAGGAGACTCTGGGCTGGGGCGGCATTACTGGTTATCCCTTTCCTGGGGAGGTTGACAATTAACCCTGGAAACAGTCTTTAAAATTTTTACTGGACACATATAATTATGGATTGACAATCTTCCATTTTAAATTTAGAAACTACAGGCAAAAGTTAAAGATATCACAAATGAGTTTTTTATTTTTATTTTTTCATGACAAGGAAATTAGTTGTGTGCTGGGGTCTAGTATGGGGAAAGAATCTATTAAAATATATTTAAAAAGGTAAATCCAAAAATTTATAATTACAAGAGTGAATGACAAGATGATTGTCAATAAAATTAAATAAGCAAAACAACTGCTTGCCCTTTAGAAAATGTATCCAAGCTCCAGGGATCCAAAATGTTTATGAATCTGTGGATGTCTGTGTGTGTGTGTGTGCGTGTATATTTTTTTTTCGTTGTTGTTTCTCTGCCTCTCTCGCCAAACTATATGGAGCCCTGGCTAAGGATAGAGGACTGTCAGATGTGTTTTCAGGGGAATCGCTGTTTTCTTCACATCAGGGGGAAGTTCTTAGGCAGCTGAAAGCAGGGGCTCAGGTGGGCATGGGGGGGTGGGAGGGCTGAGGTTTAGGATGGGAGGGTGGGTGAGAGCTAGTAAGGGTGGGTGGGGCACTGGGGGTGGGCAGCGGGTACTTGGCTAGGGGTTCAGGACCTGTCTCAGGGCTGCTGTCCAGGGGGGTGGAGGAAGGGGTAGTGAAGGGGTCAGAGCACTCAAGATGCGCAGTGTAGGCAGGGGACAGGCTGCGGTGTGTGAAGAGGGTAGCCTGAGGTGGTGAGACTTGCTGATCACCCAGCTGGGCTGCCTTGGTCTACTCACAACTGGTCTTCCCTGTGTGTTTGGTAAACACCAAAGGAGGTAAACTCTCCAATCCTGGCCTGTGCTGATGGTGAGGCGGGAGAAGGCTTCCCTGGGTCCCAGGTCCCCAACCTGGCACAGTCATGGGTCAAGGGCTGCCTGTTCCTCACCTGCCTTCCTCACGGGGCTTCTGAGCCTAGCCTTGCTTCGGGCATTAGGAGAGTCTGCCTGGAAGGCTCTCTGGCCCCCAATGCCCTGCCCTCCAAGGCTCCCAGTCTAGGTGGGAGAGACATACAGAACAAATAGCATCGTGGGGGTGGTGGGAGGTGGTGTGAACATGTCTCCTGCAAGCTCTGGGAAGAAGCTGTGGCCACACAATGGAATGTCTCCAGCCCTGACCTCTCCTTGGAACTCAGACCTTTCTGCCTCTCTCGCCAAACTATACGGAGCACCTGGTAAGGATAGAGGACTGTCGGATGTGTTTTCAGTGGAATCACTGTTTTCTTCACATTCTTCACATCAGCCACCTCCTCCACTCCCCACCAGGATGTCAACTGAAACATGTCTCAGTCCAAATTCTTTATTCCCTGCTTCTGCAGCTATTCCCTCCCTCCCCGCAATCCTGGCACAGCGTATTGCTTAGGCTGGACTACGCTGTGAATGTGTCTCCCAAAATTCATGTGTTGGAAATTTAATTCCCATGCAACTGTTGGAAGGTGGGGCCTTTTGGGAGGGCCTTTTGGCAGGGCCTGCATGAATGGATTAATGTCATTATAAAAGGACTTGATGGAAAGAGTTCATCCCTTTTGCCCTTCCACTCCCTGCCACGTGAGGACACAGTGTTCCTCCCCTCCAGAGGATGAAGCAACAGATGCCACATTGGAAGCAGAGAACAGCCCTCACCAGGCAGTAGTGCCTTGATCTCAGGTTTTCTGGCCTCTAGAACTGTGAGAAAAGACATTTCTTTTCTTTTTTCTTTTTTTTTTTTTTTTAAGACAGAGTCTTACTCTGTTGCCCAGGCTGGAGTGTAGTGGCATGATCTTGGCTCACTGCAACCTCCGCCTTCCGGGTTCAAGCGATTTCCGGCTAATTTTTGTATTTTTAGTAGGGACGGGGTTTCACCATGTTGGCCAGGCTGGTCTCAAACTCTTGACCTCAAGTGATCCGCTCGCTTCAGCCTCCCAAAGTGCTAGGATTACAGGCATGAACCACCGCGCCCGGCCTCGTTTTGCTATTCTTCAACTTCGCATGTTTGGATTGCTACAGCTTGAGGTCTTTAGTGTCTGGTTTCCTTCGCTCCCTTCCACGGTTCTAAGATTGTTTTCTGCATCCTCCGTACCCCTCCCTCGGTGTCTTCCTGCTGGGAACTGCTCTTTCTGTCTGCCACGTGGTGGCCACAAGGGGGCAGCAGAGGCTGAGGAAAATCTGGTGAGACCAGGTTGGGGGCCTTTTCCCGGGCCCACGAGTTACTCCCCCCCGCCCACGGAGCACCTTCTGTCCGGGCGCCTCCCAGGCCGCTGCTGCTTCTTGGTTCTGCTTCCTTTTCTGAGACCCGCTGCTTTAGAGTAGATTTCTGGAGCAGAGATTTGGAGCAAGGATCTCCAAACTCTTTTGATCACACACTCCATTCAGTAATATATTTTGAACATGCAGCTAACAAACATGTGCAAACATAATGCAGGTTGAAAGAACAAACGCAAATCACATTAAAAGGGCATAAGATTAAAGATTTTATAATAGTTCTAATATGTTCTCTGCCTTCTTTCCTGTCTCTCCAGATCCCTGGAGGACCCCTAGGGCTGGTGCCCCTAATCTGGTGGCCCCCTGTTTAGAGCTCAACTGAGCTTTGATGTAGACCTGGCCCCTGTTAGGGTTTGGCCACACGACCTGTGACCCTGGGCAGGTTTCCTCAGATCATCGAGGCTCTGTCTCTCAGCTGTAAAGTGAGGACAGTAAGGACCATCTCATGGTATTAAGCTAAAACATTCACGGAAATAAATATGTAATGCTCAGAGTAAGATGCCACCTAGTGAACAGTGGGCCTGAGTATTTGGTGGTGGTCATTAGAGAGCAGAGGCGCTGGCCTCAGGGTTCAGCCCACAGTTCTGCCTGTGGAGAGGAGACTCAGTGACAAGAGAGAAAAAAGTGTCCGGCATCCTGGGGACTGAGAATCTGCCTCTCAGGGTTGGACAGGGCAGGGCCTCTTCTGCCTCCAGCACCCCAGGCCTCTCTCCTCTGATTCTATCAGGGACGGAGGCCAAGGTTGGAGACCCCTAGGCCTTTTCACCTAACTTGGTTTTCAAATTCCTCCCACTAGGACTTGCCTGTTTCAGCCTTAACCATGGTTGGGCCTGACCTACACGGGATTGAGAGGGTCAGTAAATTCGTCCCCACCACTGACTGGGTCACCTACCTGGGCAGTACACATGCTGCTCTCGGCAACTGTTTCTTCTCCTGACACTTATGATTTTATATACAAATTGTTGGAAGTTATGTCGTAATATAGTCCTTTTGGTAAGAGTATATATGGTCAAGGATACTGTGACTGAATTTGAAGAGTAAATAATACAGCTCTGTATTGAGCTATATAATGACTAGGGCTCTCTTTATTTTGGGGACAGAGTGAGAACTTCTTCACTTATAAGGTGGCTTTGTCTTGATTGGTGAAAATAGAGAATTATTTCATTGTTGTATAAAAGTTCAGGCCAGGCACGGTGGCTCATGCCTGTAATCCCAGCACCTTGGGAGGCCAAGGCAGGCAGATCACCTGAGGTCGGGAGTTCCAGACCAGCCTGGCCAACATAGCAAAACCCCATTTCTACTAAAAATACAAAAATTAGCTGGGTGTGATGGTGGGTGCCTGTAATCCCAGCTACTTGGGAGGCTGAGGCAGGAGAATCGCTTGAACCCAGGAGGCAGAGGTTGCAGTGAGCTGAGATTGTGCCGCTGCACTCTGGCCTGAGTGACAGGGCAAGACTCTGTCTCAAAAAAAAAAAAAAAGTTCAAATATGTGTAATATGAAAACTGTGCAGCCAAAGGTGTGACTGGTGCTCAATATTATTTTATTGCATCTTTGTTCCAAATCCACTCCATCTTTGTCCTGCCTTGTGGTTCTGGAGCTGGACCCTATACACATTTCTTCTTTGCCATTGGGCACAACGTTAGACTTTGACAGTAAATTGCACTGGAAGGAATACTGCAAGACATAGCAGAGAAAACAGCTTCATTCTAGTTCTGGTACTTTTTTTTGAGATGGAGTCTCACTCTGTCACTCAGGCTGGAGTGCAGTGGCGTGATCTCGGCTCACTGAAACCTCTGCCTCCCAGGTTCAAACGATTTTCCTACCTCAGCCTCCTGAGTAGCTGGGATTACAGGTGCACACCACCACACCTGGCTAATTTTGTATTTTTAGTAGAGACAGGGTTTCACCATGTTGGCCAGGCTGGTCTCGAACTCCTGACCTCAGGTGATCTGCCTGCCTTGGCCTCCCAAAGTGCTAGGATTACAGGCGGGAGCCACCGCGCCTGGCCTGCCAGGCTTTCTTAATATGCCCTACCACCATGAAACTTATATTGGGGAGGAGACTCAGATAGGGGCCAATGGGGGCAAGTTTGAGCCTTGCCAGGTTGATACTTGGGCACTGAGCAGAGTGACTAGTGTCTGTGTTTTGACATGTGTGTATAACTCCTGTTGGAATGGGAAACGTTAATTTATTTCCCCCACACAACCTGTTGGGCTGCCTCTTGCAAAACTGGGGCCTTTTGCCTTTGGTTCCATGAAAAGAAAAGGAATGTTTTTCTTTTGTAAAGTGGCTTGGCCCCCACAGCTATGGTGCAGCAAGCAGGGTCATCAAAAGCCACTCTGCTCTTCTGGAAGCAGCTGAGAAAGGGAAGCCATAAACCTGACAAGCTGGTAAAAAGCTAATTTCTTACCAGCTAGCCTCTGGCCTTTCTCTCTCTGTGCAAATGAGTTGAGTGAACAATAAAAGTCACTGTTTGTCTCCTCTGCAAAGTTTTGATTAATAGGGAAGAAGATTTGTGTGACTAGTCTTAGGTTGTAGTGAATCTTGTGTACTTTTGCTACTTTGAACTATAAATATTTGTATTGTTTGGCCCCTTCTCAGAAATCACCTTTTTTGCCATCTTCCTTTGTCTTTGCCTTTTTGTGTCGTTCTGTCATGGAGAAGGATACCATAGGATAGAACACAGGCCTAGGATCCCTGTAAGCCTGCTGTTCAAGCCAGCCCTGCAGACTGGTCGGTTACAAACTTTGCTGCAGGTCCTTCGAACAAAAACTGGATGAGATTTCCCTGGTCTTGTTTTATGTGGTTGAGAGCTTGACTTTGTAACCATGTAGGGGTACTCTCTCTCTTGATCTCTGCCATCTGGAGGATGGAAATTCTTGGGTTCAAGTCAGGTGGCTGGTCTGAGAGGACTGGGAGTCTGAGACACATTAGCATACTCTTCGTCCTGAATGTGTCGAGCCCTTAGGTGAGTTTTGTCTTAAAACGTCCCATCTCTGCTGGTTGGATTTATTAGGACAAAAAAACAGTCCTATCTCTACAGGACTTTTGTTGTATTTTGCTATCTTAAACCCATTTCCAAGAGGGAATACTTGGGGATGCCTCCTCTAGGAATACTTCTTGCTGCTTATATGGCAAAAACCTGGAAAATTACCATCTGCAATTTAAAAAAGGTGTTTGAGTCTCTATTGGAACTAAGTACACCATTGAAAGAAAAAGGATTTTAGAGATCTCTTATCTAAAACAATTGAAGGAAGGTTAAACAGTAGTGTCGTGGGTAGCCTTAAAAATTCTCTTGAGCAGTTAAAATCATTCGCAAGCTTGAAAATGACTGCTCTAGATTCTTTCTGGGAAGAGCACTGGCAACCACCCTATGCTGTAGCACAGTAGCTAAATCTCTGCCCTTTCACTATGGTGGCCTGGGATCACTTCCCAGCTTAGGGAATGCGTCCTTTCTGGTTTTGTATTTGTGGGACTTTTTGCCATTCATTGATGGACAGCTTCTGATTTCCTGTCTTGAATTTTCCTTGCTCTGAGATACCTTTGGGGTGATTCTAGATCTTGTAAAAAACTGCTTGGCATCTCTTTGGAGATACCTTGTGCATCTGTGGTTAAGTCATAACCCTAGTTAAGGCTCATTGGTTTCAGGTGGGAGGTTATCCTTGGTAGAGAGTTCAAAAGCCAGAAATATCAGCTGTTTGTTCCAGCTAAAAACTGGTAATAAGAGATCTGAAAGAATTTTCTTCAAGAGCTCTATAGTTAAAAGTCAACTTAATTAAAACTGATTTAGAATATATGTGTACAGATATTGTTTTAAAGCCTCTGCTCTCTCTCTGTAAAAACATCTTAAGCAACTGAATTCTGTCTGCTTAAATTTTAATCTTGGTATGTAAAAGCTAGGAAAGAAATATACTTTTAGAGATGGCTATTGACAGTTGTTTACAGTGAATAGTTATTACTACAGGGTGGTACTGCTTTTTTTTTGCACATTTAGATAAGAAAAGCATGCTTTCGGGCACCTAGAAGGTATGGAATGAGGGTTAAGACTCCCATGGAGCATTAAGTGATTACAGAATAGGCTGATTGCTATAGGGTTGCCCACCAGCCTCAGGGGAATGTCCTTGCAGTGAAGTGCACCGTAAAAGCATTGCACTGTCTTGTCCTGCGGTGTTCTCCTCTCTTGAGGACCCAGGATTCAGTGTAAAAGTTGGATCCTTAACTTTGGAGATCTGTTTTGCCTTCCAGCTGTGCCTGCTTATTAGGCCATAGAAACTGCATGCTTTCCTGGCCCTGTTCCTTAAAGGGCTCCACCCTAAAGCCAGTAATTCAATTAAGAAACTAACATCTTTAAAAAAATTTCAGTGGGCAAGTGTGTCTGTTTTCCTAACCATCTTTTTTCTTTTTCTTCTTTTGAGACAGGGTCTTGCTCTGTCACCCAGGCTGGAATGCAGTGGTGAGAACATAGCTTACTGCAGCCTTGACCTCCTGGGCTCAAGTGATCCTCCCAGCTCAGCCTCCCCAGCAGCTGAGACCACTACGCCCAGCTAATTTTTGTATGTTTTTGTAGAGATGGGGTCTTGCCATGTTGTCCAGGCTGGTCTTGAGCTCTTGGGCTCAAGTAATCCTCCTGCCTTGACCTCTCTAAGTGCTGGGATTACAGGCATGAGCCACCACACACAGCTTCCTGGCCATCTTAACTGAACTTTTACTCATACCATTTTTCCTTGGTTTAAATAAAATATGAATTTTCTATTTCATTTCACTTAAGAATTGTGCCTTTAGAAATGCAGATTTGGAGTGGCATAGCTGACAATTATTTAGGGCAGGGAACAGGTAATCAAGAGAAGGTCCAAAATGAGGAAGAGAAACTTTAAAAACTGGCACATGAAGAATCTTACAAATCTATAAAATCTGCTTCTGTGTGTTTGTATGTCTGTGTGTTTATACATGTCATGTGTTTGTGATATTTTCACTACCAAAATATATGAAAAAGCTGTAATTAATGGCTTTTAGAAAAATAAGCACTTAAATATTTTATCAGAGAAATATATATATGTATATATATACATATATATATGTATATATATATATATACATATATATATTTTAATACAGAGTCTCGCTCTGTTGTCAAGCTGGAGTGCAGTGGTGCAATCTCGGCTCACTGCAACCTCCACTTCCCGGGTTCAAACAATTCTCCTGTCTCAGCCTCCTGAGTAGCTGAGACTGCAGGTACACGCCACCATGCCCAGCTAATTTTTGTATTTTTAGTAGGGCCAGGGTTTCACCTTGTTGGCCAGGATGGTCTTGATCTCTTGACCTCGTGATCTGCCCACCTCGGCCTTCCAAAGTGCTTGGATTATAGGTGTAAGCCACTGTGCCAGGCCGAGAAATAGAAATTTTAAGGCCTTTTAGTTCATGTGACTTCAGTGATCTTTGGTAAATAAAGATGGTTTTAAAGATTATTAATAAAATCAAATAACATCTTCAAAATGTATGCATTTGGTCTAAATTAGTCAAAGGTTTTGCAAGGCTACATCAAGGATGCAGTTATATTATTGGGCCTAAGCCATAGGGTGAAAGATATGGCCCAGGTAGAGAGTGAGAGTGAAAAGAGGTCAGAACCTTGGGGACATCATCACTTAAGGAAGAGGAGCTTCCCAGGGACAATGAGGACCACTACATGGGAGGCAGGATGCTTCAAGGCACAGAATAGTTTGAATCATAAAAGGCTTCCTACCTCCAGGAAAAGGGAAGAGCAGTGTAGTTAATATTTAGATTTACTTTGCATTGCATTTAATGGAAAATAAAGGGGAAAAAAATGTATCTTGTTAGTCCTATATCATCTGTGCTGTGGTTAGAAAGATTAAAATGATAAGTCTTTTCAAGAAGTGGGGGGATAGCCCTAATTTTGGCAGGCCATAAGACATGTAGTGTCTTCTAGAACTAGGGGAAGAATTAAGGCCAACCAGCATCAAGAAAAATAAGCACCTTGTTTACTGGGTTTAGTATCTGAGTCGTTTTGATGCTTTAGTTGGAATAGAAACCAAATTGAAAAGTGCAATCGATGGCGAGGAAGTAAAGAGTATGGACATGATTCCTCTGAAAAGCTTGGTTATAAAGAAAAGGTGCAGGCCGGGTGTGGTGGCTCACGTCTGTAATCCCAGCATTTTGGGAGGCTGAGGTGGGTGGATCAACGAGGGCAGGAGTTTGAGACCAGCCTGACCAACATGGTGAATCCCCGTCTCTACTAAAAATACAAAAAATTAGCTGGGCATGGTGGCACGTGCCTATAATTCTAGCTACTCAGTAGGCTGAGGCAGGAGAATTGCTTGATTCTGAGAGGCGGATGTTGCGGTGAGCTTAGATCGCACCATTGCACTCCAGCCTGGGTGACAGAGCAAGACTCTGTCTCCAAAAAAAAAAAAAAAAAAAAAAAAGGTGAGAATAATAGGATATTTTGAAAGTTTTTTTTTTCTTTTTTGAAGATTGGAGAGTCTTGACTGCATTCATATGTGTTTGAGGGGTAAGGTATGGGCATGGGAAATAGGAAAGAGGTTGAAGATGAAGTATGGACTTCTGGGAGACAGGAGATGATGGAATCTAGAGCAGGATACTCAAAGGATGATCCGCAAATGGGTGGCACTGGCATCACCTGGAAGCTTGTTAGCAATACAAAATTGTTAGACTTCATCACAGATACAGTGAATTAGAATCTGTGGGTGTAGGGCTTTAGCAATCACCAGGTGATTTGGATACATGCTCAAGTTTGAAAATCACTTGGCTAGAGCACAGGTGAAGGGAAAAACTTTGTATGGAAGCAGGAATGCTACTTCCACTGAGATATGAGAGAAGGATGTGAGGATAGATCTCTGGGGCAATTAATAGAGTTGTGAGTAATTTAATTTTCTCTGTGTGTGTGTGTGTGTGAGAAATATTCAAAATAATAATGTCTTTTCAAGAGGTGGGGGGGATGGCCCTAATTGCGGCAGGCCATAAGACATGTAGTGTCTTCTAGAACTAGGGAAAGAATTAAGGCCAACAGCATCAAGAAAAATAAGAACTTTGTTTACTGGGTTTAGTACCTGAGTTATAATACAAAATTGTTAGACTTTATCCCAGATACAGTGAATTAGTATCTGTGAGAGTGGGGCTTTAGGAATGTACCAGGTGATTTTGATGCATGCTTAAGTTTGAGAATCACTTGGCTAGAGCACAGGTGAAGGGAGAAAATTTGTATGGAAAATCTGTATGGAAGCAGGAATGCCACTTCCACTGAGATATGAGATAAGAATGTAAGGTATGATCCTCTGCTGAGAATGAGGACTAGGAAGTGGTTTAAGAATATGCCTGAAGGTCTGCAAAAGCTGCCTTGGTCAATAGAAGGACATGCTTAAGTGAGCATGTTGGAGGCTCAGAGGAACATGGAGCTGAAGAATTGGGAGTCCAACATGCAGACTTTTTAATCTTCTGACAACTGAGAGGGCAGAGTTAATTTGATCTAGTAAGGGGATGTTTGAATTGTGGGTGCAACTGAATTGACTGATCATGGTTTAGGCTAGAAAGTTTCAGGTAATGTAGTCGGTAAGGGAAGGAAGCTGACTGACTGGAAACAAAAGGGGGAAGTGCCTGAAGGTACTAGTGAGGTCAAAGAAGAAAGGCAGTGGGAACTCTAGAGCACTAGAGCTGCAAAGATATTGGGTTTTGGTTAGAGAGTGAGATGCTGATGTGTAAGGTTTCAGAAGGGACCTCTTAGTCTCATTAAAATGCAAAGAAAGTATCCAGTAACAAAGGCAGAGTTCAAAACAAGGAAGAACTTGGAAGAACAGAGACAATTCAGAAGAGACTTTAAAACACAACTATAATCAATGAGAAATAAAAGCAGGTATCACATCTATGAAAGAACAAGATACTTAAACAAGGGAAGGATTAACAAGTAAACAGCTCCTGAAAACTTAAAATATGAGAGCTCAGAATAAGTATTTAATAAAGGTTTGGGAAGGTAAAGGAGAAGAAATATCCCAGCAAGTATAACAAAAACATAAAAACATAGGCAATAGGAAAAGCAAAGATGTGAAAATAGAGGATTGAGTTTATATCAGTTACTTCATTAAACTTTCCTATTATTTATAGTAATTTGTCTTTAGATTAATTTGTCTTTAGATTCTATGGTGTAATCATGTCCTCTGTAAATGTTGACAGTTTTATGTCTTCCTTTCCAATCTTTTGGTTTCTTTTTCTTATCTCATTATGCTGGTAATGACCAAAATACAATGTTGAATAAAAGTGATGATAGTAGTCTCCTTGTCTTCATAATTTTAATGAGAATGCATCCCAACTTTCTCTTTTTGGAAGATGTGTTTCAGAATAAAAAAAAATAGATACCCTTTATCAGGTTAAAGAAGTTCTCTTCTATTCCTGGTTTGTTTATTTATTTATATTATTTATTTATTTGAGATGGAGTTTTGCTCTTGTTGCCTAGGCTGGAGTGCAATGGCATGATCTCGGCTCACTGCAACGTCTGCCTGCTGGGTTCAAGAGATTCTCCTGCCTCAGCCTCCCAAGTAGCTGGGATTACAGGCAGGCATCACCATACCCAGCTAATTTTGTATTTTTAGTAGAGATGGGGGTTTCACCATGTTGGCCAGGCTGATCTTGAACTCCTGACCTCCGGTGATCAGCCCACCTCAGCCTCCCAAAGTGCTGGGATTGCAGGTGTGAGCCACTGCACCTGGCCTTATTCCTGGTTTATTAATTGTTTTTTTCTTTAAGCCAGGGATGAGCAAACTACCACCCAATGGGCCAAATCCAGTCTGCAACTTGTTTTTTTTTTGTATAGCCCATGAGCTAAGAATGATTTTTACATTTCATGTAAAATGTCACATAATATTTTGTGACATGTGAAAATTATATGAAATTCAAATTTAAGTCTCCATAAGTAAAGCTTTATTGGAACATGGCCATGTTCTTCATTCATTTATGTATTGTCTATGACTGCTTTTGTGCTATAAAGGCAGAGGTGAGTAGTTGTGATGGAGCCCATAGGGACCTACAAAGCCAAAGTAAACATTTGGCCCTTTATAGAAAAAGTTTACTGATTCTTGTTTTAAGTCAAAAATGGTATTGGGGGAAAGTTAGGTTCATGGATGTGCAGACCAAGAATAAGGGAAAGATCTCAGCCCTAACTCCTTCTTATACAGATTTTCAATAGGTCCATCTTTTTCAGGTTTACCCTCTTACCCTAGACTTTCTTAGTTTTTAGCTTTCCATTTCTAGAGATTTAGGGCTCTGTCTAAACAGTGGTTTTCCTTCTGTGTAGCATTTCTTTGGATGCACAATAGGTTCCACTTTCATCAGCTCCGCTTTTCACCAGTTTTCCAGAAAAGCATTACAGTCTGTTGCTGTTCCCTGTTCCCCTTGTCTGCCTGATTATTTATTTTCAGAGTCATTTTAGCAGTGTTTGGGGAGGGAGTTATACCTTTTATTCCTCAGGTATCACCACTCTTCTCTTCCTACCGCGAAACAGCACAGTGAAAGGGAGGAGATGGAGTGAAGAGACCGAGGGCAGGGAGAGGGAGGGGGGTGTGACGGGGTGGGGAAGTGAGGAGGAAGAGGGGGAAGAGCTACTGGGGAGGAGGAAGATGGGGGAGGAAGAGGATGATGGGGTGGGGTGGTTCAGGGAGTGAATAGGCCGGGTTGGGTGAGATGAGGCTGGGTGTATGTGCTTGAGGAGTCCGGGAGTGCGGAGGGGCAGAAAGGTAGACAGTGCGTGCGGGAAGAGGGGATGGGGGTGGGGAGGCGAGGGCGGTCAGTGGGTTGAGAGGAGTGGGGAGAAGATTTAGGGCGAGAGAGGTGCCATCGTGCTGGGGAAGGCGGGACTAGGAGAGGTAAAAGAATGGGGAGAGAAATGGGAGGGAGAGAAGGAAGCTGAGGGAGATTTGAGGAGAGAAGGCGCTTGAGGGGGAACCAGGAGGGGAGAAGGCTTGTGAGGGGGAAATGTGAGAGGAGAAGGGGCGCGAGGGGGAACCGCGAGGGGAGAAGGGGCGCGAGGGGGAAAAGCGAGGGGAGAAGGGGTCCCGCCTCCTGGCCGCGCCGCCCTAGGTGTCGCCGCCTGGCGGTTACGAGGAGGCCGCCTCCTGCTTGCCGGCCTGGCGGTCCTACTCAACACCGCAAGATTTCAAAAGGGAAATTCCTCCAGGGCTGAGTCACAGGGAAGAAAGCGATTTCCTCCGCCTCTTCCAAAGCGGTAGGTTTCCTTCCTCCGCCTGCCTCTTAAATAACGTGGTATCTCGCAGTTTGGCTGAAACCTGAACTAAATGCAATGCTTTTTTGACTTTTACTTTCTCCCAGAACAACAGTTGTGATATGATCTGTTTTGGGGCCCTTCCTGCGCTCCGCCCTGGGCCAGAGTATGTAAAGCTCGTGGGTCTCTGTGTGTGTCTGAGCAGCTGCTCTGCCAAGACTCCACACAGCTGTGTGTGTGTCGGACCCAAGGCCTTGGTGGCATGGGCTCATGAGGGAATCTCCTGATCCACCAGTCGCAAAGATCCATGGGAGAAGCATGGTTTCCTGAGGTCGCACCATCCCTCACTTCTTCCCTTGGCTGGGAGTGGGGGTTCCTTTGGCTCTGTGTCGCTCCCAGGGGGGCTGTCGCCCCATCCAGCTTTTCTTTGTTCTCTGTGGGTCGAGTTGTTTTCCTGATGAGTCCCAATGCAAGTACCTGGATATTTCAGTTGAAGATGCTGTATTCACTTGCCTCTTTTGTTCCTCTCTGTGAGTGCTGTGGACCATAGCTGTTTCTAATCAGCCATCTTGGCCTGGCAATCTACAGTAGTAAATGTTAACATTGGATAGTGTGATTCTTCCTACTTTACTATTCTTTTTAAATATTGTTTTAGCAATTTTTGTTCTTTTGACTTTACATATAGATTTTAGGACCAGTTTGTCTATATCTACAAAAGGAAGCTTTTGATAGGAAATGTGTTAAACCTATAGACCGATTTGAAGAGAATTGACATCTTTGTTGTCTTCCAGTTAAATGACACTGCATGTCTCTCCGTTTGTTTAGATCTATTTTTATTTTTTCATCAGCATTTTGTAGTTTTCAGCCTGCTGATTCTGTACATATTTTGTTAGATTTATACTTAAATATTTAATTTTCTTTGGAGTGGTTGTAAATAGTACTGTGCTTCAGTTTTGGCTTCCTACTTTTTATTGCTAGCATAGAGGAATACAATTGATTACTATTCTGTAACATTGCTAAAAATGTGTTTGAAGTTTCCTCGGAGTATTATCTCTGGATATAAGCTTCTGGGCTGATAGGTCTTATTTTTTAGCAGTTGAAAAATGTTGTGCTACTTTCTTCCTGTTTTGGGTTTTTTGGTGAGAAATCCACTGTAATTCTAATTGTTGTTCTCCTATAAATAATGCTTTTTCTTTCAGAATGTTTTCAAGATTTTTTTAAGTTTTCAGAAATTTGATTATGATGTATCTGAGCATAGATTTCTTTGAGTTTATTATATTAGAAGTTGCTTTAGCTTTTTGAATTACACATTTATGTCTTTCATTAAGTTTGAGAAGTCTTCAATCATTATTTTGTTAAAAAGTTTTTTCAGACCAGCCTGGGCAACATGACAAAACACTGTCTCTACAAAAAAAATAAAAAAAATTAGCTGGTCATGGTGGCATGTGTCAGTGGTCCCAGCTACTCGGGAGGCTAAGGCAGGAGGATCACCTAAGCCTGGGAGTTTGAGGCTGCAGTGAGCTGTGATCATGCCACCGCACTCCAGCCTGTGTAACAGAGTGAGAGCCTGTCTCAATTTTTTTTTTTTTTTTAGCACCCTATGCCGTCTCCTTCTGTAATTCCAGTCACAGGAATGTTAGAGACTTTGTTATTGTCCCACAGATACTTGTTGCTCTGTTCGTTTTTTCTTTTCTTTCTTTCTTTTTTTTTTTTTATTATACTTTAAGTTCTGGGTTACATGTGCAGAATGTACATTTTTCTTACATAGGTATACATGTGCCCTGGTGGTTTGTTGCACCCATCAACCTGTCACCTATATTAGGTATTTCTCCTAATGTTATCCCTCCCCTAACTCCCCACTCTCTGACAGGCCCCGGTGTGTGATGTTCCCCTCCCTGTGTCCGTATGTTCTCATTGTTCAACTCCCACTTATAAGCAAGAACATGCGGTGTTTGGTTTTCTGATCTTGTGATAGTTTGCTGAAAATGATGGTTTCCAGCTTTATCCATGTTCCTGCAAAGGACACAAACTCATCCTTTTTTATGGCTGCATAGTATTCCATGATATATACGTGCCACATTTTCTAAATCCAGTCTATCATTGATGGACATTTGGGTTGGTTCCAAGTCTTTGCTACTGTGAATAGTGCCACAATAAACATGTGTGCATGTGTCTTTACTATAGAATGATTTATAATCATTTGGGTATATGCCCAGTATTGGGATTGCTGGGTCAAATGGTATTTCCAGTTCTAGATCCTTGAGGAATCGCCACACTGTCTTCCACAGTGGTTGAACTAATTTACACTCCCACCAACAGTGTAAAAGCATTCCTATTTTTCCACAACCTCTCCAGCACCTGTTGTTTCCTGACTTTTTAATGATCGCCATTCTAACTGGTGTGAGATGGAATCTCATTGTGGTTTTGATTTGCATTTCTCTGGTGACCAGTGATGATGAGCATTTTTTTCATATGTCTGTTGGCTGCATAAATGTCTTCTTTTGAGAAGTGTCTGTTCATATCCTTTGCCCACTTTTTGATGGGTTTTTTCTTGTAAATTTAAGTTCTTTGTAGATTCTGGATATTAGCCCTTTGTCACATGGATAGACTGCAAAAATTTTCTCCCATTCTGTAGGTTGCCTGTTCACTCTGATGATACTTTCTTTTGCTGTGCAGAAGCTCTTTAGTTTAATTAGATCCCGTTTGTCAATTTTGGCTTTTGTTGCCATTGCTTTTAGTGTTTTGGACATGAAGTCTTTGCCCATGCCTCTGTCCTGAATGGTATTGCCCAGATTTTCTTCTAGGAGTTTTATGGTCCTAAGTCTTATGTTGAAGTTTTTGATCCATTTTGAGTTGATTTTTGTAAAAGGTGTAAGGAAGGGGCCCAGTTTCAGTTTTCTGCATATGGCTAGCCAGTTTTCCCAACACCATTTACTAAATTGGGAATCTTTTCCCCATTGCTTGTGTGTGTCAGGTTTGTCAAAGATCAGATGGTTGTAGCTGTGTGGTGTTATTTCTGACGCCTCCGTTCTGTTCCATTGGTCTATATATCTGTTTTGGTACCAGTACTATGCTGTTTTGGGTACTGTAGTCTTGTAGTATAGTTTGAAATCAGGTAGCATGATACCTCTAGCTTTGTTCTTCTTGCCCAGGATTGTCTTGGCTACGCAGGCTCTTTTTTGGTTCCATATGAAGTTTAAAGTAGTTTTTTTCCAATTCTGTGAAGAAAGTCAGTGGTAGCTTCATGGGAATAGCATTGAATTTATAAATTACTTTGGGCTGTGTAGCCATTTTCATGATATTGATTCTTCCTATCCATGAACATGGAATGTTTTTCCATTTGTTTGTGTCCTCTCTTATTTCCTTGAGCAGTGGTTTGTAGTTCTACTTGAAGAGGTCCTTCACATCCCTTGTAAGTTGTATTCCTAGGTATTTTATTCTCTTAGTAGCAATTGTGAATGGGAGTTCACTCATGATTTGGCTCTCTGTCTATTATTGGTGTACAGGAATGCTTGTGATTTTTGCACATTGATTTTGTATCCTGAGACTTTGCTGAAGTTGCTTATCAGCTTAAGGAGGTTTTGGGCTGAGACGATGGGGTTTTCTAAATATACAATCATGTCTTCTGCAAACAGAGAAAATTTGATTTCCTCTCTTCCTATTTGAATACTCTTTATTGCTTTCTCTTGCCTGATTGCCCTGGCCAGAACTTCCAATACTATGTTGAATAGGAGTGGTGAGAGAGGGCATCTTTGTCTTGTGCCGGTTTTCAAAGGGAATGCTTCCAGTTTTTGCCCATTCAGTATGATATTGGCTGTGGGTTTGTCATAAATAGCTCTTGTTATTTTGAGATATGTTCCGTCGATACCTAGTTTATTGAGAGTTTTTGGCATGAAGGGGTGTTGAATTTTATCAAAGGCCTTTTCCGTATCTATTGAGATAATCATGTGGTTTTTGTTATTGGTTCTGTTTATGTGATGGATTACATTTATTGATTTGCGTATGTTGAACCAGCCTCGCATCCCAGGGATGAAGCCAACTTGATCGTGGTAGATAAGCTTTTTTATGTGCTGCTGCATTCGGTTTGCCAGTATTTTATTGAGGATTTTCACATTGATGTTCATCAGGGATATTGGCCTGAAATTTTCCTTTTTTGTTGTGTCTCTGCCAGGTTTTGGTATCAGGATGATGCTGGCCTCATAAAATGAGTTAGGGAGGAGTCCCTATTTTTCTATTGTTTGGAATAGTTTCAGAAGGTATGGTACCAGTTCCTCTTTGTACCTCTGGTAGAATTCGCCTGTGGATCCATCTGCTCCTGGGGTTTTTTTTGGGGTAGTAGGCTATTAATTACTGCCTCAATTTCAGAAATTGTTATTGCTTTATTCAGGGATTCGACTTCTTCCTGGCTTAGACTTGGGAGGGTGTATGTGTCCAGGAATTTATCCATTTCTTCTAGATTTTCTAGTTTATTTGCATAGAGGTGTTTATAGTATTCTCTGATGGTAGTTTGTATTTGTATGGGATCAGTGGTGATATCCCCTATATCATTTTTTATTGCATCTATTTGATTCTTCTCTCTTTTCTTCTTTATTAGTCTGGCTAGTGGTCTATTTTGTTGATTTTTTCAAAAAATCAGCTCCTGGATTCATTGATATTTTTGAAGGGTTTTTTGTGTCTCTATCTCCTTCAGTTCTGCTCTGATCTTAGTTATTTCATGTCTTCTGCTACTTTTGAATTTATTTGCTGTTGCTTCTCTAGTTCTTTTAATTTCGATGTTAGGGCATCAATTTTAGAACTTTCCTGATTTCTCTTGTGGGCATTTAGTGCTATAAATTTCCCTCTAAACACCGCTTTAAATGTGTCCCAGAGATTCTGGTACATTGTGTCTTCATTTTCATTGGTTTCAAAGAACATTTTTAGTTCTGCCTTCATTTCATTATTTACCCAGTAGTCATTCAGGAACAGGTTGTTCAGTTTCCATTTATTTGTGCAGTTTTGAGTGAGTTTCTTAATCCTGAATTCTAATTTGGTTGCACTGTGGTCTGAGAGACTGTTTGTTATGGTTTCCATTATTTCGCATTTGCTGAGGAGTGTTTTACTTCTGATTATGTGGTCAATTTTAGAATAAGTGCAATGAGGTGCTGAGAAGAATGTATAGTCTGTTGATTTGAGGTGGGGAGTTCTGTAGATGTCTGTTAGGTCTGCTTGGTCCAGAGCTGAGTTCAAGTCCTGAATATCTTTATTTTCTGTCTCATTGATCTGTCTAATATTGACAGTGGGGTGTTAAAGTCTCCCACTATTATTGTTTGGGAGTCTGGGTCTCTAAGAACTTGCTTTATGAATCTGGGTGCTCCTGTATTGGGTGCATATATATTTAGGATAGTTAGCTCTTCTTGCTGCATTGTTCCCTTTACCATTATGTAATGCCCTTCTTTGTCTCTTTTGATTTTTATTGATTTAAAGTCTGTTTTATCAGAGATTAGGATTGCAACTCCTGCTTTTTTTTTGCTTTCCATTTGCTTGGTAAATATTCCCCCATCCCTTTATTTTGAGCCTATGTTTGTCTTTGCACATGAGATGGGTCTTCTGAATACAGCATACTGATGGGTCTTGACTCTTTATCCAATTTGCCAGTCTGTGTCTTTTAATTGGGGCATTTAGCCCATTTACATTAAGGTTAATATTGTTATGTGTGAATTTGATCCTGTCATTATGATGCTAGCTGGTTGTTTTGCCCATTAGTTAATGCAGTTTCTTCATTGTGTCAATGTTCTTTACAATTTGGTATGTTTTTGCAGTGGCTGGTACCAGTTGTTCCTTTCCATGTTTAGTGCTTCCCTCTGGAGCTCTCGTAAGGCAGGTCTGGTGGTGACAAAATCCCTCAGCATTTGCTTGTCTGTAAAGGATTTTATTTCTCCTTCCCTTATGAAGCTTAGTGTGGCTGGATATGAAATTCTGGGTTGAAAATTCTTTTCTTTCAGAACGTTGGATATTGGCCCCCACTCTCTTCTGTCTTATAGGGTTTCTGCAGAGAGTTCGGCTGATAGTCTGATGAGCTTCCCTTTGTGGGTAACCCGACCTTTCTCTCTGGCTGCCCTTAACATTTTCTCTTTCATTTCAACCTTGGTGAATCCGATGATTATGTGTCTTGGGGTTGCTCGTCTTGAGGATTATCTTTGTGGTGTTCTCTGTATTTCCTGAATTTGAATGTTGGCCTGTGTTGCTAAGTTGGAGAAGTTCTCCTGGATAATATCCTGAAGAGTGTTTTCCAACTTGATTCCATTCTCCCCGTCACTTTGAGGTACACCAATCAAACGTAGATTTGGTCTTTTCACATAGTCCCATGTTTCTTTTTTTTTTTTTGAGATGGAGTCTCGCTCTGTCACCGAGGTTGGAGTGCAGTGGTGTGATCTCGGCTCACTGCAAGCTCCACCTTCTGGGTTCACGCCATTCTCCTGCCTCAGCCTCCTAAATAGCTGGGACTACAGGCGCCCACCCCCACGCCCAGCTAATTTTTTGTATTTTTAGTAGAGACGGGGTTTCACCATGTTAGCCAGGATGGTCTCGATCTCCTGACCTCGTGATCCACCCACCTCAGCCTCCCAAAGTGCTGGGATTACAGGTGTGACCCACCGCGCCCCGGCAAGTCCCATATTTCTTGGAGGCTTTGTTCGTTCCTTTTTATTCTTTTTTATCTAATCTTGTCTTCTCTCTTTATTTCATTAAGTTGATCATTAAGTTGATCTTCAATCACTGCTTCATCAGTTTGGCTATTGATACTTGTGTATTCTTCATGAAGTTTTTGTGCTTTGTTTTTCAGCTCCATTAGGTCATTTATGTTCTTCTCTACATTGGTTATTCTAGTTAATTCGATTAACCTTTTTTTAAGGTTTTTAGCTTCTTTGCATTGGCTTAGAACATGCTTCTTGAGCTTGTAGTTTTTTGTTATTACCCACCTTCTGAAGCCTACTTCTGTCAGTTCATCAAACTCATTCTCTGTCCAGTTTTGTTCCCTTGCTGGCGAAGAGTTGTGATCATTTGGAGGAGGAGAGGCATTCTGGTTTTTGGAATTTTCAACCTTTTCATGCTACTTTTTTCCCATCTTTGTGGATTTATCTACCTTTGGTCTTTGATGTTGGTGACCTTCGGATGGGGTCTTTGAGTGGACGTGCTAATCCTTTCTGTTTCTTTTCCTTCTAACAGGCCCCTTTGGTGCCAGTCTGCTGGAGTTTGCTGGAGGTCCACTCCTGACCCTGTTTGCCTGGGTATCACCAGCAGAGGCTGCAAAGCAGCAAAGATTGCTGCCTGTTCTTTCTTCTAGAAGCTTCGACCCAGTGGGGCACCTGTCAGATGCCAGCCAGAGCTCTCCTGTATCAGGTGTCTGTCGGTCCAAGCTAGAAGGTATCTCCCAGTCAGTATACATGGGGATCAGGGACCCACTTGAGGAGGCAGACTGACCCTTAGCAGAGCTTCAATACCGTGCTGGGAGGTCCACTGCTCTCTTCAGAGCCATCAGGCAGGGACGTTTAAGTCTGCTATAAGCCCCCGACTGGGGTTGCTGCCTTTTTTACAGAGATGCCCTGTCCAGAGAGGAGCAATCTGGCAGTCTGGCCACAGCAGCCTTGCTGAGCTGCAGTGAGCTCTGCCCAGTTTGAACTTCCCAGCAGCTTTGTTTATACTGTGGCCATAAAACCATCTACTCAAGCCTCAGCAATGGTGGACGTCTCTTCCACCACCAAGCTCAATCATCCCAGGTGAATCTCAGATTGCTGCTGTGCTGGCAGCAAGAATTTCAAGCCAGTGGATCTTAGTTTCCTGGGCTCCATGGACGTGGGACCAGCCAAGCCAGACCACTTGGCTCCCTGGCTTCAGCCCCTCTTTCCAGGGGAGTGAACGGTTCTGTCTCGCTGGTGTTCCAGGCGCCACTGGGGTATGGAAAAAAGAAAAAAAGCTCCTACAGCTAGTTCAGTGTCTGCCCAATTGGCCACCCAGTTTTGTGCTTGAAACCCAGGGCCCTGGTGGGGTAGTCACTGGAGGGAATCTCCTGGTTTGTGGGTTTCGAAGACTGTGGGACAAGTGCAGTATCTGTGCTGGAGTTCCTCAGGCTCAGACCCTCATGGCTTCCCTTGGGTAGAGGGGAAAATTCCCCGACCCCTTGCACTTCCCAGGTGAGGTGATGCCCCACCCTGCTTCGGCTTGCCCTCCGTGGGCTGCACCCACTGTCCAACCAGTCCCAGTGAGATGAACCGTGTGCCTCAGTTGGAAATGCAGAAATCACCCACCTTCTGCCTCGATCTCGCTGGGAGCTGCAGACTGGTGCTGTTCCTATTCGGCCATCTTGAATCTTGCCTGTTCATTTTTAATTTTTTCTTTCAGTGTATTTTCCTCTCAGTTCAGGCTGGAAAATTTCAATTGCTCTATCTTTGAGTTCACTGATTGTTTCTTTTGTCATATTCATTCTGTTATTGAATCCATCCAGTGAGTTTTCATTTTGGTTATTTTATTTTCCAGCTATAAAATTTCCATTTGCTTCTTTCTTTCTTTTTTTTTTTAGAAATGTTCATCTTTTTATTTTAAGTTCCGGGGTACATATACAGGATGTGCAGGTTTGTTACATAGGTAAACATGTGCCATGGGTAGTGTTCATCTATAGCTCTATCAATGCTTCTTGTCTTTAAGTCTACCTTGTTTGAGAGCTATGTCAGCATTCTTTTTTTTTTTAATTATACTTTAAGTTCTAGGATATATATGCACAATGTGCAGGTTAGTTACATGTCTATACATGTGCCATGTTGGTGTGCTGCACCCATTAACTCGTCATTTAACATTAGGTATATCTCCTAATGCTATCCCTCCCCCCTCCGCCAACCCCACAACAGGCCCTGGTGTGTGATGTTCCCTTTCCTGTGTCCATGTGTTCTCATTGTTCAATTCCCATCTATGAGTGAGAACATGTGGTGTTTGGTTTTTTGTCCTTGCGATAGTTTGCTGAGAATGATGGTTTCCAGCTTCATCCATGTCCCTACAAAGGACATGAACTCATCATTTTTTATGGCTGCATAGTATTCCATGGTGTATATGTGCCACATTTTCTTAATCCAGTCTATCATTGTTGGACATTTGGGTTGGTTCCAAGTCTTTGCTATTGTGAATAGTGCCACAATAAACATACGTGTGCATGTGTCTTTATAGCAGCACGTTTTATAATCCTTTGGGTATATACCCAGTAATGGGATGGCTGGGTCAAATGGTATTTCTAGTTCTAGATCCCTGAGGAATCGCCACACTGACTTCCACAATGGTTGAGCTAGTTTACAGTCCCACCAACAGTGTAAAAGTGTTCCTATTTCTCCACATCCTCTCCAGCACCTGTTGTTTCCTGACTTTTTAATGATTGCCATTCTAACTAGTGTGAGATGGAATCTCATTGTGGTTTTGATTTGCATTTCTCCGATGGCCAGTGATGATGAGCATTTTTTCATGTGTCTTTTGGCTGTGTAAATGTCTTCTTTTGAGAAGTGTCTGTTCATATCCTTCGCCCACTTGTTGATGGGGTTGTTTGTTTTTTTCTTGTAAATTTGTTTGAGTTCATTGTAGATTCTGGATATTAGCCCTTTGTCAGATGAGTAGATGCAAAAATTTTCTCCCATTCTGTAGGTTGCCTGTTCACTCTGATGGTAGTTTCTTTTGCTGTGCAGAAGCTCTTTAGTTTAATTAGATCCCATTTGTCAATTTTGGCATTTGTTGCCATTGCTTTTGGTGTTTTAGACATGAAGTCCTTGCCCATGCCTATGTCCTGAATGGTGTTGCCTAGGTTTTCTTCTAGGGTTTTTATGGTTTTAGGTCTAACATTTAAGAGGATACAAACAAATGGAAGAACATTCCATGCTCATGGGTAGGAAGAATCAATATCGTGAAAATGGCCATACTGCCCAAGGTAATTTATAGATTCAATGCCATCCCCATCAAGCTACCAATGACTTTCTTCACAGAATTGGAAAAAACTACTTTAAAGTTCATATGGAACCAAAAAAGAGCCCACATTGCCAAGTCAGTCCTAAGCCAAAAGAACAAAGCTGGAGGCATCACGCTACCTGACTTCAAACTATACTACAAGGCTACAGTAACCAAAACAGCATGGTACTGGTACCAAAACAGAGATATAGACCCTCAGAAATAATGCCACATATCTACAACTATCTGATCTTTGACAAACCTGACAAAAACAAGAAATGGGGAAAGGATTCCCTATTTAGTAAATGGTGCTGGGAAAACTGGCTAGCCATATGTAGAAAGCTGAAAATGGATCCCTTCCTTACACCTTATACAAAGATTAATTCAAGATGGATTAAAGACTTAAGTGCTTCTTTCTTATATTTTATATTTGTTGCTAAGATGTTCCATTAAAAATAATTTCGAAGTTATTCATAATTGCTTGTTGGAACATTTTTTATGATAGCTGCTGCAAAATACTTGTGAGATAATTGCAATACCTGTGTCATCTTGGTGTTGACACTGTTTGAATTTTCTTATTTAGATTTTTGTGGTTCTTGATAATGACAGGTGATTTTTTGTTTATATGTTGGACATTTTGAATATGGTGCATTGAGGCCTGGTTTCTATTTAACGTTTCTGTTTTAGTAGGCAGTCAACTTGTTTAGGTTCAGAACACATGTCTTGACCCATGTTTATGGGCCATGATGCAAATGTTAATTTAGTGTTCAAAGTCTTTATGGTGCTATTCTGGCTTGTCCTACTTGTGTGCTACTTAGAGGTCAATCTGAAGCCTGGTGATGTTTCACATCACTGTTAAGTTCTCAGGTTTTGTGGATGTCATTTCTGATCAGTTTTTAAAATTTTTTTAAAATTATTTATTTATTTTTGAGACAGAGTCTTGCTCTGTTGCCCAGACTGGAGTGCAGTGGCACGATCTTGGCTCACTGCAACCTCTGCCTCCTGGATTCAAGTGATTTTGCTTCCTCAGCCTCCCGAGTAGCTGGGACTACAGGTGCGCACCACCACACCTGGCTAATTTTTGTATTTTTAGTAGAGATGGGGTTTCACCATGTTAGCCAGGATGGTCTTGATCTCCTGACCTCGTGATCCACCTGCCTTGGCCTCCCAAAGTGCTGGGATTACAGGCATGAGCCACCACGCCCGGCCTATTTATTTATTTATTTATTTTGAGACTGAGTGCAAAAGTGTGTCACCCAGGTTGGAGTGCAATGGCGCTATATCGGCTCACTGCAACCTCCACCTTCTGGATTCAAGTGATTCTCATGCCTCAGCCTCCGAAGTAGCTGGGACTACAGGTGTGTGCCACCACGCCCAGCCTCTGATTAGTTTCTTACATGTACTGCTCACAAGAATTTCATACACAGATTCAGAATATTCCTTTCTCTTTTTTCTGTAATCTTACCAGCCCCACATACTTTAGTTGGGATAGAGAAGAAACTGCCTTGTGATTGCAGGGCAGGGGTTCTGCACCCTGTCTCTACAGCTGCTGCACCAGATACCTTTTGATTCAGAAATTACTTTTTTGGAAATTTAACTTCAGGAAAAATTTAGATAAATGTGTAAAGAGACATACATTTACTGTAGTGTTGGTTTAAATGAAAAGATAAAGTCCACCTACAGGGGAGTGTTTAAATAAATTATGCACTGATTAAATATTATATAGATACATATTATTATGGAAAAATTTTCATGGTATATTGAGTGAAAAGATGCAGGTATGTAAGTTTGAAATCTACTTGGAAAAATGAATTATCTATCTGTATGTATACTCAGGCATTGAAGAAAGTTAATGATTTAACTTAAATGTTAATAGCAGAGTCATTTTAAGGGATGAGGATGGTTATAGTAATTTTCACTTCCCTCTTTTTTTTTTTTACATTTTTTAGTATTGTATGTTTTTAAATGACCATGCCTTGCTTTGTATTCAAAATAAATTACAAACTCTAATTTGAACAAATCAGATCTAGTCACTTATCTGATGACCAGTACAGTTTTAATCTTAATAAGTCTTCTATTGCCAGTCATTTGATTCTTGTATCTTATGCTGTCCTGCCTGAGAGTAGTCCTACCAAAACCAGTTTTATCTGAGGTTTTTCTTTTCCCTTTTTTTTTTTTTTTTTTTTTTTTTTTTTTTTTAGAATTGCTTTCCTGTAGAGGAGAAGGATTGAGACATGACCTTTGGTGAAACTGAAGCTATAACTTGAATAATATTCGTTAATCTGGGGAGAATAAAATTTTGAAAGAAGAAATTTAATTTTGATGCTCTTCTTTAAAACCAAGGGCTCCACATTGTCTGTAAGATAAATAATTAAAGCTTTATTTACTATGGCATTCAAGGGACTTCTCAATTGGGCCCCAATCTACTTTTCTGATATCATTTCTGATACTACTTTTCACTTATAGTCCAGCAAGGCCTGTCCACTCACTCTCGTTAGACCCTTCATGCTGTCCTACCTCTGGGCATTGGCTCATATTCACTCCTTGGAATAGACTTGATTTCACCTTTTAAAATCCACTTTTATTTGCTTCATCTAACTTATGACTTCTTCAAAGCAGATCAAATATCATCTTTTTGTGAAGTATCCCAGCACTCTATTAGGGTGAAATTATCATTCCTCCTGTAATATTTTGTTCCTAAGCTGTTTGTTACTGTATATGATAGTTGTTTACTTTTTTCCTCTTAAGACTGAGATTCTTTCAGTAATTTTTGAATGATTTTCATGAACCAGCTAAGCTTAACTCTGGAGAAACAAAGACGAAAAACATCTGGTTTCTCACCTCCAGGTGCACAGAATCTAGTAAAGCGGGTAAACGTATAAACAGAGAATAATTGAGGTATATAAAAGTGGTTTGGGAACTGTGTGGAGGGCAGTCTCCCTTAGTAGGTGTTTAGGAAGACTTTACAAATGAGATGACATTTGACCTGAATCGCAAATAAGTAGGAGCTTGTCGGATGGATAAAAGGTAGAATGTGAGTCCTTTTAACACCTAGTCAAAAGTGATTGGATGGTGGTTAGTTTTAATGTAATTTTTCTTATTTAGTGTATGAAGATGTCCATAAGTTACAAAGCAGTGTGGTTTCATCAGAATTGCCACTGGACCACAGGGTACTTCATATGATAAAGAAGATGTTTCTTTCCACAGTCATTCAGTCCACCATTGAATAGATCTGAAAGGTGTAAAGTTCACTGATATGCATCTGATTTCTTTTTTTCTTTTTTTTTTTTGAGACAGAGTCTTGCTCTGTCACCCAGGCTGGAGTGCAGTGGTGTGGTCTCGACTCACTGCAAGCTCCACCTCCCAGGCTCACGCCATTCTCCTGCCTCAGCCTGTCATGTAGCTGGGACTACAGGTGCTTGCCACCATGCCTGGCTAATTTTTTTTTTTTTTTTTTGTATTTTTAGTAGAGATGGGGTTTCACTGTGTTAGTCAGGATGGTCTCGATCTCCTGACCTCGTGATCCGCCTGCCTTGGCCTCCCAAAGTGCTGGGATTCCAGGCGTGAGCCACCCCACCCGGCCCATTTTTTTCTTTTCAACTTTTCTTAGGCTGGACAGACACATTTCAGTGATTGGCAAAGCACCTCATTAAACTTGGCTGCTATAATTTTTCTTCTTTTTTCATCTCATTTTCTATTCTCTCATTTTATTTTTGCCTTTGTTTAATCTACTCTTTGTTGGTTTGGAAGTTCCTTCTGTTTTTAGCTGATAAAAATCTACGACTAATCTCAGATAATTTTATTATTTTTCGTTAGTCATTTTGCTATTCAGGGGTGTTTTCTTTTTTTAAAAAAATAGACTTAATAGACTTAAATAGATAGTTATTATTTGGAATGGACTACATCCAAACAATTATGAGGAACAATTGTGAGGAACTCAGTTCCAGAAACTTTTGTATCCAGTAACTGATAAATAGATAAGTAATGTACTAATGGAAAAAACTCGATCAAATAATAAACCAAAGTCAATCTTTTTTTTTTTTTTTCCCCTAAGATGGAGTCTTGCTCTCTTGCCCAGGCTGGAGTGCAATGGCGTGATCTTGGCTCACTGCAACCTCTGCCTCCTGGGTTCAAACAATTCTTCTGCCTCAGCCTCCCAAGTAGCTGGGATTACAGGCGTGCACCACCACACCCGTCTAATTTTTGTATTTTAGTAGAGATGGGGTTTCACCATGTTGGCCAGGCTGGTCTCGAACTCCTGATCTTGTGATCTGCCCACCTTGGCCTCCCAAAGTGCTGGGATCACAGGCGTGAGACACTGTGCCCTGCCAAAAATTTTTTTTTTTTGAGACAGAGTCTCGCTCTGTCATCCAGGCTGGAATGCAGTGGTGCGATCTCAGCTCACTGCAAGCTCAACCTCCCGGGTTCACGCCATTCTCCTGCCTCAGCCTCCTGAGTAGCTGGGACCAAAGACCCCTGCCACCACGCCCGGCTAATTTTTTTGTATGTTTAGTAGAGACAAGGTTTCACCGTGTTAGCCAGGATGATCTCAATCTCTTGACCTTGTGATCGCCCATCTCGGCCTCCCAAAGTGCTGGGATTACAGGCGTGAGCCACCGCGCCCAGCCCAAAGTCAATGTTTTGACCAAGAGCAAGGCTACCACTTGTTATTATTAATTAATTAATTAATTAATTAATTTTTGAGACAGGGTCTTACTATATTGCCTAGGCTGGCTTCAAACTCCCAGGCTCAAGTGATCCTCCTGCCCTGCCTCCTGAGTAGCTGGAATTACAGGTGCGTGGCGCCATGCCTTACTATTTATTTCTAAACACATTGCAGAACATGGAATTTAGGGAGGACAAATTTTGATGAATCAAATAGGTATAGTGATATGGGTAGAAGATTGGTTTACTTTATCATAATTCCTTAAATACATATTGTGTACTTGATTAATGAAATGTTAAAAATAAATGCTTAGATATCATTTGACATTAAATAACTCAATCACTAAGCATGAACTCCATATTTAAAAACTTTATAAAATTTTCAGAGCTCACACAGACAAAATTCCTTATTGTCATGATCACTACGTATAAGTTTGAGTTCTTTCTTACTTTTTTTTTTTGAGACAGAGTTTTGCTCTTGTCGCCCAGGCTGGAGTGCAATGGCGTGACTTCGACTCACTGCAACCTCTGTCTCCTGAGTTCAAGCGATTCTTCTGCCTCAGCCTCCCGAAGTAGCTGGGATTACAGGTGCCCGCCACCACACCCAGCTAATTTTTTTGTATTTTTAGTTGAGACGGGGTTTTACCATATTGGCCAGACTGGTCTGAACTCCTTATCTCAGGTGATCCACCTTATCTCAGGCGCCCCCCGCGATGCGGGGAGTGAGAGCCAGCCCCTCTTCCCTTGGGCCTCCCAAAGTGCTGGGACTACAGGCATGAGCCACAAAGCCCAGCCCTTTCTTACTCTTCATTACATTGTTGAGTATAGTATTAACTATCCTATCAACTGACATTTATATTGCCATTTAATCCAGTTTGATAATTTTTATTTTTAAAATGTGGCATTTCTTGTCCAACAGGAAAATATCACAATCCTAAATATATATGCACCTAACACTGGCGCTCCCAAATTTATAAAACAATTACTACTAGACCTAAGAAATGATATACACAGCAACACAATACTAGTGGGGGACTTTAATACGCCACTGACAGCACTAGACAGATCATTAAGACAGAAAGCCAACAAAAAAACAATGAATTTAAACTATGCCCTGGAACAAATAGACTTAACAGATATATACAGAACATTTTACCCAACAACTGCAGAATATACGTTCAATTCTTCAGCACATGGAACTTTCTCCAGGATAGACCACATGATAGAGCACAAAACAAGTCTCAATAAATTTAAGAAAACTGAAATTATGTTAAGCACTGTCTCAGACCACAGTGAAATAAAACTGGAAATCAGCTCCAAAAGGAACCTTTAAAACCACGCAAATACATGGAAATTAAATAACCTGCTCCTGAATGATCATTGGGTCAACAATGAAATCAAGATGAAAATTAAAAAATTATTCAAGCTGAATAACAATAGTGACATGACCTACAAAAACCTCTGGGATACAGCAAAGGCGGTGCTAAGAGGAAAGTTCTTAGCCCTATATGCCTACATCAGGAAGTCTGAAAGAGCACAAATAGACAACCTAAGGTCACACCTCAAGGAACTAGAGAAACAAGAACCAAGCCCAAAGCCAGCAGAAGAAAGGAAATAACCCAGATCAGAGCAGAGCTAAATGAAATTGAAACAAAAAAATACAGAAGTGAAACAAAAAGCTGGTTCTTTGAAAAGATAAATAAACTTGATAGACCATTGGCAAGATTAACCAAGAAGAGAGAAAATCCAAAGAAGCTCAAGTAGACATGAAATGGGAGATAGTACAACTGACACCACAGAAATACAAAAGATCATTTGAGGCTACTATGAACACCTTTATGTGCATAAACTAGAAAACCTGGAGGAGATCGATACATTCCTGGGAAGAGAAAACCCTCCTACCTTAAATCAGGAAGAATTAGATACCCTGAACAGACCAATAACAAGCAGCAAGATTGAAATGGTAATAAAAAAATTACAAAAAAAAAAGTCCAGGGCCAGACGGATTCACAACTGAGTTCTACCAGACATTCAAAGAAGAATTGGTACCAATCCTATTGACACTATTCCACAAGATAGAGAAAGAAGGAATCCTCCCTAAATCATTTTATGAAGCCAGTATCATCCTAATACCAAAGCCAGGAAAGAACAAAAGAACATAACAACAACAAAAAAGAAAACTGAAGACCAATATCCCTGATGAACATAGATGCAAAAATCCTTAACAAGATACCAGCTAACCAAATCCAACAACATATCAAAAAGATAATCCACCATGATCAAGTGGGTTTCATAGCAGGGATGCAGGGATGGTCTAACATATGCACGTCAATAAATGTAATACACCACATAAACAATTAAAAACAAAAATCACATGATCATCTCAATAGACACAGAAAAAGCATTTGACAAAATGCAGCATCCTTTTATGATTAAAACTCTCAGCAAAATCAGCCTACAAGGGACATACCTCAATGTAATAAAAACCATGTATGATAAACGCACAGCCAACATAATACTGAATGGGGAAAAGTTGAAAGCATTCCCTCTGAGAATTGGAACAAGACAAGGATGCCCACTTTCACCACTTCAACATAGTACTGGAAGTCCTAGCCAGAGCAATCAGACAAGAGAAAGAATAAAGGCATCCAAGTTGGTAAAGAGGAAGTCAAACTGTCACTGTTTGCTGATGATATGATTGTATACCTGGAAAACCCAGAAGACTCCTCCAAGAAGCTCCTAGAACTGATAAAATAATTCAGCAAATTTCCTGGATACAAAATTAATGTACACAAATCAGTAGCTCTCCTGTACACCAACAGTGACCAAGCTGAGAATCAAATCAAGAACTCAACCACTTTTTACAATAGCTGCAACAAACAAACAAACAAATCACACAATCAAAAAAACTTAGGAATATACCTAACCAAGGAGGTGAAAGACCTCTACAAGGAAAACTACAAAACACTGCTGAAAACAATCATAGATGACACAAACAAATGGAAACACACCCCATGCTCGTGGATGGGTAGAATCAATATTGTGAAAATGACCATACTGCCAAAAGCAATCTACAAATTCAGTGCAATTCCCATATAAATACCAGCATCATTCTTCACAGAACTAGAAAAAAAAATCCTAAAATTCATATGGAACCAAAGAAGAGCCCAAATAGCCAAAGCAAGGCTAAGGGAAAAGAACAAATCTGGAGGCATCACATTACCTGATTTCAAACTATACTGTAAGGCCATAGTCACCAAAACAGGATAGTACTGGTATAAAAATAGGGACAAAGACCAATGGAACAGAATAGAGAACCCAGAAATAAACCCAAATACTTACAGCCAGCTGATCTTTGACAAAGAAAACAAAAACATAAAGTGGGTAAAGGACACCCTATTCAACAAATGGTGCTAGGATAATTGGCAAGCCACATGTAGGAGAATGAAACTGGATCCTCATCTCTCACCTTATACAAAAATCAACTCAAGAAGGACTAAGGACTTAAATCTAAGACCTGAAACTATAAAAATTCTAGAAGGTAACATTGGAAAAACCCTTGTAGACATTGGCTTAGGCAAGGATTTCATGACCAAGAACCAAAAGCAAATGCAATAAAAACAAAGATAAATAGCTGGGACTTAATTTAAGAGCTTTTGCATGGCAAAGGGAATAGTCAGCAGAGTAAACAGACAACCCACAGAGTGGGAGAAAATCTTCACAATCTATACATCTGACAAAGGACTAATATCCAGAATCTACAACAAACTCAAGCAAATTAGCAAGAAAGAAAGAAACAATCTCATCAAAAATTGAGCTAAGGACATGAACAGACAATTCTCAAAAGAAGATATACAAATGGCCAACAAACATATGAAGAAATGCTCAGCATCACTAAGGATCAGGGAAATGCAAATCAAAACCACAGTGTGATACCACCTTACTCCTGCTTCTCTGAATCAGGGTTTTTCTAAAGAAATCTTTCAGAATCAGCAAAAGTGGGGATGACCCAGGCATCTTGATTTGCAAAGTCACAAAACTAAGTTGTCAATTATCACTGTAGATGAGCAACTCATCTTTTTAAAGTATAGTTACTGAACTGATTCTGAGAAATCTTTAGAGAGAAAAAACTCAACAGTACAAATTAACTAATTGGGAAAGTTAGAATGTCCTTTCTGAATTTTTCATTAAAAAATTACATTATCTGAAATAACATACAGCTACTAAACTGCTTTGTATTCTATTAAGAAATAGCTCCTAAAGATGTAGTCTTGTTTCATAGTTGTAAGCCCAATTCTTCTCTGTATAGAAAGGAAACATTGTGTACTTAATGAATTATTTATACAGAGCATTTGTTGCCAACTGTTGTTCCAGCTATCTACACAGGAGTCTGTTCTGAGGTGGCAATAGCACATGGGAAGATGAACTTTCCCTGTTTGTTTACCCGTTTTTCTTTGGCTGTATCTGATGACAGTATAAGATGTTCTTAATAAAGTTTTATGTTCTTTTTGAAAAAAAAATCAGAAAATAATAGAGGTTGGCATAGATGCGGTGAACAGGGAACACTTCTACACTGCTGGTGGGAATGTAAACTAGTACAACCACTATAGAAAACAGTTTGGAGATTCCTTAAAGAACTAGAAGTAGAACTACCATTCAATCGAGCAATGCCACTAGTGGGTATCTACCCAGAGCAAAATAAGTCATTATACAAAAAAGATACTTGCACATGCATGTTTATAGCAGCACAAGTTACAACTGCAAAAATGTGGAACCAACCCAAATACCCATCAGTCAACGAATAGACAAGGAAACTATGGCATATATATATGGTGGAATACTACTCAGCCATAAAAAGGAATGAATTAATGGCATTTGCAGCAATCTGGATGGGATTGGACACTATTCTAAGTGAAGTAACTCAGGAATGGAAAACCAAACATCATATGTTCTCACTCATAAGTGGGAACTAAACTATGAGGATGCAAAGCCATAAGAATGATATTGGGGACTCAGTGGGAAAGGGTGGGAAGGGAGTGAGGGATAAAAGACTACAAATTGGGTTCACTGTATACTGCTTGGGTGATGGGTGCATCAAAGTCTCACAAATCACCGCTAAAGAACTTACTAGTGTAACCAAATACCACCTGTCCCCCTAAAACCTATGGAAATAATAAATAAATAAATAAAAACTTAAGTAAAAACAAATAAAATGTGGCCATTTAGTCCATTTATAATTAATGGAATTATTGATTGATATATATGGGTCTAAGATTATTTTATTGCTCGTTTTCTATTTTTTCACCTGTTTTGTATTATATGTTTTCTTATGTTTTTGGCCTCCTATTTGTTTATTGAGACCGCATCTGGCTCTGTTACCCAGGCTGGTGTGCAGTGGTGTGGTCTCTCTTGCAACCTCCACCTCCCAGGCTCAAGTCATCCTGCCACCTCAGCCTCCCGAGTAGCTGGGGCTACAGGTGCACACCAACATGCTCAGCTAATTTTTGTATTTTTTGTAGAGATGGGGTTTTGCTATGTTGCTTGGGCTGGCCTTGAACTCTTGGGCTCAAGGAATCCACTCGCCTCTGCCTCCCAAAGTGCCAGGATTATAGGCATGAGCCACTGCATCTGGCCTCTTGGCCTCCTTTTGGAATGATTTTTATAAATTATTCTATGATCAGCCTTTGTTAGTTTTGTATTATGCATTTTAAATTGTTATTGTTGTTACTTAGAAAATACAAATATATCCCTGATGTGAGTACTTTATTTTAAAATTTATATATTTAAACTGACAAATAAAAATTGTATACAATTATCATGTATAACATGATGTCTTGAAATACGTATACATCACAGAATGCTAAATCATGCTAATTAACATATATCAGCTCATATACTTATCCTTTTTTTATGATGAGAACACTTAAAATCTACTCAGTGATTTTTCAAGAATACAATAATGTTGTTTTAACTATAGTCTCCATGTTATAAAATAGATATTCTGACTTCCTTATTTATTCTATGAAACTAAATTTTGTATCCTTTGACAAACAACTCCCCAATTCCCCCATTTTCTGTCCCCCATTTCCCTGCTCCCAGTACCTGGTAACCACCATTCTACTCTCTGCTTCTTCGTTCAACTTTTTAAGATTCCACATATAAGTGAGATCATGTGGTATTTATCTTTCTGTGCCTTACATTTCACTTAACATAATGTCCTCCAGGTTCATCCATGTTGTCACAAATGACAGAATTTCCTTGTTTTTTAAAAGCTGAATAGTATTCCACTACATACATACATATATATATATATATATATATATATATATCACATTTTCTTTATCCATTTGATGCAGGACAGACATGCCCCAAAATTAGAGCTTAGCCCAGGAAAGTTCTTGACTTTGCCCAGGAATGAATTCAAGGGCAAGCCAGTGGTTTTAGACAGCAATCTTTTATTGAACTTTATTGCTCCTTGCAGAGCAGGGCTAACTCATAGATAATGTGCCAAGTTGGCAATGAATGGACTGTTGGCAACTCTATACCCACTTATACCCACTTTCAATCATATGCCAATCAGTGGTGGGTTAATGCAAATTGAGGAGTAGTTTATTTAAAGCTTTCTAGGAAAGGGGTGGTAACTTCTCGGTCATTGTCATGGGAAGGGGCAATAACTTCTGGGTCCTTACCATGGCATTTGAAAACCGTCATGGTGCTGGTGTCTTATACTAATGAGTAGTGGGGGCAACTAGGGATTGCTTTTGTTACCATCTGCTAGTTTCTGCTGTTTTTTTCACTTATCCTGTCAGTACTAGGAAATAAGTCCTGCCAGTCTCCTACCTCATTCCCCCCTCAGATATTAGATACTCCTCCTTAATCTTAAGGGGGCTGAAGAAGGGTGGAGGTCCATCTTCTGTAACTGCTTCCTGCTGATTTTATGGGCATAGGCCCTGATATGGTTTGGATTTGTGTCCCTGCCCAAATCTTATGTCAAATTTTAATCCCCAATGTCGGAGGAGGGGCCTGGTGGGAGGTGATTGGATCAAGGGGGTGGAGTTCCCCTTTGCCATTCTTATGATACTGAGTTCTCACGAGATCTGGTTGTTTAAAAGTGTGCAGCACCTCCCCCTTCTCTCTCTTCCTCCTGCTCCAGCCATGTAAGATATTGCCTGATTCCCCTTCACATTCCATCATGATTGTAAGTTTCCTGAGGCCTCCCCAGAACATGTACAGCCTGCAGAACTGTGAGCCAATTAAACCTCTTTTCTTTATAAATTACCCAGTTTCAGGCATTTCTTTATAGCAATGTGAGAACGGACTAACACAGAAAATTGGTACTGGGAAGTGGGGCATTGCTATAAAGATACCTGAAAATATAAATCTTAAACTATGAACTTTGGGTGATAATAACACATACACATAGATGAGACTATGAACAAATATTAGGAGAAGCAAATCGTAATTTTAGAAACAGTAAATATTAGTAATTGGCTAAAACTCAATAGGCTAATCAGGACATTAGACACTGAAAAGAAAATCAGTGAATTGGAAGGTAGACTTGAGGAAGTTGTCTATACTGCATTGCAGACAGACTTAAAAATACATAAAAACAAGGTTAACAGAAATAGAGACTAGAATGAGAAGATCCAAAATACATTTGAATTCCAGAAAGAGAATATAGAAAGCATGGAGGAAAAGCAAAGTTCAAAGAAAGAATGCTTAAGAATTTTTCAAAATTGATGAAAGACATTACTGTAAAGTTTTAAGATGCACCCTCCTAAAGCAGGAATAATGAAAATGGACTGGACACATAGTAGTGAAACTGTGTAACACCAAGACAAAGACAAAATTCTAAATATTACCAGACAGAAAAAGACAAAATAACCTGCAAACTAACTAGGTATTAAGCAGACTTCTTAAGAGCAAAAACAAAGGCCAAAAGGCAATGGATAACATCTTCAATTAGCTGAGAAAATACATTGAGTTCCTTATTCAGCAAAACTGTTATTTTACAATGAAGGCGAAGTTAATTTTTCTGGCAAAAGTCCAAGAATTTATTATTCACAGATCCTCATTTAAAAATGAAACCACAGGCGGGGTGCGATGGCTCACACTGGTAATCTCAACACTTTGGGAGGCCAAGGCAGGCAGATCACTTGAGGTCAGGAGTTCGAGACCAGCCTGGCCAACATGGTGAAACCCTGTTTCTATTAAAAATAGAAAAATTAGCTGGGTATGGTGGCACATATCTGTAGTCCCAGATACTCGGGAGGCTGAGGTGGGAGAATCGCTTGAACTCGGGAGGTGGAGGTTGCAGTGAGCTGAGATTGCACTACTGCGCCCTATCTTGGGTGACAGAATGAGAGAGCCTGTCTCACACAAAAAAACTAAAAACCAAAAAACAAAAAAATCAAACCACAAAGCAAGGATTAAGATACAAAGAGAAATAGTGAGCAATATTGGTAAATATATGAATATATCTGAAAAACACAGACTATAAAAATAATTTTATCATGACTAATTTTGGGGTGCATAAATGTAGCAGAATGAAAATATCAGACAACAATAGCAAAGACAGTGGAATAGTACTGTAAAATTATGCAATATGGAAAGCACTTGGTAAGGTGTCATAAACAAAACTGAGTAAATCAGTAATCATCATAAATACAAATGGTTTAAACTTGCCCCTTAAAAGATCTATACTCTAAGACAGGGAAAAAGGATCCAGTTATTTTCTATTCACAAGACTTATTGGAATCTGAAAAGTAAAATAATAGAGAAAGACAAAGCAGAGGAAAATATTAACCAAAAAGCTATTATTTAAAATAGAATTTAAATCAGAAATTACTATTTGAAATAAAGAATACTGGAAGTTCCTGGGAAAGATGGCTGAATAGGAACAGCTCTGGTCTGCAGCTCCCAGTGAGACCAATGCAGAAGGCGGGTGATTTCTGCATTTCCAACTGAGGTACCCAGTTCATCTCATTGGGACTGGTTAGAAAGTAGGTGCAGCTCATGGAGGGTGAGCAGAAGTGGGGTGGGTTGTTGGTTCACCTGGGAAGTGCAAGGAGCTGGGGACCTCCCTCCTCTAGCCAAGGGGAGCCGTGAGGGACTGTGCTATCCGGACCAGGGACTGTGCTATCTGGACCAGATACTATGCTTTTCCCATGGTTTTTGCAACCCACAGACCAGGAGATTCCCTTGTGTGCCTACACCACTAGGGTGCTGGGTTTCAAGCACAAAACTGGGTGGCTGTTTGGGCAGACACCGAGCTAGCTGCAATTTTTTTTTTCATAGGCCAGTGGCACCTGGAACCCCAGCAAGACAGAACCATTCACTCCCCTGGAAAGGGGGCTGAAGCCAGGGAGCCAAGTGGTCTCGCTCAGTGGGTCCCACTCCCCCAGCGCCCAGCAAGCTAATAACCACTGGCTTGAAATTCTCACTGCCAGCATAGCAGTCTGAAGTCGACCTGGGACAATCCAGGTTGGTGTGGGGAGGGGCGCCCGCCATTACTGAGGCTTGTGTGGGTGGTTTTCCCCTCACAGTGTTAAGGAAGCCACTGGGAAGTTCGGACTTTGCAGAATTCACTGCAGTGCAGCAAAGCAGCTGTGGCCAGACTGCCTCTCTAGATTCCTCCTCAATGGGCAGGGCATCTTTGAAAGAAAGGCAGCCCCAGTCAGGGGCTTATATGTAAAACTCCCATCTTCCTGGGACAGAGCACCTGGGGGAAGGGGCGGCTGTGGGAGCAGCTTCAGCAGACTTAAACATTCCTGCCTGCCAGCTCTGAAGAGAACAGCAGATCTCCCAGCACAGTGCTTGAGCTCTGCTAAGGGACAGACTGCCTCCTCAAGTGGGTCCCTGACCCCCATGCCTCCTAACTGGAAGACACCTCCCATCAGTGGTTGACAGACACCTCATACAGGAGAGCTCTGGCTGGCATCAGACTGGTGCCCTCTGAGATGAAGCTTCCAGAGGAAGGAACAGGCAGCAATCTTTGCTGTTCTGCAGGCTCCACTGGTGATACCCGGGCAAATAGGGTGTATAGTGGACCTCCAGTAAACTCCAGCAGGCCTGCAGAAGAGGGTCCTGACTGTTAGAAGGAAAACCAAAAAACAGAAAGCAATAACATCAGCTGGGCATGGTGGTTTATTCCCAGAACTTTGGGAAGCTGAGGCGGGCAAATCACAAGGTCAGGAGTTTGAGACCAGCCTAGCCAATATGGTGAAACCCTGTTTCTACTAAAAATACAAAAAGTAGCTGGGCATGGTGGCGCGCACTTGTAGTCCCAGCTACTTGGGAGGCTGAGGTGGGAGAATCACTCGAACCTGGAAGGTGGAGGTTGCAGTGAGCCCAGATCACGCCGCTGCACTCCAGGTTGGGCAACAGAGCGAGACTTTGTCTCAAAAAAAAAAAAAAAAAAAAAGGCAATAACATCAACATCAACAAAAAAAAGGATGCCCACACAAAAACCACATCCAAGGTCATCAACATCAAAGATGAAAAGTAGATAAATCCACAAAGATGAGGAAAAACCAGTGCAAAAATGCTGAAAATTCCAAAAACCAGAATGCCTCTTCTCCTTCAAATGATTGCAATGCCTCTCCAGCAAGAGCACAAAACTGGACAGAGAATGAGTTTGACGAACTGACAGAAGTAGGCTTCAGAAAGTGGGTAATAACAAACTCCTCTGAGCTAAAGGAGCATGTTCAAACCCAATGCAAGGAAACTAAGAACCTTGATAAAAGGTTACAGGAACTGCTAACTAGAATAACTAGTTTAGAGAAGAACATAAATGACCTAATGGAGGTGAAAAAACACAGCACAAGAACTTCGTGAAGTGTACACAAGTATCAATAGCCAAATTGATCAAGTGGAAGAAAGGATATCAGAAATTGAAGATCAATTTAATGAAATAAAGTGTGAAGACAAGATTAGAGAAAAAAAATGAAAAGGAATGAACAAAGCCTCCAAGAAATATGGGACTATGTGGAAAGACCAAACCTACGATTGATCGGTGTACCTGAAAGTGACAGGAAGAATGGAACCAAGTTGGAAAACAAGCTTCAGGATGTTATCCAGGAAAACTTCCCCAGCTTAGCAAGACAGGCCAGCATTCAAATTCAGGAAATATAGAGAACACCACAAAGATATTCCTCGAGAAGAGCAACCCCAAGACACAAAATCTTCAGATTCTCCAAGGTTGAAATGAAGGAGAAAATGTTAAGGGCAGCCAGAGAGAAAGGTCAGGTTACCTATAAAGGGAAGCCCACTAGACTAACATTGGCTCTCTCTGCAGAAACCCTATAAGCCAGAAAAGAGTGGGGGCCAATACTCAGTATTCTTAAAGAAAATAATTTTCAACTCAGAATTTCATATCCAGCCACACTAAGCTTCATAAGGGAAGGAGAAATAAAATCCTTTACAGACAAGCAAGTGCTGAGGGATTTTGTCACCACCAGGCCTACCTTAAAAGAGCTCCTGAAGGAAGCACTAAATATGGAAAGGAAAAACCAGTACCAGCCACTGCAAAAACACACCAAAATATAAAGACCAACGACACTATGAAGAAACTGCACCAACTAATATGCAAAATAACCAACTAGCACCAGGAGGACAGGATCAAATTCACACATAACAATATTAACCTTAAATGTAAATGGGCTAAATGCCCCAGTTAAAAGACACAGACTGGCAAATTGGATAAATAGTCAAGACCCATCAGTGTGCTGTATTCAGGAGACCCATCTCATGTGCAAAGATACACATAGGTTCAAAATAAAGGGATGGAGGAATATTTAACAAGCAAATGGAAAGAAAAAAAAAAGCAGGGGTTGCAATCTTAGTCTCTGATAAAACAGACTTTAAACAAACAAAGATCAAAAAGACAAAGAAGGGCATCACATAATGGTAAAGGGATCAATATAACAAGAACAGCTAACTATCCTAAATATATATGCACCCAATACGGGAGCACCCAGATTCATAAAGCAAGTTCCTAGAGACCTATAAAGAGACTTAGACTCCCACACAATAATAATAATTCCTGGACACATACACTCTCCCAAGACTAAACCTGGAAGAAGTTGAATCCCTGAATAGACCAGTAACAAGTTCTGAAATTGAGGCAATAATTAATAGCCTACTACCCCCCAAAAAAGCCCAGGAGCAGACGGATTCACAGGCGAATTCTACCAGAGGTACAAAGAGGAGCTGGTACCATTCCTTCTGAAACTATTCCAAACAATAAAAAAAGAGGGACTCCTCCCTAACTCATTTTATGAGGCCAGCGTCATCCTGATACCAAAACCTAACAGAGACACAACAAAAAAAGAAAGTTTCAGGCCAATATCTCTGAAGAAGATTGATGCAAAAATCCTTAGTAAAATACATGCAAACTGAATCCAGCAGCACATCAAAAAGCTTATCCACCATGATCAAGTCGACTTCATCCCTGGGATGCAAGGCTGGTTCAACATACGCAAATCAATAAACATAATCCATCACATGAACAGAACCAATGACAAAACCCACATGATTATCTCAATAGATACAGAAAAGGCCTTCGATTAAATTTGATACCCCTTCATGCTAAAAACACTCAATAAACTAGGTATTGATGAAACATATCTCAAACTAATAAGAGCTATTCGTGACAAACCCATAGCTAATATACTGAATGAGCAAAAGCTGGAAGCATTCCATTTGAAAACTAGCACGAGACAAAGATGCCCTCTCTCACCACTCCTGTTCAACATAGTGTTGGAAAATCTGGCCGGGGCAATCAAGCAAGAGAAAGCAATAAAGAGTATTCAAATAGGAAGAGAGGAAGTCAAATTGTCTCTGTCTGCAGATGACATGATTGTATATTTAGAAAACTCCATCGTCTCAGCCCCAAAACTTCTTAAGCTGATAAGCAACTTCAGCAAAGTCTCAGGATACAAAATTAATGTGCAAAAATCACAAGCATTCTATATACCAATAATAGACAAAGAGAGCCAAATCATGAGTGAGCTCACAATTGCTACAAAGAGAATAAAACACCTAGAAATACAACTTACAAGGGATGTGAAGGACCTTTTCAAGGAGAACTACACACCACTGCTCAAGGAAATAAGAGAGGACACAAACAAGTGGAAAAACATTCCATGCTCGTGGATAGGAAGAATCAATATTGTGAAAATGGCCATATGGCCCAAAGTAATTTATAGATTCAATGCTATTCCCATCAGGCTACCATTGACTTTCTTCACAGAATTAGAAAAAACGACTTCAAATTTCATATGGAACCAAAAAAAGGGCCCATATAGCCAAGACAATCCTAAGCAAAAAGAACAAAGCTGGAGGCATCATGCTACCTGACTTCAAACTATACTATAAGGCTACAGTAACTAAAAGAACATGGGACTGGTACCAAAACTGATATATAGACCAATAGAACAGAAGAGAGGCTTCAGAAATAACACCACATGTCTACAACCATCTGATCTTTGACAAACCTGACACACACAAGCAATGGGGAAAGGATTCCCTAATTAATAAATGGTGTTGGGAAAACTGGCTAGCCATATGCAGAAAACTGAAACTGGACCCCTTCCTTACACCTTATACAAAATTACCTGAATAAAGACTTAAACAGAAAACCTAAAACCGTAAAAACTCTAGAAAAAAACCTAGGCAATACCATTCAGGACATAGGCATGGGCAAAAAAGATTTCATGACTAAAACACCAAAAGCAATGGCAACAAAAGCCAAAATTGACAAATGGGATCTAATTAAACCAAAGAGCTTCTGCGCAGCAAAAGAAACTTGTCATCAGAGTGAACAGGCAGCCTACAGAATGGGAGAAAATTTTTGCAATCTATCCATCTGAGGAAGGTCTAATATCCAGAACCTACAGGGAACTTAACAAATTTACAAGAAAACAAAACAACCTCATCAAAAAGTGGGCAAAGGATATGAACAGACACTTCTCAAAAGAAGACATTTATGTGGCCAAGAAACATATGAAAAAAGCTCATTATCACTGGTCCTTAGAGAAATGCAAATCAAATCCACAATGAGATTCCATCTTATGCCAGTTAGAATGGCAATCATTAAAAAGTCAGGAAACAACAGATGCTGGAGAGGCTGTGGAGAAATAGGAACACTTTTACACTGTTGATGGGAGTGTAAATTAGTTCAACCATTGTGGAAGACAGTGTGGTGATTCCTCAAGGATCTAGAACCAGAAATACCATTTGACCCAGCAATCCCATTACTGGGTATATCCCCAAAGGATTATAAATCATTCTACTATAAAGACACATGCACACGTATGTTTACTGCAGCACTATTTACAATAGCAAAGACTTGGAACCAACCCAAATGCCCATCAATGATAGACTGGATAAAGAAAATGTGGCACATATATACTATGCAGTCATAAAAAAGAATGAGTTCATGTTCTTTGCAGGAACGTGGATGAAGCTATAAACCATCATTCTCAGCAAACTAACACAGGAACAGAAAACTAAACACTGCATGTTCTTGCTCATAAGTGGGAGTTGAACAATGACAACACATGGACACGGGGACGGGGATATCTCACACCAGGGCCTGTCAGGGTGTGAGGGGCAAGAGGAGGGAGAGCATTAGGACAAATACCTAATGCAGGTGGGGCTTAAAACCTAGATGACAAATTGATGGGTGCAGCAAACCACCATGGCACGTGAATACTTATGTAACAAACCTGCACGTTCTGTACATGTATCCCAGAACTTAAAGTATAATAATACAAAAAGAAAGAAAGAATATCATTAAAATTAATAAAAGAAATTATTCTCCTGGAAAAAGCTGGATTCTATACACACAGAACAAATACTAAAAATGCATAAATGTAAATTGTATGAAGCAAAATTGTATCTCTTTACACAGTATACTAAGAAATCCAAGAAATGGCCAGAAAATTATTAGTAATGATATGAGAGTCTGATGTCACATTAATCAAGATAAATACAAAGATTACTTTTCTCTACACTTGTTAAAATTAATTAAAAAAATGTAAAAATCACACTTACAATGACAACAAAACATTATAGGTACCTAGGAGTAAATATAACAAGAACTAATATGAAGAAGTCTGTAAACTTTTCAGAAAGCACCAATTGTAAAGTCTTGTGAAAGCACCAATATGAAGACCTAAACCAATGAAGACTCATACAACATTTCTGGGTGAAGTGACTTCAGTAATAACAATAATGTCAAATATCTCCAAATAGTTAACTCATTTTCAGCCAGAATGCTATTTTTTTTAGAGGGGAGTCAGGTAAAATTAAAGTTCATGTGGTGGAACATATTCCAAAAGAGCCAAGAAAACAAAGAACAAAGAGCAGAATGAGACATGCTTAATAGATACTCAAACTTTCTATATACCCTGTATAATCAAAGCAGTATGATATGACGTTTTTATCCTAATTGCCTCACTTTACAAAATTGTAATATTACCAATATACTGTATATCTGCTTGTGTATTTTATTGTCTATATATCTGCTTATGTACTTTATACATAAGCTGATAAGCAACTTCAGCAAAGTCTTAGGATACTGAACATCTGTGATTTATACCTGAAAAGAATAAATCGCAATAAATCATTGGATTTCTTGATCCACCCAGAACTCGTTTTTGACCCTTGGAGGGCAATGTGGCCCCTGTTGAGAATGCATGATTTAGGGGAAAAAGAATAATTGATTCTACAAATGCTACTGATATAATTTGATATCTGTCAAGAAGGAAAAAAAGTGAAACCTCTGTTCACACCATAAACAAAATGGATTAAATATTTAATTGAAGAGAAATAGAAAATAAAAATTATAAAAGAGAAAAAAATTAAGTGACTATAAATATGTGTACCATAGTAGTCAAGGAGACCATTTATTTATTTATTTATTTATTTATTTTATTTTATTTTTTCAACTTTATTTTAGATTCAGCAAGTACATGTGGAGGTTTGTTACCTGTGAGTATTGTATAATGCTGAGGTTTGGAATATGAATGATCCTGTCACTCAGGTAGTGAGCATAGTAGCCAATAGGTAGATTTTCAACCCTCATCCTCCTCTCTTCTTCCCCTCTCTTCTTGTCTCCAGTATCTATTGTTCCCATCTTTATGTTCATGTGTACCCAATGTTTAGCTCCCACTTGTGAGAACAAGCTGTATTTGGTTTTGTTTCTGTGTTAATTAGCATAGGATAATGGCCTCCAGCTGCATCTGTGTGGCTGCAAAGGACATTTCATTCTTGTTAATGGCTGGGTAGTATTCCATGGTATATATGTACCACATTTCTTTATCCAGTCCACTACTGATGGGCACCTAAGTTGATTCCGTGTCTTTGCTATTGTGAATAGCACTGCGATGAACATATGAACGCACCTGTCTTTTTGGTAGAATAATTTTTCTTTGAGTGTTATATATATATATGTAATGGGATTGCTGGGCCAAATGGTAGTTCTTTTAGTTATTTGAGAAATATCCAAACTGCTTTCCACAGTGGCTGAACTAACTTACATTCTCATTAATCATGTATATGCATTCCAAAGAGACCCTTTAGAAAGCCCAGAAGTTTCCGAGGATAAGGCAGACATATTTGACTAGATGAAATATATTTTTGTATAGTAAAATGTACCTTCATTTAATCTACTTCATGTCAGTTAACAAATCTTTGATGAGCATCTACTATGTGCGAGGCACTTTTCTAAGCATGGAGATTCAGCAGTGAACAAAGTCCCTTAGAGTTTACATTCTTGTGGGGCAGAAAGTCAATAAACAAAAATAAATATATGATGTCAGGTGATAAATGCTGGTAATAAAGATACATCAGGGCAAAGAGATAGAGAATGGGGGGTACTGTTTTACTTAGGGTAGTCAAATTTAAGCATATTTCTTAAAATAATTGAGTAGTGCATATGTTTGAGGGGGAGTGTTCAGGCTGATTCTGAAGCAAGAACATGCTTGGCAGGCATGAGGAGAAATGAGGAGGCCAGTGTGGCTGCATCAATGGAAGGGAGATGGAGAGTGGGTGATGAGGCTAGAGGAGAAGCCAGAAGCTAGATACTGTAAGGCCTTCAAGGCCAGGATAAGAACTTTCATGAAGCTGGGCCTGGTGGCTCAGCCTAATCCCAGCACTTTGGGAGGCTGAGGCGGGAGGTTTGCTTGAGCCCAGGAGTTTGAGACCAGCCTGGGCAACATAAGACCTCATCTCTAGCAAACCTAAAAAATAAAAAATTAGTTGGGCATGGTGGCGTGCATTTGTAGTCCCAACTACTCAGGAGGCCAAATGGAAGGATTGCTTGAGCCTGGGAGGTTGAGGTTGCAGTGAGCTGTGATCATGCCAGTGCACTCCAGCCTGGGCAACAGCTCGAGACCCTATCTCAAACTAACAAACAAAGAAACAAAAAAACAACTTTGCAATTTTTACGCTGATGGGGGTTGGTCTTTGGAGAGTTTTGAGTAGAGAAGTGACTTCATCTGATTTATATTTTGAAAGCACGATTCCGTTGGGAGTGGGGAGTGGGATTGGGAAGCTCAGTTTGGAAGCAGGCACAGCAATGCAGGTGAGGTATGGCGATGGTTTGGACTTCTTGATGAAGGAGATGAGTAGTAGTCAGATTCAAGATATAATTTTAGGGTACAGGTTGATGAATTGGATGTAGAGAAAGAATGAGTAGATTGGGAAAACATTTTCAACACAAATGGCAGATAAAAACTTAATATGCAAAAACACATAAAACTGAGTAAGACAAAGGGCAAACCACCAGTTTGAAAAGCAATTAAATCACAGGAGAGAAAATTCAAAATACGATTAAACTTATGAAAAAATGTTCAGTCTCACTAGTAGTCAGGAAAATACAATTAAAGAAACAGTTAGATACCACTTTTCTCAATAGACAAAGATTAAAAATAGCTACCGCTTCCAGCACCAGTGCAAGTATGGGGAAGATAGGACTCTCATATCTTCCTGTAGGAATATGAATTATTACAAATTTGGGGAAAAGGAATTAGGTAATATCTATTAACATTAAAATACACATTTCTTTTGATCTGGCAGTTCTACTTCTGGAAATCTATCCTAGAGAAATAAAATCCTGATCATATATAGAGATGTGTATTGCAGTATCATTTGGCAATGGCAGAATCATTTAGCCAAAGGCAAAAGGTTGGAAACAAGCTAAATGTCTATCTTTAAGGAAATGGTTGAATAAGCAGTAATTCATTCACACTACTGGATGCTGTGCTATTAAAATGTTAGATTGATGTGTTGCCCATGATGTATTGTTAGGCAAAGAAGACAAGTTGCAGAATTATGTATATAGTTTGACCCTATTTTTAGAAAAAAATTCCTACATATACTCATATTTGCATATATTTTTATATAAACATGGATTAAGATGTGGAGAGATTCATAGAAACTTAACACTGTGAGTTTTTAATTTTTGAAGAGAGAAACTTAATAAAGATTTGAATAGAAAATTTATTGAGACCTAGCTTACAACGTGTATAATCTGTAGTGTGGCATCTCAGGTTTGACTTCCCGGTCTTGGCAAGTGCTCAAGCTTCTGGATGATGATAGATAAGAGTGTCTTTATTCCTGAAACACTAAGATTACAGGCTTGTATTTCTTCAAAACCACAATTGGAACTTCTCAAGTAGAGTGTAGGAACACTAGTTGTTTTTTTCCTATTCCTGATTGTTTTTAAGGGGGAGAGTAAAGGAATCTCATCAAATATAAAACTGAATATTTTGATCAATTTTTCAGCTTATTCTTTTATTCCTTTGGATCCTGTTTTTTCCTTCTATATCTTGTCCCCTTTCTCGGTTCCCTGTATTCACTTCCTTGATATGTCAGTTATAACCTAGGGTGAGAGATATTTAGGGGAAAATGGGAAATTGCATTTTTTTATTTTTATTTTTTGAGACAGAGTCTCACTCTGTCGCCCAGGCTGGAGTGCAGTGGCACGATCTCGGCTCACTGTAACCTCTGCCTCCCGGGTTCAAGCAATTCTCCTGCCTCAGCCTCCTGAGTAGCTGGGACTACAGGTGTGCACCACCACGCCTGGCTAATTTTTGTATTTTTAGTAGAGACGGGTTTCCCCATGTTGGCCAGGCTGGTCTTGAACTTCTGATCTCATGATCTACCCTCCTCGGCCTCCCAAAGTGCTGGAATTACAGACATGAGCCCCACACCCAGCCAGGAAATTGCATTTTTAATGCACTACTAACTCAGGGAGTCTTTAATTGGGATAGGAGCCGCATTAACTGATTTTACATAAATTGTTTGTTTCCTAATATTTTGTGTTTCTCATTCAGCTTCATTATCTCTAAACTCACCTTTCTGCTTTTCTTTCCTATGTTCTGCTCCTAAATGAAAAATGACTAATTGAATTGACTTCTATTCCATTCTTGTGAACAGGACATTTGACATTTGTATTAGTTGATTTGCAAAACAAAATTTACTATTGATTTCTTAAGGTAAGTTTCACATTCCTGCTTTTATATTGCCACTATCTTAGAAGTATATATTTATGTATTTTCTTAAAATTTTCATCATTTTGTTAAACATGGTGTCATTTTGATAGCTTGTCCTTTCTCCCTTCCTTTGTTTGGGGTCCTTTAAGATTTCCACATGTGTATCTTTACAGGAGGGTTAACAATTGCTTTAAATTTGTCAGTTTTTCAGTGGCCTTTAGAAAATGGTCCACAGAATTTTTATAGTTGGAGTATTCTATTGTATGATTTACTTGCCTTCAAAGACCTAGTGGGAGTGCAAATGTTTTGACCCCAAGTTAGAAGTTATGGAGAAGATACAGGGAGGTTTCTATAGATCTATCTCTTCTGAATTCTTGCTTCAGTGGGACATACACACAGATATGGAGTCAGCTGAGCTGGGTTGCTGAAGCCTATCTACTGTTTTTTAGTAATTGCCTTGACAAGGTCCCTGCTTCTTACCAGAAATCTGAGAGAAGTTGAATTAGTCATACCCTTCTAAAACCTAGTAGTGGCTGGGCACAGTGGCTCACGCCTGTAATCCCAGCACTTTGGGAGGCTGAGGCGGTGGATCACCTGAGGTCAGGAGTTTGAGACCAGCCTGGACAACATGGTGAAACCCCATCTCTACTAAAAATACACTAATTAGCTGGGCTTGGTGGTGCACTCCTGTAATCCCAGCTACTTAGGAGGCTGAGGCATGAGAATCGCTTGAACCCAGGAGGAGGAGGTTGCAGTGAGCCAAGATCATGCCACTGCACTCCAGCCTGGGTGAAGAGTGAGGAAAAACAAACAAGCAAACAAACAACCTACTAGTTAGCTGTCACATGGACCAGAGGGGCTATAGGAAAAATGACATGAGAATGATGAAAATCTAATACTTTTAACTATGTGAAAATCTTTCTGGTCAAAAATGTTCCCTGATAACAGCATAATGTATGTAAAAGACATGCCAACAAAGGCTGGTAAAATCTCTAAATGTGTATTTTCCACAGATGACAAAAGCAACTTACAATATTAAAATCCATGTTTAATATCTGTCTTCTTCTCTCTCACTCTCTCTCTCTCTGGCAACTCAGTTTTGCTAAACCTGTGCAGCTCATCAAAGACCTGAGGATTCTGTGACTTCTAAAATTAACATAGGCTTCCATACCTGCGGCAGGGCTGTGAGAACACAGTAGACAGCCATACAGTGGATTAGATTGTGCTAGAAGTTATGGAGATACTCTTTTAAGGTTGTGATTGGGTAGCCTGAAACATTTATGAAACATTTTATACTTTGGGCAGAGACTAATGTCTGGTTTCTCTCCTTTTTTCATCAAACGCCTCCAAAGAATAGCATATCAGTATGAAAAGCTTCCTTGGAAGACATCTAGTTAGTCCAAAGAATTTGATAACTAGAATTATAGACTCTCAGGAAGTCTATTTGGAAGGGACCATAAAGATAACTTATTCCAATTACTCAGCTGTTTCCTGAGTCTCCTCTATGGCATTCTCACTGAATGAGCCTTAAACTCTTGCTTAAACTCTTTGGACCTCCACTTCTCCTTATTACTAAGATAAAATTTGTTACTTTGTACCTTCCATTCACTGATCTCATTTCTTTGGGGCTATACAAAATATTCTAATCCCTTATGAACTTTCACTATTTGAAAGTAATTCTCATTGTTTCCTCATATTTGTCTTCCCAGGGGAATTCTGCAACTTCCTGCACACTTGAGTCTTTCTCTCCTGAAGGCATTTAGTTTATCCACATCCCATGATTGAACTAAATGTATATTCAGGGTGTGGGCTAACCAGCACAGTATTGAACAGTATAAAAATAAAATTTCTAAAAATGATTATTTTAAAATAGACTAAAATAAGTTAACTCTGTTGGATGTTTGAAAGGCACATCCCACAACTACTTACTTGTATCTCTATATTCTTCCTGCTTACCTTCCTTCTCCTAGCTTCCTTTCTTTGGAAAGTGCTCTTTAGAAGTTCATTAGTCAGCTCCAAATAGCAACTACAGTGTTCTTTCAGTCCTTATTTTCCTTGAAGTCTCAGTCATTTTTTTCTCAAAACTCTCATCTTCCTTAATTATTGGAACATTCCACTATACAGGTTTTCCTTCTATCTTCCTATCCCTTAGTTAAATTTCTTCAATATATTACATATAACAAACTCAGTCCTTGGACTTCTGCTTTCGTTAGTCCTGTACTTCCTCCTTTGAAGAACTCACTCTTATTGCTTCAATTGTTACCTGTACTCATCTAATTCCAGATATCTCTTGAATGACAAATGTTATTGCTTATCCCCTTAAAACAATTTGTTGTTCCCTCCCTGTCCCCCAAATTAGTTCCTAGTTTGTTTGTTACCTAGTTTCAAAAGTTTTGAAACCATTGTTTTTTTCACTTTTCCTTACTCCTATGCAGTCAGTCATCATGAAGTAATGATTCTTCTTTGATTTTTTTTCCTATTTATTCTCTTTCCATTACTTACTCCAAGTACTTCTTAATTAGATTTACTATCTATGATGTTTCTTTTTCTATCTTATTTTTCACAATCACATGATACAACCTTATTTTTAAAATGATACAACCTTATTCATTTCACTCTGTGTCTCAAACATTGTAGAATGCTTCCAGCTGCCTGAAGAGTAAAATATAAATTCCTGGCTTGTTTTTCAAATCCTTTTATATTCTCCTTTTCAAAATTATACCCCAGGATGCCTCCCATGAATCTTCCGTAACAGCAAAATTGCCTACTGCACCTGGAGCATGGCACGACAGCCTTTAACCCTTTACCTTTCTTTTACTCTTTGTAATTCACTCAGCATATCAACACCTTATCCATCTGCTGTGACATATTGTATACCACTACTCCCTTCCCCATGAAGTTACCACCTCTACTTTCTCATCCCATGATGGATTATGTTGTCCATCTAAACTTTTTGTAACTTAGATTTTACTTAAAAAATTGCCATGTATACATATATCACTATATATGTTATAAGCTACTTGATTGCAGGAGCTTTGACTTGTGTTTTTCTGTACACCCCTTATTGCTAGACCAGTGCCTTGCAAACATTAGGCTTGCCATGAGGAGTTACTGGTTGATTGGTTGGAAAGGCTATCATAGACATACTTGTCAAAGGAAATTACTATATATTTCTTTAATTAAAATGTTTTACTTCAGAAAGTATCCAGTCTTTCTTGACGGAATCATATACGTCTTAACTTATGAAACAAATATTTGGAAACTGAGGTTTGTGGCTGAGAGATTAAAAAGGGTGAAACTTCTGAAGAGCAGAAACTGTGATATGAAGATGAAAGGGATTTTATAATTGTAATCTGTTTAGGCAATGGCTGGGATATGGTTTGTATCTGGAGTATGGGAATCATAATAATCACTTGTCTTATGGGCCTTTAAAAAATTTATCCTTACTCTTCCACTTTTTTGTTGTACTTCCTTCCTGTATTTGCCTTCGCCCTTTTCGAGCCTTTTGATTTTTCACCATTGATTTCTGATTCTCTCTTTCCTTTAACTTTGTCCTTTCCTTTGTCACCTTTTGTGTTTTTGTCACCTTTTTCTTTTTTATTTGGATCTTTCTCTGCATCTCTCTCCTTTTCTTTATCATTATTTCCTTTATCCTCAAAACTCTCCTTCTTTTCTTGGGCTTCCTGTCCTTTTAGTACACCTGACTCACTCTTCTTTACTTGGGATTCCAGTGTTTCTGGTACACTCACCTCAGTGTTCTTTACTTGGGATTCTGGTCCTTTCAGTACACCTGCCTCACTCTTCTTTTCTTGGACCTCTTGTTCCTTTGGCACATCTGCCTCAGTCTTCTCTACTTGGCCTTCTTGTCCTTTTGGTACCTTCAACTCACTCTTCTCTACCTGGGCTTCCTGTCCTTTCAGTACAACTGACTCCCTCTTCTTTACCTGGGCTTCCTGTCCCTTTGAGACACCAGACTGACTCTTCTTTACTTGGGATTCCTGTCTTCTTGGCACACCCATCTCACTCTTCTCTACCTGGGCTTCCTGTCCTTTCAGTACAACCAACCCACTCTTCGTTACTTGGGCTTCTTGTCCTTTTGGGACACCTGACTCACTCTTCTTTACTTGGGACTCCTGTCCTCTTGGTACATCTGACACACTTTTCTTTATTTGGGCTCCCTGTCCTTGTGGTATACTCATCTCACTGATTTTTAGTTGGGTTTCCTGTCTTTTTGGTATTCCAGCGTCACTGTCTACCTTGACCTCCATTCCTATTTTGTCTTTCTCTAAATCAGTGCCTTTTCCTTCTCTTTCTGGCTCCTTTATGTGTGCTGATTTCAAGGATTCTACAGAATTCGTAAATATGATGTCATTCTTTAGTGCTTCCTTGTTTTCTTCTCGGCTATTCTGAGACCTTGCAGTGCCTCCACATTTTAGAATCTGGATTTTGGAACAAGGTTTTTTTGCAAGTTCTTCATCCATGTAACCTGTTAATATAACTGAGCATACAACAAAAGGGCGTGATTTAGATATCAAGTATTTTCTCTTTATTTCTATTTTTTTCCCCTTGATACTGGTTCCTTTTTTGTCTTAAAACTGACAAACTAAAATTTTTCTGAATCTCAAGTTATCTAAAATGATGGTTCTCTGTACATAAAATTATAAAAGTATCGATAAAATTCTGGACTATTTTCAATAATTTGGAAGATTAATGAGAGAAAAGGTAAAATGTACTGTAAATGAACTGACATTTGTTCAGTGGATTATGGCTAATGAATAATGCTTAGTGGCTAACAGAGGATGTATTCTGAAAAGAAATAGAATTTGTTTTAAGGAAAAATTGTGGGAGGAAGCAATAATTATATTTCTCAAGACAGAAAAAGGAAACTCAAAAATGCTTTCCATATTGAATAAAAGCATATCTTATTATGCAAAAGTAATAACAGTACTAGCTGATAATTATTAAGTGCTTACCACATACCAAGTACTCACTGCTCTAAGCACTTTATGTATTAAATCATTTGATACTCACAACAACCAGGTAGGGTATTATTAACCTCATTTTACAGATGAAGAAACTGAGGCACAGAATGCTTAAATGAATATGAATAAGGTTATGTAATCAGTAGGTGGTGGAGCTGGGATTTGAATCTGAGTAGTCAGACTCCAGTGTTCAGTTTTGATCATTACTGTAGACTACTTCTTGCAATATCTGCAAACTCTGCAAAAATTTCAGGTCCTTTGATCATGTTCAGGTAAATCAGCTGTTACGTCTCAATTCCTGTGTGATTTAACAAACCTGAATTTATTGGCTTCTGCTAGGTATTTTTTATTTGCTTTTGTTTTTTTTAAGTAATATGGTTCCCTGAATTAAGTAAAAGAAATATCTGAGCCACCAAGGAATTGTGTGGGTTCTTGCCGTGGAGCAGAGGGATGTCTTGCTTTGAGAAAATCTAATATTTAATATTTACTATAGTAGAAAGAATACTGAATATAAAAGCTGAATCAGAAGACTTGGGCTGGGGGCAGTGGCTCACACTTGTAATCCCAGCACCTTGGGAGGCCAAAGTGGGCGGATCACTTGAGGTTGGGAGTTGGAGACCAGCCTGGCCAACATGGTGAAACCTGATCTCTACTAAAAATACAAAAATTAGCCAGGCATGGTGGCACACACCTGTAACCCCAGCTACTCATGAGGCTGAGGCAGGAGAATCGCTTGAACCCGGGAGGCAGGGGTTGCAGTGGGCTGGGATTGCACCACTGCACTCCAGTCTAGGTGACAGAGCGATACTCCATCTCACACACACACACACAAAAAAAAAAAAAAAAAAAAAAAGAAGACCTAGGTTTATTATTCCTGCTAGCTGGGTTTAATGGGTTTATTAAGGTAAATCAGTTAATCCTCAAAGATTCACTGTTTTTATATTTAGTTTGATCTGCTCACTTTGTAGAGTTACTAAATATTGTAGACAAATGTTAAAGTAACATAGCCTTTGGAGACAGACTGGTTCAAATCCTGCCTCCGCACCTGCCTAGCTGGGTGACCTTTGGCAAACTTTACTTTCTGTCTGTAAAATGGGGGCAATAGTAGTAGCTACCTCAAAGAGGTGTTATGAGATTAAATAATGTTATCTAAATAAAAGCACTTGGTACAGTGCATGGGACATAAGTAGTCAATAAATATTGGCCATTACTACTTCCCAATGAGATAGTACAGGAAAAAACTCTCTAATTCAATCAAGACAAGGCATTCTTAGTTTCCAACAAATAATTTACAGGAGTGGTTAATTGTATTACAGGAAAATTTCTTTTTTTTTTTTTTTTTTTGAGATGGAGTTTCGCTCTTGTTGCCCAGGCTGGAGTGCAATGGCACGATCTCGGCTCACCGCAACCTTTGCCTCCCGAGTTCAAGGGATTCTCCTGCCTCAGCCTCCCAAGTAGCTGGGATTACAGGCATGTGCCACCACACCCGGCTAATTTTGTATTTTTAGTAGAGATGGGGTTTCTCCATGTTGGTCAGGCTGGTCTTGAACTCCTGACCTCAGGTGATCCACCTGCCTCGGCCTCCCAAAGTGCTGGGATTACAGGCGTGAGCCACCACACCCAGCCAATTACAGGAAAATTTCTTGCTTAAAAGTGAATTATTGGACTTTTCGTTTTTTACATTTAGGGTTTGATGTTTGAAAAATTGGCATACACATAACTTCAGAATTTTATCAATTATAAAAATGAGGCACACCTGTATTAGATAAGAAACTAATTATAAATCAAAAGAGTTGTTGTAGTTCAGTGTTTTCTTTTATTATTTTCAGCTGTTGACATCCAAATAAAAATAACATTAGGAAAATTACAGTAATGTTTTCTGAACCTTTTTGTATATGTCCCCACCTAGAGTTCTTCATTAAAATATGGTTACTGACATTTTATTCTAGACAATCAATTTTCAGTTTCCTAATGAAAATCAGTGGTAATATATTTCAAGCATTGCTAAATTGAGAAAAATAGTTCAGAATATTTTGATCTTCGACAGTGCTACCAGTGGACACTGTTTTGTTTTGTTTTGTTTAGGGGTATGGTGGTGTGGAATGGTAAGATCATGCTCCGCTGAAGTTTCTAACCTTAAGAATTTCATGGAATGTACTCCTCACATAAGCTGATTTTCCTTAAGCTATGAATATTTTTAGTTTTACTATCCCTTGGGGGTAATTATTTGCTACTGTGTGTAATACTTCATGACTCATTTTAACCTAAATTTACCTTCTAAATTATATAGGCTTTGTAAACCAAAATTAAGTATTATAGGATTTCCTGAAGCACCCAGTGTTTATTCTAGCTACACCTTTCCTAATTTCACAGAATTAAAAAACTTTTTATTCTTTCTCCCACTACACTGAAAAATACCTCTAGTTACTTCTAATAGAATCTTCATACCCTTATTTTAATATATTTGCTGTCATCTTTTAAATCTTGAATTTAATTAACATAGATTAGATTTACAGGATTTATTTTTGAGTAATCTAGCTATCCCATAAAGTGAGGTTCACTTTTATTTCAACTTTGCATTGCAGAAGTAAGCCACAAATCATTATTCCACCACATTCTAAGTTCTTTTCTTCCTTCTCCCAGATTTCAAGATAGTTCATACATCTTTTCCTTCTCTTGGACCTCATAATCATCTAACACATACAGTGTAAATCTTCATAATATAAAGACTTGGAAGCCCTGGCTGCAAGTACATTTATTGCAGGCAGTAGCCCATACTACAAAATTTTAATACAATCAAAAGATTTAATCAAGACTTTGGGGATCATCATAATATATTCAAGCTGAATAAAAAGTAATTATTAAAATTTTTAAATTGGATTAATTTTTGTTAAAGCTAAAAGATATCATGAAATAGCTATCACATTAACAATTCTATCTAAATGATACTTAACATAGAAAATAGAATGTGGGCTTTATTAGGAAACTAATCTTAGGTTCTTAATCCAGTGGTTGTCAGGGAGAGCACAATTGGATCTAGACTGTAAAAGATCTATTCAGTATCAGAGGGATAAATCATTATAGTTCTCAGGCTATGAATTACATTTTAAAAGATCATATACTTATTAGTTGAATGAGGAGGTGAGAAATAAGAGACTCAGTTTGCTGGGATGATGATGTTTGTTGGTTTAATCTATCTTAAACCTTTCTTTGAACATTGACTTAAACCTTAACCTCCTTTTTCTAAAAATATCAACTGGGGCCGATGCAGTGGCTCACACCTGTAATCCTAGCACTTTGGGAGGCTGAGATGGGAGGATCGCTTGAGGCCAGGAGTTCGAGGCCAGCCTGGGCAACATAGTGAGACCCCATCTCTATTTTTTAAAAAAAATAGAAAAACAATCAATTGGGAAAACTGTGTTTGAAAGAGTATATCAATAAGAATATGTCTTTTACAAAAAATTTTTTAAAAGATTAAACAGATTTTTCTCTGGCAACTTAAAAAATTAGTATTCATTAAAAATTTATTACCTCTGGGAAGAGACTTGGCCTGTGATCCCTTCTCAGAGCCCTTGTATTAGTCAGGGTTCTTCTGAGTCAAGTTGACATACAACATCAATCATCAGAGCCCACCTTTTTTTTTTGTAAGAGAAACTCACAAGATCACAGTCCTATCACTTTTTCTATGTGAGGAGAGCATTTGAGGGATGTTGGCGCATTATAATTATTCTGAATGCATACTGTTTCTTGTACCATGAATCAAAAGAAATTAATTTCCCCGGCTGGGTGCAGTGGCTCACGCCTGTAATCCCAGCACTTTGGGATGCTGAAGTGGGCAGATCACCTGAGGTCAGGAGTTCGAGACCAGCCTGACCAACATAGTGAAACCCTGTCTCTATTAAAAATACAAAATTAGCTGGGCATGGTGGCACATGCCTGTAATCCCAGCTACTTGGGAGGCTGAGGCAGGAGAATCACTTGAACCCGTGAGGCAGAGGTTGCAGTGAGGCAAGATCGTGCCATTGCACTCCAGCTTGGGCGACAAGAACGAAACTTTGTCCAAAAAAAAAAAAATTAATTAATTGCCCCTTTCAACTTCATCTCCCTGCCTTCCTTTCCCTCCAAACCCACTCTCTTTCTAGTGTGAACTGAGAAAGAAGAATGAGGCTTAAACACGATTAAATATAAGGACATATTTTGTGTTTGTGTCAGTGTTTGGAATGTTTGAAATGCTTGAAACATGTCTCACTAGGTTTAAGTCTTATTTGCTTCTTTTGATCATATGTTTACAGAATTAAACAAAAGTTATTATTCTACTTTGTTTTGTATGGTTTCCTTGCTTGAAGAGCTGAGTCATATATTAAGTAATCCCAATAGAGATAAATCTGAATCCAGAAAACAGTTAAAAAAGTCAAACATTGATTTAAATGCGGTCTTCTATTTTTAAAAGGATCCTTTTGTGTACATTTAGTTATCCAGCTTTTCTGTAGATGTATATTTGTATTTGCAAACATTCCATAAAGTTTCCTGACTAATCACAAAAAATGCATTTGTGATTCAGTATAGGAGGCAATGTGTTAGTATGGGAAGAGTGGGAAGAGTGTGTATTTTGGAGATAGGACATCCTGGGTTTAAATCCTGACACCAATGTTTACCAACTCTTTAACCTTGGGTAAATACCTGAGTTAGTTTCCTAATCTGTAAAATGGGGAATAATAATACCTACCAGGCAGGCATATGGTAAGAATAAGAGATGTTACTTTTGTAAGTGCCTAGCACAGTGCACAAATACATAGTCAATGCTCAATACCTACTGTCTTTCAAAGGTAGTTATTTAGAAGGCAATAGAAAGGAGATGGTATTTTGTTTTTAACTAGTTTTTTTCCCCCATTAATATGATTCAGAGGGACTTCACCTATAACTAAAAAAAAGTTCTAAATTCCCAGCAAATAACTAATGGAATTCAGAAACCAATCTTCCTTTCATTATGTTTTCCTGAGAATCAGGGAGGAGATTCTTTTTCAGAGCCTAGAAGATGGCCAGAGATTGTGGCACCCTTTCATATGAGCTTCATCTTCTCTACAGCAATCTCTTAAATTGTAGTTATTTAAAAACTTGGGGCCTGGCACAGTTGCTCACACCTGCAATCCCAGCACTTTGGGAGGCTGAGGCAGGAGGATCACTTGAGCCCAGGAATTCAAGACCAACCTGGGCAACATAGTGAGATCCTGTCTCAAAAAGAAAAGTGGAGGGCGGGGGGGAACCTTGGAAGTTTCTGGAAGATAGGAACATTCAAATTGGCCTTAGAAGCACAGGCCTCTATTTTGGGAGTAGAAACAGACAGGTCACAAAAGAATTAAAAGCAATGTAAAATATCAGAGTTGAGAATAGATATGGAACTTACCCACAGGAGTCAGTGCTAAAAACAAAACACAAAAGAAAGATCAGTGAGGATTTTCTAACTCAAGAGAAACCCACCTTCCAATAGTATCCTTCCTAGGTGAACTTAGAAACAGGACTTGGAGGGAGCACAAAACTCTGTTTCATCCTCAGGAGTGTTGCTGGCCAATGCTCCATATCGCACTCCACACAGAGGGTTATCTTTAGGATGCCATTTAATTAATATAGGCATTTGAAATCTTGGGTAGGTAAAATCACTTCTACTGAAATTCAAACTATTGTATTTCCTGCCTTTCTTTGTTCTTTGATAAGTCTTTCATATGTCTTCTGCAAAACAGTTTTTTGCTCACTGTTCTGGTCCGTTTGAAAAATGTATATTGTTGATCAATTACCAAAATCACATCTAGTCCTGACACATATTCTTTTTGTCAATCTTAGAGGATTTTCTTTTTTAGTAAAAATTATTAGTTGCCAGATTATAGCACAGAGGAAATAGGCTCTGTTGTGATAGATTAGCTGGGAATATATGCTACCAATAATCTTTGGTAGTAAATAACTAGAATCAAACACAAGACCATTATACTTTGTTACAAAAGGAAAATAGATAAGAAGAATTAAAATTGAAATATGAGGAAATCACTTATTGAAGAAATATTGACTGCTGTAAGGTAGAGGAACTCGTAACACAAGAACATTTGGGAAAAAGAACTTAAAGGTCCTAGGCACAGAAATAGGTAAGGCAAGGAAATGATCCAAACTTACTGATTTTTCCAGAACTGTCCACTGAAAGAGATAAAGGCAAACACTTCAGTAGGTACTGGGCATTCCCTTCTTCCCAGTCCCCAAACCTCTGCATTGAGTGGGATCTGTGTCATTAACAACTAAATTTCATTTATTTAAATGTGAAGAAACTTCATTTCCCTTCCCCCTTCTCTTTGCCCAGTGTAGTTTACAAAGACCTTGTGATAAGCTACTTTAAATCACCTTTACTTATCATTGATCATTATCAATTTTGTCTAGAATGTCAAGATTACAATTTATAAAATATAGGACATATAATGGTCTTGCTTAGAAGATGTGTGCTAACATTATTTTTTGACATTGATACGAATTTTTTTTTAATATATTTTTTTGAGACAGGGTCTCAGTCTCCCAGGCTGCAGTGCAGTGGCATGAACATGGCTCACTGCAGCTTCCACTTCCGGGGTTCAAGCGATCCTCCAGTTTCAGCCTCCTGAGTAGCTGGGACTACAGGTGCGTGCTACCACACCCAGCTAATTTTTGTGTTTTTTTGTAGAGACGGAGTTTCATCACGTTGCCCAGGCTGGTCTGGAACCCTGAGCTCCAGCGATCCACCTGCTTTGGCTTCTCAAAGTGCTGGGATTACAGGTGTAAGCCACCATGCCTGGCCTGGTACGAAATATTTAAGATACAGTTGTTACCAAGTACTGAAATATAGGTATATCTCTTGTGTTGATGTTACTTGATAAACCTAACATAGAAAGCACAAAATAGGCTGGCGCCGTGGCTCATGCCTGTAATCCCAGCACTTTGGAAGGCTGTGAGGCAGGCGGATGGCTTGAGCCTAGGAGTTCAAGACCAGCCTGGGCAACATAATGAGATCCCCATCTCTGCAAAAAAAAAAAGAAAAAATTAGCTGGGTATGGTGGCAAGCACCTGTAGTCCCAGCTGCTCAGAAAGCTGAGGTGGGAGGATTGCTTAGGAAGTCAAGGCTGCAGTGGGCCATGATCACACCAGTGCACTCTAGCCTGGGTGAGTGAAACGCTGTTTTAAAAAAAAAAAAAAGCACAGAATAATAAGAAAGCATGAAACTGTAAGAAACATATACCAGGATTGTTTACCAGAGATACATATGTGGAGTTAGGGTATTTAAAAATGGGAGTTGGCAAAATACAGCCCATGGAATAAATCTAGTTTTTCCATATAAATCTAGTTTTCCAAATAAAAATAGCATCTAGGACATGCTATTTTTGCATGTCCTGTGAGGTAAGAATGGATTTTACATATTTAAATAGTTGAAATAATAATAATAATAATAATAATAATAATAATAATAATAATAATAATATTTTGTGGCACATGAAAATTGTATGAAATTCAAATTTCAATGTCTAAAATAGTATTTTATTGGGACATACCCATGCTCATTCTTTTATATATTGTCTATGACTGTTTTTGTGCTACAACAGCAGGGTTGAGTAGTTGTGACAGAGACTTTAAGGCTTATAAAATTTAAAATATTTGGCTGGGCATGGTGGCTTATACCTGTAATCCCAGCACTTTAGGAGGCTAAGGCAAGGGGATCGTTTGAGGCCAGGACTTTGAGACCAGCCTAGGCAACATAGCAAGACTCAGTTTCTACAAAAAATAAAAAAAAGTTAGCCAAGCATGGTGGCACACATCTGTAGTCCCAGCTACTCAGGAGGCTGAGGCAGGAGAATTGCTTGAGCCCAGGAGTGGAGGTTGTAGTGAACTATGATCACACCACTGCACTCCAGGCTAGGTGACAGAGCAAGACCCTGTCTCAGAACAAAACAAAACCAAAAACACCAAACAAACCAAAAAACACAAAAACCCAGCAAACAAAAACAAACATAAAACATTAAAAACATTTGTAGAAAAAATTTGCTCACCCCAGCCCTACAAGAAACTAATGTAATAAAAATATATTAGGAACTTACTAGTGTGAACTTGAGGTATTCCTGAAAATCAAAACAAGAAAATAGGTTAATGGCAGCATTTTTGGAACAGAAGTACAGTTCTTTCCTACTCCCAATTCCCTAGTTGTTTTTTCTGGGGTACCATAAAGACTTCTAGCAGAATACAATGAAATATGATGAGACAACAGATCCCTTAGTGTGTTATAAGAACCTGACAGTTTTTACCACCTTTATGTGGTCCAACTTATTGTTGTCTCTCTAATTGAGCTCTCTGCTTTCACCCTTGCCTCCCAGTCAGTTCCCAGTACAGCAGTTAGCGGGACCCTTTTAAAGTGTCAGCAAGACTCCTGCTTAAGAGCCACCAATGGTTCCCCATCTTGGTTTAACAAAAGTCAAAATCACAACAGTGGCTTTCAAAGATGGCCCTGGAAGATCTGTCCCTCCAAATCTCTCTTATAGCTTCTTTTTATGTCACTTTTCATTCTGTTCCAGCTATATGGTACTTGCTATCTTGCTTTTCCTCAAATAGTCTGGAAATGTTCCTACCCTAGGGTGGTTTACTTGTTGTCTTCTCTGATTGAAATATTCCCCCCTCAGATATTGCCTGGCTAATTCTCTCACCTATTTCATGTTCCATCTAGTAGTTATAGCAATTGCTGAGAATGAGGCATTAAACTTTCCAACTGTAGTTGTGGGTTTTTCTGTTTCTCTTCAGTTCTAGTACGTGTTTTTTTTTTTCCCAGTGTGTTTTGAAGCACTGTTGTTTGGTTCATACATATGTAGAATTTCTTTGTCTTCTTGATGCATTGATATTTTTATCATGATATAATGTCCCTCTTTTGTCCCTGGTAAATTTCTTTGCATTTAGGTCCACTTTACGTGATATTAATGTAGCCACATCTGCCTTTTTTTTTGAAAAAATTAATGTTTCATGGCATATATTTTTCATTCTTTTTACTTTTATTGTTAAATTTGAGGTGACTTTCTTGTAGATAGGATATAGTTAGGTCATGTTTTTAATGTACTCTGGTAATCTTTTGAAAAAATTGGTGTATTTAGACCTACACAAAATAAATTTCTGTGATTTGCCTGATTGTTATGAGAGGCAAGTCCCAATTCTTTCAAGGAGGGGAAGTCAGAAAAGGCTTAATCTCTGCAGCACTAGTGGTCCAAGTTTAGATGTAATAAACTTTATGGAGGAAAAGGCAAAGATCAATCTTTCTTTTTTATCTTGAATTCTATTTTAGTGTTTTCTCTGTTTGCATTTTGCAGTCTGTCCCTTCTTCTACTCCCATTTGCTACATCTTCTAGTTTTTATTATTTCTACCTTTTATCTTTTGGAGTTTCATCTTGTGACCCTGTGGCTTCAGACTGTGATACAAACTTCTTAGTGTATTATTTCCATAGTCTTCCCAGCATATTTTCCCAGCATTATTTCCTCTGGCTTCTCTTTTGCAACTTAACTCTCTAACCAGAAGAACAAATTGATTTTGGTCCTTTCTATGTGGTTTCTTGTTTCTGTGGGCCTTTGACTTATTTAAAAGACAAAGACAGGAAGAAGAAAGAAAGAAAGGAAGGAAGAAGAAAGAACGAGCGAATGAACAAAAGAAAGAAAGAAAGAAAGACCCAAACTAAACCAAAATAGAAACCAAAAACAACAAAAGTGTCAGTGCAAATAAAGGAATCGAGATGCTACAAAAGACCAGAGGAAACTGAGAAAAACAGTAGGAGCTTACTGGTTGCTATTGGACCAATTGCTAAAAATAAAATAAAACAAATCAGTTTTTTTTTAAATTATGTATTGAGTTCCTATTGAAAATCCACTTGGAACACCAGAAAACAGACCTTTGGGAAACATTAAATCTTCTAGGAATATGCTATCTCTTATTAAGTCAATTTTAACTCCACTTTAATAACTTAAATATCCAGGCCATTTTGAATGGCACGTATGATGGGTTATATAAGTGAAGGCCACTTTTTCTAATGAAATAAAATATTTTTTTAAACATTCTTAAACTAGGTCACATTCTTTCAGGAGACTGGCTAATAGTTAAAGGTTACTAATTTATGTTCTCTCTTCATCGTCTTTTTTGTCTTTTCATGTTTTCTCTTCCTTTCAAATCTCTACCATTATACCAGCTCTCACTGTATTTTTTTTACAGTACAGAAAGTTTATTTGTAATTAAAATGTAGTTGAGTTTAGCACCTTTTCTTTTTCTTTTCAGTTTTTATGAGAATTTAAAACTCTTCAAGAGTTAGTAATACTTATTTTAAGTTTTGCTTCTTTTACTTTTTTTCCTATTTCAGTCTCTAATCTCAAAATATCTGTTCTCTTCTTCACCATTCATTGTATTCTCCTTCTAGATTTCCATTACTAAGTTTACTTACTCTTTGCCTTACTGTGGCAGGGCAGGTCTCGCTAACGCAGGCCTCCATAACAACTGTTTCAGCACTGACTGAGTGGTTAAGTTAAATGTTGAAAGCTGATAGAGCCAGGCTAGAATGTAACAAGCCCACCAAGAGTTTGCCTAGGCCTTTCCTGGGCCTTGAAGCATGACAAGATTACGAAGGAATTCTTAACAGGACCCGTTTAGGATTAAAACAAGTTTATTGGGGGGTCTGAAGAAACTCCCCAGGCCTTCACAAACAAGTTTATTGGGGGTCTTCTGAAGGAACTCCATATTTAGCAGGAGACGAGATAAGGGTAATCACTCCAGCACCTGGACCCATTTAGATTAAGTAAATTTACTGAAGCTCTAGAGGAAAGCCTTCAGGACTCACATCTTAGTCACACATTAGAAGAAGTTAATGACTTATGTCTTTAGATGAATGCACACTTACACGTAGACATATAGCTTAGAAGGTATATTGGCTCTGGAAAACTTTGTAATTTTCAGTTGGTCTGGCAAAAATTTCCAGGCCTTCTCTCTGTACCTACTTATATAAATAAAAACTGTCTTCTTTCTCAGTTCATCTGCATCTCGTTATTGGGCCATGAAGAAAAGCAGCCCGATTCTCCTACCTCAGCCTCCCAAGTAGCTGGGATTACAGGTGTGTGCCACCACACCCAGCTAATTTTTGTATTTTTAGTAGAGATGGGGTTTTGCCATGTTGGCCAGGCTGGTCTCGAACTCCTGACCTCAGGCAATCCTCCTGCCTTGGCCTTCCAAAGTGCTGGGATTACAGGCATGAGCCACCACGCCTGGCCAGGTCATATGTTTTTTAAAGGTCTGTATTGTCAATAAAAACTGGAGGCAAATTGGAACTGAGAAACATTTTTCTTTTCTTTTTTAAGTTGCAGTGCTTGCAAGCAAGTCCTGTCTTCAGAAGAACTGGCTCACTTAATAAGAGACATAGCAGGAGTTTAAGGGGCATAATCTATAAAGTTGGTCAGTTTGCCAATTATTCTCATTGGTGGAAAAATAATTCTCCATCATAATTATATATTGGCAAGGGTCATAACACATTTGTATGACAGTGAAACAGCAAAATAACTAACATGAACTCTTTTTTTGTTTAAAGGACCTTCACCCATTCCTGCATGTAAGTTAGGACAATTTTAGAACACTAAGATAAAATGCAAAAACAGCAATCATGGAATTTTTGAAACTAACTGTACGACTAAGGGGGAATTATGTAAACAACTAATTATGTTTTGTTAAAGATTTACGGGAGCATTGTGACCTGACCAAGGACAAAGACGTTCCCAACCTCCTCTGACTCTTGCTGGCATCCAGATCTCTGTGTTCCTCAGTCATCTCTTGATTCTAACTCCTGCGCATAATTTCCCCATATCCCCCCTCCCATAGAAACCCTCCAGCCAGCCTGAAAGACATTAGAAGGGTGGTACTTTAGAATGCTGGTTCTCCATCTTCTCGGTTTGCTGACTCTCCAATATAATCTGCTTTTCATCCCACCAACCCTTGTCTCTCATGTCTGGCTTTTCAGCTGCAAGCAGCCAAACCTGGGTTTGGTTACTTACATTTATGTGTATCAATATTGTAAAAATCAGCACTAAAATTGTTTCCATTAGGAAGCCAGCAATGTAAAGCATATGAACTTAAGCCTTTATTTTAGGTTGCAGTGCTAAATGGAACTATTATTCAATTTAAGAACATATAAAGCAAGTTGTCTGTCCCTCCCTCCCTCCTTCTCTCCTTCCCTTCCTTCTGGTTTTCTTTCCTTCTTTTTTCACCTCCTGCCATCCTCAGTTTATCTCATGATACAAGGTTTTTCTGACTGTCATGTTTAATGTCAAGTGCTCAGGCAAAATAGATGATTTGGCTAGGCTAACAAAGTATTCATTTTGCAGTATTTCCATTTTTTTAGTGCATTTTCTTATGATTTTGAGGAAATTTTGCTTTCTCTCCACATTTCTATTTTGTTCCTTGTATTGTTAGTGCTTTTCCTTTTCTTTAATTTTGTTTCAAAATAATCAAAATTATTCTGTTATTTTTAAATACTTTTCATTTCATTAATTTTTGCCTAATAAAAGTAGGACATTTTTATTATTGTGTCCTACTCTTGAGATTTTTCCTTTTTTAATCATCTTGAGCTCATGTTTAGTTCATCAATTTTTATTAATGAATAATTTCTATTAAAACCATTTACCATAATAATTTCTCTCTAAATGATATTTTGGTTGTATCCTAAGTGTTTTGACAAGTAATGATTTTATACTCACTTATTTCTATATATTCTGTAATTTCTCTCACAATTTTGTTTGTAACCTGTGGATTATTTGGATGTATGCTTTTTTGTTTCTAAATATGTATATGTTAATATTTTTTGTTATTTATTTCTGTTTTGTTGCCTTGTGCTCAGAAAATGTGATTTATATTATGTTGAAGTGTACTTTGAAATTAGTTGAGGCTTGCTCTAGTTGAAGGAATTGGTGGTCAAGGTAATCTTTTCCATCTGTGCTTGCTTGGTGGAATGTTCAGTGTACATTACTAGATAAAGCTTTCTAAAATTATGTCAAAGCCTCTCTAGCCTTACTAATTTTTGTCTGTTTATTTTATGAGAGAAATATTATTAAAATATCTTTATTTAGTTACAGATGTCTTTGCTATTTTGTCAGTTTTTGTTTTATGTATTTCAAAGGCTATGCTATAAGCTCACAACTTTCACTTATATTTTATCTGATATTTGCACAATTATATCAAGTTTTGTTTTGTTGTTAATTGCCTGTTTTTTTTTTTTTTTGAGACAGAATTTCGCTCTTGTCACTTAGGCTGGAGTGCAATGGTGCAATCTCGGCTCACCGCAACCTCTGCCTCCTAGGTTCAAGTGACTCTCCAGCCTCAGCCTCTCAAGTAGCTGGGATGACAAGCATGTGCCACCATGCCTGGCTAATTTTGTATTTTTAGTAGAGACAGGGTTTCACCATGTTGGCCAGGTGGGTCTCGAACTCCTGACCTCAAGTGATCTACCCGCTTTGGCCTCCCAAAGCGCTGGAATTACAGGCATGAGCCACCGCACCTGGCCAATTGCCTGGTATGTTTTAAAATTCCTTCATTTAAATTTTTCTGTGTGTCACCTTATTTTAGGTATATTTCTTAATAGAGTTTAGCTATTTTTCTTATTTTTTTATAGGAAAATAGAAAAATTAAAAAAATTTAATTCTTTTAATTACATCTGAGAGTTTCTAGCTTTTAATCTGTGAGTTTAATCTACTATTGTATAATATTGTGCTAAGCAACATATTTAGACTTTTTTAACCCTCATTTAAAAAAATTTGCTTTTTCACGCCTGTAATCCCAGCACTTTGGGAGGCCGAGGCGGGCGGATCACGAGGTCAGGAGGTCGAGACCATCCCGGCTAAAACGGTGAAACCCCGTCTCTACTAAAAATACAAAAAATTAGCCGGGCGTAGTGGCGGGCGCCTGTAGTCCCAGCTACTTGGGAGGCTGAGGCAGGAGAATGGCGTGAACCCAGGAGGCGGAGCTTGCAGTGAGCCGAGATCCCGCCACTGCACTCCAGCCTGGGCGACAGAGCGAGACTCCGTCTCAAAAAAAAAAAAAAAAAAAAATTTTGCTTTTTATTTGCTTTCTCTTTTTCTTTTTTCTTGCTTTCTTGTGGACTAATATAGTTTTCTTTCTTCTTTTTATTTTCCCTATGGGTTCAGAAGATGTATGTCGCATTTCTATTATATTAATAGTTGTCTTTTATTTTTGCCATAAATATTCAAATGTATATATTTAATAAGATGAAAAGTTAATCAGTACATCTGACCTTTTGTCAAATTATCTTAGTTCATAATCATTAGCCTTGTCTCTAAGGTTTTTTTCCCTAATGCTTTAGGTCTACTCATTTTAAAGCACACTAATATATTTCTCCTTCACTCTCTCCTTCTCCTTCTTTTCTTCCTGCTTTTTTTTTTTTTTTTGACAGGGTCTTGCTCCTAGGCTGGAGTGCGGTGGCATGATCACGGCTTACTGCTGCTTTGACCTCCCAGGCTCGAGCAATCCTCCCACCTCAGCCTACTGAGTAGCTGTGACTACAGGCATGCACCACCACACTCACCTGATGTTTGTATTTTTTGTAGAGACAGGATTTCACCATGGTGCCCAGCCTGGTCTCCAACTCCTGAGCTCAAGCAATCCACCTGCCCTGGCCTCCCAAAGTGCAGGGCTTATAGGTGTGAACCACTGTGCTCAGCCTCTTTCTGCTTTTCCTTCTCCTTCTTCTCTTCCTTCTCTTTTTTTTCTTTATAGTCAACATTTTAGATTTACTGTCATGTTTTGTTGATTTGTTTTCTTACATATGTTTCTTGGTTCTAACTTCTTTTTGAGTTTTTACTCAAAAGTAAACTCCCTGAAGTATGTCCCTTTGATAATTCTTTCACTGGGGACCTGTGTTTAATGAGTTTCTATGTTCTTGAATATACAAAATGACTTCATTTCAGTCTCACTCATAAATGATAATTTTGCTGATTGTATCTTATGGGTTTATAGTAATTTTCCTTCAGTCTTTTGATGATATTGTTCTGTTGTATTCTTTTTAAAATTTTTTTATTTTTAATTTTTATGGGTATATAGTAGGTGCAAGTAGGTACATGAAATATTTTGGTACACTCATACAATGTGTAATAATGTGTAGTAATCACATCAGGGTTAACTGAATATCACCTTAAGCATTTATCATTTCTTTGTGTTACAAACATTGCAATTATATTCTTTTAGTTGTTTCAAAATGTACAATAAATTTCCTTTGACTATAGTCACCCTGTTGTGCTATCAAATATTAGATCTTATCCATTCTATCTAACTATTTTTGTACCTATTAACCATTCCCAATTTTTCTCTCTCCTGACTACCCTCCCCAGGCTCTGGTAACCATCATTCTACTCTCTATCTCCATGAGTTCAATGTTTTAATTTTTAGTTCCCACAAATGAGTATGGACATGTGAAGTCTGTGGTTCTATGCCTGGCTTATTTCACTTAACATAATGACCTTCATTTCCATCCAGGTTGTTGCAAATGATAGGATCTCATTCTTGTTTGGATTTCATTCTTGTTCTGTTGTATTCTGGCACATATTATTGCTAATGAGATGTCTAGTGTTAACATGATTTTTTGCAGGTGATCTGCTTCTCTGGTTGTCTTTATGATTTGCTTTTTAATGTCTGTCAGCTTACTACGATGAGTTTTGGCACATGTAAGTGTGTGTGTGTGTATATATCTGTCTGTGTGTTTTAAAGTTATCTAATTTCAGCTTTCAGTGGACCATTATGATCTGAGGATTTATGTCTCTTTTCTTCTGGAATGTTATTAATTATTACATTTAAAATTATTACCTGACATTTATTCTTTTAATTCTCTCTTATCAAATTCCATTACACCTGACCTCATTCTATTTACAGCTCTTCTTTTTCATATTTTCAATATCTTCTGTGTGTTATTTTGAGCTGAGATTTTCAATATTTTCCATGTACTATTTTGAACTGAGATTTCCTCAGTTCTGTCTTCCAGTTTACTCTTTTAAACTGTGATTAATAATATTTAAATATTATTTACATATAGTTACATTAGAATTTATATATTATCTAATCATTGTTTCAATTCTAATAACTTTCTTATTTTCAAGGTTTCAGCTTGGTTCTTTTTTAAATCTGCCTGTTCTTTCTTCAAACTATCTCTCAAATATATATACATATATATATATATATATTTTTAATCTTTTTAGAAAGGATAGTCTTTCTTTTATTCCCCAATAGGTAAGCCACAACCTATCAGAACTCCAGCCTTTCGTGGCCTTTTCATGCTATACTAGCTGTCATATGCCGTATCAGCTGCCTTACCGTTTAAAATTTTATTATCTCCTTCACCTCCTCCATTTAGGCATTTCTTCCCTCCTATCTTATCAAGGTTACTTATGACATTCATTTTGCAAAATTCCTTGTCAGTTCTTACTCCAAAAATTCATTGCTTAGCTGTTTTTGATGCTGTTGTTTATTTTTTCCATATTGAAATACTATCTTCTCTTGAGTGCTGCGAGACCCCCCCTTTACTGGTTCTCCTTCTTTCTCCCTGCTCACTACTTCTCTATATGCATAGTTAGATTTTTCTCATTCTAAACTTCTAAAACTGATTAATCCTTACCCCTTCATTTTTACATATACCTTTGATTATCTAATTTAGTCCAATCGTCTTAAATGTTACCTATATGCTGATTACTGTCTAATTTATTTCCCACCCAATCTCTCCCTAAATCTTCAGACTCAAATATTTAATTGCCTTTTGATATAGAGTATATGCTTGGATGGGGGGCAGAATGTTTAGTGGGATTTTTCTTGTTACTCCCAAATTGACAAGTAGGATCACAAAGCTGAGGAAAAAGAGGTTATAACTTCCCATTACCCTCCTCAGCAAACTGAGGTGAGACAAGCCCTCAGGAGGGATTGCAGCATTGCCAGCTCCATAATTAAAAGGGAAAGGATTCTTGAGGCTGTGCAGTGCAGAGGTGCTGCTCGCCGGCCTTGACATGATGGCCAAATTAGCTCTCCTATCTCAAGTGTCACCCTTTTTCCAAGACAACATAAGCAAACAACTGTAAAGGGCAGGAGATTTAAGAGTCTTTAGAGTTGTGAGTAGTTAACAAAGGAATGGTGTTGTAGGGGAGGAAGAATAGCGCTTTCTTTTTCTGAAGGCAAATGAGTAGCACTTTGAGATTTGCTTACAGTGATTGGGGGTATCTGTGAGAAAGGATGTGTGGCAACCCATCTCCTGGTTGAATAGTGGATTTGTTGATTTGTTTTGTGCCTATCTGAATGAAGGAAAATAAAATTGGAGAGAGACAGTAGTGCAGAGTGTCCTTGTTCTGTGATAAGGATTCTTGAGCCTCCTGAGGGTTCAGTGGGCAGTGCAAAATACATCCTGGCTTGAGCCTTCTTGCTAGTATGTCACTCAAGTGGGTGGCCTACTTGGTAAGGGCATCTCTGCAGTACGAGCAATGAAGTGTATTGCTCGAGAGGGAGTTGAGGGGCTCTGGAATTGGCAAGACTAGAGTCAGTACTCCCACATCAGGGACTAGGCATGGTCGAGTTCTTGTATGTTCCTCCAAAGAACTGGAATATGTATTGTACAAGACATTTGGGTGTCTGCTCTAGATGACATCAAAGGACAGTCAGTCTCAGGTTCTCAGAGAAAAGAACCTACAACTAACAGAGGAAGGAGATTGCATGCCCCAAATCCATCCTCTCAGCCTCAACAGTGGGAATTATAACAACGGTGGGAATTATAGCAACAAGGAGAGTGGACAGGAAGGGGAAGCACATTGTATTTCTCCTCCCCATTCTGAGTCAGTGTGCCTGAGACGGGCCATTAGGAGAGGAGAGGGTTTTAAAGGGGATGGCTTAAGCATTTTAAATAATTTAGCATAACTAGAAAATTATGGGTTCTAAGACATCATTAAATGATAGGAAGGAGACACATGGCAGAGAACATGCTTGAAGCTTGCTAAGGTCAGATTATTTAATTAATTAGTCCTAAATGTTCCAGGCATCTAGAACCAAGCATACACAAAACTGAACTCACAATAGCATCCTATAAATCTGCTCTTCTCCACTACCTAAATCAATAAATAGTTTCATTCGTCAAGTTTCTTAGACCCCAAATCTAGGAGTAACCCTTGGTGTCTTCTTTTTCCCTTAAAATCACATTCAGTCGAACAGCAGGCCCTGTTGGCTTTGCCCCCAAAATAAATAAAATCTGAAGACCTTCTTCCCACTTCCACTCTGATCACTCTTCTCATTGCCACACTCACCTTTAGTTTCAGGCCTCTTAACTGGTCTTCCTACTTGCCCTCTTGAGCCCTCACTCTCACTCCAGTTAATCCTCCACAATAATAGAGTGATCTTTTAAAATTATAAAGTAGACCCTATCATTTCCCTGTTCAAGCCCTTCAGTTACTTCTCATGATGCCTAGAATGAAATCTGCAATTTTTTATTAAGGACTGCAGGGCCCGACATAATCTGGCTTTTGTCGCTCTGGCCCTACCTCCTGCTCTGCCTCCTTCTTTCTAGCCTGGCTGGCTGTTTTGCACCTCCATAGCAGGCCTGTGCATGTTGTACTTGTTCCTTTTGCCTGAAGCACACTCCCCCTTCTATACCATCTTTCTTTAGTCTGTTACTCTTCTTATTTTTCTACATGAATTTATCTGCCTGACATTTACTGTATGTTTACTTGGCATTATTTGCCTGTTTTATCTCAACATATAAACTCCTTAAGTGCAAGGACTTTGTCTTGCTCATGGCTATATTTCCAGTGCTTAGGATAATGCCTGGCCTACAATAGGCCAATATATATTTGTTGAATACATATATTTTTAAAATGCATTAATATCTTTGAAGACTTTTTCTTTTTTTTCCTTTAGTGTTTGACTTGTTCAATGCTGTTAGGTTTCTTATTTTAGTCTTCTTCAGATTGCTCTAGTTATATTTCTCTGGGTTGGAATTCTCCAATTTGTTGGGACTTGTGAGGTATCACTCATATGGTGCTGGATTTTCTCATAGATTTCATAACTTTTAGTAGTTTCTTATTCCTTGGGGGCTATCTTTCATGGATATTCTATGATATAAATACCCTGGGTTGTGGATCCCTTCTTGGTGGCTATTGTCCTAACTTCCTGGGTACACTGCCACTGAACCAGATCTCAGCTGTTTTAACTTGGAATATTATGCACACTGCATGGGTAGCACACCTCCAGCAGGGCTCTGCACCCTGGACAGATCTAACTCTGGACCTGTGTGGATGGCTTTGTTTTCATGCCTGGGGCAGATGGGTGAAGATATTTTGGCTTCTCCGCGTGGGGAGGCAGCGTGTTTTCTGCTCCTGGCTTTACTCCAAGTGGTGGAATTCCAGTTTTCTACATGTTGTATCTTGAGGCTTTGTCCACCATCTAGGATCAGGTGTTGAAACCCTACCTTTGTTCCTGAGGCAAAGCTGCTACCTCTGTTTCCTCATCCCCTCACCATTCCTCCCAAGAGCTTAACTTTAGCTTTCCTTTCTTTATATGTGTTCCTATATTCCATTTCTGCTCCTTGGAAATCACTCTTACCCTCCTTCTTTATGCTTAGGTATGACTGTGCATTTTTCATTTAAAAATATTTCCAGCCAAGACTTAGCCAGCCAAAAATGAGGTGTTATAAACCCTAGTTACTTTAGCATTCCTTTTTTCTTTCTCCCTACCCCTCGGGTATTGGATTTTTACATTATTTCCCTGCCCATCCTCTTTGATGACTCCTCTGAAAAGGACACTATGCATTCAATTTGGGTTCTGCCTTGTAATTTCTAGCTGTGAGACCAATAATCCCTTCTCCTGAACTTTGGTGGGCCTTGGTCTCTGTTCCCAATTATATGGCCCATGTGCAAACATAGACATCTGGAATTTCCAGCTTCATTTCTGGGTCTCAACCACTGAGTATGTATTTTCATCTGTGCAGTGAGAATACTTAGCTGATCAGCCTCTTTGCTCAGGCTTCAGAAAGGTATGTGGATAGGGATTTTGGAGAGACACTCACTTATAATTCTTTGTTGACAGTTCCATTTCTCTTCACTCAAATACCAATGTCTTTGTCCTAACATTATTGAAATTAATAAAATGTTGTTATTATGAAAACTATATCCAGAGTGTGTTTAGAAGGAACTGGAGGAGGATATATAAGCATATTTGAAATCTGTTAGAATAACATAGATGTCTTTCATGTTTAAAAATTGGAAAATTTTACCTACTATCTGGATTAAGTGAGATGCTTCTTGCATGAAGAGGTTGGCTGGAGCTGGGCAGCAGCTACCTTCTTCAGACTATGCGTGTCCTCCCAGTTTAACACAGTTCCCAGGAGACTCACCTCAACTCGCTCATTTACTGACCTGCCTGGGCTCTTTTGGCATCTGCGTTTTTAACCTTGACAGGAACTTTGGGTTTTAATATTAATGTGATTTAATTTCAGGATGAGGAATCTCGGCTGATATTGGGTTTGCTTAAATCATTTGTAACTGAGATATGAGAACCAGATTTGCATTTTGGAAAACTAGGACACAGTGTGAAAGGTGCTTTCACGAATTCTATATTAAATATCATCATGGTCAACGCTTGATCTGGTTTAAAAATTGAGTCACTGTTGGTATGTGTTACCTTGGAAGTTGGGTTTAGAACTAAAATAATGGGGCTGGGCGTGGTGGTTCACACCTGTAAACCCAGCACTTTGGGAGGCCAACGCGGGCGGATCACTTGAGGTCAGGAGTTCAAGAACAGCCTGGCCAAATGAGGAAACCCTGTCTCTACTAAAAATACAATAATTAGCTGGGCATGGTGGCTTGCACCTGTATTGCTAGCCACTTGGGAGGCTCAGGCAGGAGAATTGCTTGGACTCGGCAGGTGGAGGTTGCAGTGAGCCTAGATCACGCCACTGCACTCCAGCCTGTGTGACAGAGTGAGACTCTGTCTCAAAACAAAACAAAACAAAAAAACCTAAATAATGGGAAATATTACAGTTATGAATCAAAAAGTTTGTCTTGCAGTCCTAATCTGGAGGACTTTGGGTAATGTAGAAGCAAATGAATATGAGAAATATGAGTCTCAATCTTTTGGATACTTAGAAGTGGAAACATCTAACATAAATCTCCACATATGACCAGCTGAGAAATAAAGAACTTACTTGCAGTTCTCTGCGAAATTACTAAAAAATAAGCAAAAAGAAATCCATTTAATTTTTCTCAAATGGAGAAAACATAGCATTATCTAACATATTTTGTTGGAGTCTGTGAGGGGAGGACTTGTGTGGGCAAAGAAGGAAGCATTCCAAACCACCCTATAGATTAGTTTTAGATTAGTTTTACAATGCAAAACTAGATATAAGATTAGGCAGTGATGATGTGATGAAATCAAAGGTAGGGTTTCCTTAAAGGCCCTCTTCATTTACTGGACCCAACAGCTTTGGGTATAGTCTCGGGTAGAGACTGCCATATCTTTCTGTTTCCTTTGAATAGCATTATAATGTTTGAGAGAACACTGAAAGCCTCTCTCCATTTAAACATCATTATGGATTTCATCTCTCAATAATTCTGCTTACGTGTTATTTCATAATATTGTTCAGTTTATTACTGATGAATCCTAGCTTAGTCCCTCTTTTAATTAGTGTTTAAAAAGATTCTCTGTAATATAGACCATGTAGGGTAATAAGGAAGCAAGGGAATAATGGGAACCACAAATCACTTTGACAGAAGTGAAGTGAAGGGGACCAAAGAGAACCAAAGTAGAAAAAGACATGTAATACTTACTTATAGGTGCTGCCAGCTGACCTAAAAAAATTAGATATCAGTGAAGATTTGTTTGAAAGGAGCAAGTTTCCTTCTAGGGAGAGATATTTGTGTTGGGGAGAATCTTGGTAGTCACACAGCTCTGGATGACAATGGCTAATTCTCTGTTAAAAGCTCCAATTCTTTATGACTGCATTCTTGGGTAAGTATTTGGGTCAGTTTCTTATCTCTTACAAAGGGGTTAGTGGAGTGATTCTAAGGATTAAATGGGATTATGTAATTAAAGCACCTATATAATTCTATAGGAGGTGCAAAGTACATATGTGTTTGAAATCATGTAAATGTAAGCTTCCTTCTCAGGGAGAAGCTAGATTAGCAGAGGGCAGAGGAAACTGGGAGCTTTGAGTCAGGTAGCTGCACACAGAGTTAGAAATGAGTAGGGTAGGCCAGGCGCCTTGGCTCACACCTGTAATCCCAGCACTTTGGGAGGTCGAGGCAGGCGGATCACGAGGTCAGGAGATCAAGACCATCCTGGCGAACACTGTGATGTTCTAAAAATACAAAAAAATTTCTCCTCCCTATTCTGAGTCAGTGTGCCTGAGACTGGCCACTAGGAGAGGAGAGGGTTTTAAGAGGGGTTGGCCTGAGTGTTTTTAATAATTTAACATGATTAGAAAATTATGGTATGCTACCAGGCTACAGTAAGCAAAACAGTATGGCACTAGTAGGAAATAGACACATAGATCAATGCAACAGAATACAGAGCCCAGAAATAAGGCCACATGACTACAACTATCTGAACTTTAACAAAGCTGAGAAAAACAAGCAATGGGGAAAGGGCTTCCTATTCAATAAACGATACTGGGATAACTGGCCAGCCATATGCAGAAGATTGAAGCTGGACTCCTTCCTTACACCACATACGAAAATTAACTCAAGATGGTTTAAAGATTTAAGTGTAAAACCCAAAGCTATAAAAACCCTGGAAGACCACCTAGGCAATACCATTCTGGACATAGGAATGGGCAAAAATTTCATGATGAAGACAACAAAAGCAACTGTAACAAAAGCAAAAATTGACAGATGGGATCTAATTGAACTAAAGAGCTTCTGCCCAGCAAAAGAAACTGTCAACAGAGTAAATAGGCAACCTACAGAATGGGAGAAAGTTTTTGCAAACTATGCATCTGGCAAAGGTCTAATATCCAGCGCCTGTAAGGAACTTAAACAAATTTACAAGACAAAAACAATCCCATTAAAAAGTTGGCAAAAAAAGGGAATAGGCACTTTTCAAAAGAAGACGTACATGCAGCTCACAAACATATGAAGAAAAGCTCAACATCACTGATTGTTAGAGAAATGCAAGTCAAAACCACAATGAGATACCATCTCGCACCAGGCAGAATGGCCATTATCAAAATGTCAGAAAATAACAGATACTGGGGAGGCTGTGGAGAAAAAGGAACAGTTTTACCTTGTTGGTGGCAACGTAAATTAGTTCAACCATTGTGGGAAACAGTGTGGCAATTCCTCAAAGACCCCAAAACGGAGCTACCATTCGACCCAGCAATCCCATTTCTGGCTATATGCCCAAAGTAATAAAAATTGTTCTATCATAAAGAAACACACGTGTGTTTATTGCAGCACTATTCACAGTAACAATGACATGGAATCAACCTAAATGCCCGTCAACGATAGACTGGATAAATAAAATGTACATATACACCATGTAATACCATGCAGCCATAAAAAGGAACAAGATCATGTCCTTTGCAGGAACATGGATGGAGCTGGAGGGCGTTATCCTTAGCAAACTAATGCAGGAAGAGAGAACCAAATACCACATGTTCTCACTTACAAATGGGAGATAAATGATGAGAACACATGGACACAGAAGGAAACAACAGGCACTGGGGCTTATTGAAGGGTGGAGGGTGAGAGGACGTAGACAGACAGGAAAAATAACTAAGGGGTTCTAGGCTTAATACCTGGGTGATGAAATAATCTGTACAACAAACCTGCATGACACAAGTTTACCTATATAACAAACTGCACATGTATCCCTGAACTTAAAACTTAAATAAAAATAAAGAAAGCAAGTTGATACTACTTATCATAATATTTCCTTACAAGTAAATAAAGGAAAGCTAAAAAAAGCCAACCAAAGACATAATGAAATATTATTTGGCCATAAAAAGAACTGAAGTACTGCTGCATATTACCATGTGGATGAACCTGGTGAACCTTATGCTAAATGGAAGAAGCCAGGCACAAAAGACCTCCTATTGTTTGATTCCATTTATATGAAATGTCCAGAACAGCTGAATCTATAGAGACAGAAAGAAGATTAGTGGTTGCCTGGGGCTATGGTGTGGAGAGGGTTTTGGGTTGGGGGATAGTGGGAAGTGATTGCTAAACAGAGTTTTTCTGGGGGGTGATGAGAATGTTCTAAAATTCATTGTGGTGATGGTTGCACAACCCAGTGAATATACTAAAAAGCATTAAATTCCACACTTTAAATGAGTGAATTATGTCATATGTGAATATCATCTCAATAAAGCTGTTATTTACAAAGATAAAAAAGATAAAATTATGGGTTCTAATGCATCATTAAGGGACAGAGAGGAGATATTTTCCAGAAAACATGCTTGAAGCCTGCTAAGGTCAGATTATTTAATTAATTAGTCCTAAATATCCCAGGCATCTAGAACCTAACATATGCAAAACTGAACTCACAATAGCATCCTATAAATCTGCTCTTCTCCGCTACCTAAATGAATAAATAGTCTCATTCGTCAAGTTTCTTAGACCCCAAATCTAGGAGTAACCCTTGGGGTCTTCTTTTTCCCTTAAAATCACATTCAGTCGAACAGCAGGCCCTGTTGGCTTTGCCCCCAAAATAAATAAAATCTGAAGACCTTCTTCCCACTTCCACTCTGATCACTCTCTCCTTGCCACACTCACCTTAATTTCAGGCCTCTTAACTGGTCTTCCTACTTGCCCTCTTGAGCCCTCACTCTCACCCCAGTTAATCCTCCACAATAATAGAGTGATCTTTTAAAATTATAAAGTGGGCCCTATCATTTCCCTGTTCAAGCCCTTCAGTTGCCTCTCATGACACCTAGAATGAAATCTGCAATTTTTTATTAAGGACTGCAGGGCCCGACATAATCTGGCTTTTGTCGCTCTGGCCCTACCTCCTGCTCTGCCTCCTTCTTTCTAGCCTGGCTGGCTGTTTTGCACCTCCATAGCAGGCCTGTGCATGTTGTACTTGTTCCTTTTGCCTGAAGCACACTCCCCCTTCTATACCATCTTTCTTTAGTCTGTTACTCTTCTTATTTTTCTGCATGAATTTATCTGCCTGACATTTAGTATATGTTTACTTGGCATTATTTGCCTGTTTTATCTCAACATATAAACTCCTTAAGTGCAAGGACTTTGTCTTGCTCATGGCTATATTTTCAGTGCTTAGGATAATGCCTGGCCTACAATAGGCCAATATATATTTGTTGAATACATATATTTTTAAAATGCATTAATATCTTTGAAGACTTTTTCTTTTTTTTCCTTTAGTGTTTGACTTGTTCAGTGCTGTTAGGTTCCTTATTTTAGTCTTCTTCAGATTGCTCTAGTTATATTTCTCTGGGTTGGAATTCTCCAATTTGTTGGGGCTTGTGAGGTATCACTCACCACTCACATGGTGCTGGATTTTCTCATAGATTTCATAACTTTTAGTAGTTTCTTATTCCTTGGGGGCTATCTTTCATGGATATTCTATGATATAAATACCCTGGGTTGTGGCTCTCTTCTTGGTGGCTATTGTCCTAACTTCCTGGGTACACTGCCACTTAACCAGATCTCAGCTGTTTTGACTTGGAATATTATGCACACTGCATGGGTAGCACACCTCCAGCAGGGCTCTGCACCCTGGACAGATCTAACTCTGGACCTGTGTGGGTGGCTCTGTTTTCATGCCTGGGGCAGATGGGTGAAGATATTTTGGCTTCTGTGCATGGGGAGGCAGTATATTTTCTGCTACCGGCTTTACTCAGAGGGGCCTAATTTCAGTTTTCCGCATGTTGTATCTTGAGGCTTTTGCTGTCATTTGGGAGCAGATGTTGAAACCCTACCTTTGTTCCTGAGGCAAAGCTGTCATCTCTATTTTTTCATCCCCTCACTGTTCCCACCAAGAGCTTAACTTTAGCTTCTTCTTGCAATGTGTTCCTATATTCAATTTCTGCTCCTTGGAAATCTTACCCACCTTTTTTATGCTTAAGCTTGGCTGTATATTTTTCATTTATAGATATTGCCCGGTAACACTTTTTAAACTTTTATTTTAAATTCAGGGACACATGTGCAAGGTTGTTATATAGGTAAACTTGTGTCATGGGGGTTTGTTGTACAGATTATTTTGCTACCCAGATATTAAATCTAGTTATTTTTCCTGATCCTCTCCCGCTCCCACCCTCCACCCTCTGACAGGCCCCAGTGTCTATTTTTCCCCTCTGTGTGTCCATGTGTTCTCATCATTTAGCTCCCGTTTATAAATAAGAACATGTGGTATCTGGTTTTCTGTTCCTGCATTAGTTTGCTAGGGGTAATGGCCTCTAGATCCATCCGTGTTCCAGCAAAGGACATGATCTCATTCTTTTTTCGGCTGCGTAGTATTCCATGGTGTATATGTATCACATTTTCTTTATTCAGTCTACCATTGATGGGCATTTAGGTTGATTCCATGTATTTGCTATTGTGAATAGTTCTGTGTTTAACATAACTGTGCAAGTGTCTTTATGATAGAATGGTTTATATTCCTTTGAGTCTATACCCAGTAATGGGATTGGCCAGCCAACACTTAGCTATCCAAAAAGCAGGTGGTATAATCCCTAGTTACTTTTGCGTGCTTTTTTTCATCCCCTCTACTAGGATGATATATAGGATCCAAGACCCTATATATCTATTGGGTCTTGGATTTTTACATCTTTTTCCTGCCCATACTCTCTGATGACTTCTCTGAAAAGGACACTATGCCTTCAATTTGGATTTTGGCTTGTAATTTCTAGCTGTGAGACCAGTAATCCCTTCTCCTGACTTCAGGTGGGCATTGGTCCCTGTGCCCAATTATAGGGCCTATTCCCAAACATGGGCATATGGATTTTGCAGCCTCATCCCTGGGTCGGAACCATTGTCTCTGTATTTTTATCTGTGCCGTGAGAATACTTAGCCGATCAGCCTCTTTGCTCAGGCTTCAGAAAGATGTGTGGATGAGGACTTTGGAGAGACACTGGCTAATTCTGTGTTAATAGCTCCAATTCTCCTCTCTCAAATACCAATGCCTTTGTCCTAACATTATTGAAATGAGTAAAATGTTATTATGAAAACTGTATCCAGAGTGTGTTTAGATGGAACTAGAGGGGAGTATGTAAGTATGTTTGCAATCTGTTAGAGTAACCCAGATGTCTGTCATGTTTAAAACTTGGAAAATTTTACCTACTATCTGGATTAAGTGAGATGCTTTGGCAACTCTGAATCTGAATTCTTGCATGAAGAGGTTGGCTGGAGCAGGCAGCAGCTACCCTCTTCAGACTATATGTGTCCTCCCAGTTTTACACAGTTTCCAGGAGATTCACCTCATCTCACTCATTTACTGACCTGCCTGGGCTCTTTTGGCATCTGCATTTTTAACCTTGACAGGAACTTTGGTTTTTAATATTAGTGTGATTTAATTTCAGGCTGAGGAATCCCAGCGATGTTAGGTTTGCTTAAATCATTTGTAACTGAGATATGAGAACCAAATTTGCATTTTGGAAAGGTAGGACATAGTGTGAAAGGCGGTTTCACGAATTCTATATTAAATATCATCATTGTTAGTGCTTGACCTGGTTTAAATATTGAGTCACTGTTGGTATGTGTTACCTTGGAAGCTGAGTTTAGAACTAAAATAATGGGAAATACTACAGTTACGAATCAAAAAGGTTGACTTGCAGTCCTAATCTTGAAGACTTTGGGTAATGTAGAAGCAAATGAATATGAGAAATATGAGGCACTTAGAAATAGAAACAACTAAGATAAGAAAAGTCCCCACATATGACCAGCTGAGAAGTAGAGTACTTACTTGCGGTTCTCTGTGAAATTACTGAAAAATAAGCAAACAGAAATCCATTTAATTTTTCTCAAATAGAAAACACATAGTATTATCTAATATATTTTGCTGGAGTCTGTGAGGGGAGGACTTGGGTGGGCAGTGAAGGAGGTATTCCAAACCACCCTATAGATTATTTGGTTTTAGATTAGTTTTATAATGCAAAACTAGATGTAAGATTTAGCAGTGATGATGTAATGACGAAGTCAAAGGTAGAGTTTCCTTAAAGGCCCTCTCCACTTATTGGACCTGAACAGCTTTGGGCATAGTGTTGGGAAAAGACCACTGGATCCTTGCACTATAATGTTTGAAAGAACACTGAAGGTTTCTCTCCATTTAGACATCATTTTGGATTTCATCTCTCTCTCTCTTTCTCTCTCCACCCCCCTGAAAATTCCTCCTACTATGAAATAATATTTCATAGTATTGTTCAGTTTATTGTTGATGAATGCTAGCTTAGTCCCGCTTTTAATTAGTATTTTAAAAAAATTATAGGGCAAGCAGGGTAATAAGGAAGCAAGAGAAGAATGGGAAACTCAAATCACTTTGACAGAAGTGAAATGAAGGGGACCATAGAGAACCAAAGAAGAAAAAGAGATGTTATACTTACTTATGGGTGCCATGGGTGGACCTAAAAACCAAATTAGATATTGGTGAAGATTTCTTTGAAGGAAACAAGGTTCCCTCTAGGGAGGTATATTTGTGTAGGGGAGAAACTTGGACACCTTTCTGGGTCTAAATTATGATTCTATGACTATGTATTCTTGAGTAAGTATTTGGCTCAGTTTCTTATCTCTTACAAAGGGATTGGTGGAATTATTCTAAGGATTAAATGAGGTAATGTAATTAAAGCACTTAAATAGTTCTAGAGGAGATACAAAGTAAATATATGTTTGAAATTATGTAAATATAACTTCTTTCTCAGGGAGAAGCTGGATGAGCAGAAGGCAGAGGAAACTGGAAGCTTTGAGTCAGGTAGCTGCACACAGTTAGAAATGAGCAGGGTAGAGACAGGTCTCTAAGCCTTGCAGGGAACAACAAGAACAACAACAGAAAAGAGTAGAAAAAGAAATGGAACTTACCGCGGGGTGCTGAAGGTGGACCAGCTGAAAAACAGAGAGGTATCTTAGCAACTGTTTTTTCTCCCATGATATTTTCCTTTCTATGTAGAGAGTTTCTTCTTGGTAGGTCATTATAACAATAGGGAAAACTTTCCCTTTGGTATTCATTTATTTTTAATATGAATCAGCAGAATGTGAACTTTCAAAAAATCATTAATAACTTCATGGAATTTTGATGATAGGAAAGTAAGTGGTTAAAGTAGTATGCACCCCAAGCCTGGAAATCTTAGCTGTACCAGGGAAAGGAGAGATTCCAGAATCCTACGGTGGTGAAAACATGGACATACTGATGGCAAGTGAAATGAATCCAGCTTGCAACTAGACCAGAAACAATTATCTCCTTTTTCTTTCCCCATTGCTCAAATTGTCTTTCAGTTTGTTAAGTCCCTTGTAATATATCATTTTGACCTGCTGATAAACTTTCTCCCCTTCCCTTTATTTTTTAATAAAATAGTAAGTTTGATTTTTTCCATAGAGTTATTTAAAAGGTGAGAGAATGATGTGTCACATGAAAGCAAAACACGGAGGAAATAACAACTTAAAGTTGTTATTTAAAGTTTAGGCTTAAATCCTCTAAAGTCTCTAAAAGGTGATACAAATTTTTCTTAGATGTTTTGGAATTTAAATGTGGAAAAAAGAGACCAGATATGGCAGGAGGTTCAAATGAAAAAGGGTTATAGAAACTTCTTATCTACTCCTTTCTCTCCTACCATTTTTTCCCTTTTTAAGGTAGTCTCTTGTTGATGGGCTTTGAAATTTTGTAAAATTTTTTTCTCTGCTCTGACTTATCTCTTCCCTTTTTGCAGTGACTGGTAACTGCTTGAAATCCTGCAGGGGATTGTAAATTGATAGTCTTAAAACTTTCCAGTACATCATGAATAATGCAGAGAGGTTTTGATAATGAGACAGCAAGAGGCCAAGATATATCTCAAGCCCTTTGTATCCCAATATGGGCAGATAAAGACTCTTGGACTCCACTAGAGACCAACTGAGTCCTAAAGGAGAGAATTCAATGAACACATAGACTTACTGATTGTGTGAGGATGCGATCTGACTGAAAAACAAGCAAAGATACTTTTTGTTACCCCTTTCTTGTTTCTTTTCCTACTCATTTTTTTTTCTATTGGTAAATTTACTAGTGATATACTTGCTTGAACATTTTTTTTTAAATCAAAGGCACTAGAAATTTCCAGAAAACTAATTATCAGCTGGTTGAATTCTGGATAATGGAAAAACAAAAGGCTGAGAAAATAGAACTTCAAGTTCCATGTTGCAACTCAAGTTCCAATAGACATCAGTGGACTTTGATAAATGCACCACAGAGAAACAAATAAATAACTGACTAATTGCCTGTATAGATGACTTATCTAGAAAGCAGAAATGGATCTATATCATTTTTCTGTCATTTTTTTTCCTTCTGCATGGAAAGTTCCTAACATTCTTTAGAGTCATGTAAAAACTTTTTTCTCAGGTCTTTATTTTTTATGCGAGTCAGTGAATGTTCTAGAAACTTATTAATAATTTATTTATGCCTTTCTGCCCATGGATGCCACGGAAGAAGCATCATTAAAGTCTCTCTTCTCCTGGCCGTCTTATCTAAGTCAGAGTCTCCTAAAGAGCCAGAACAACTGAGGAAGCTCTTCATTGGAGGGTTGAGCTTTGAAACAACTGATGAGAGCCTGAGGAGCCATTTTGAGCAGTGAGGGACACTCCCGGACAGTGTGGTCATGAGAGATCCAAACCCAAGCGCTCCAGGGGCTTTGGATTTTTCACATATGCCACTGTGGAGGAGGTGGATGCAGCCGTGAATGCAAGGCCACACAAGGTGGATGGAAGAGCTGTGGAACCAAAGAGAGCTGTCTCAAGAGAAGATTCTCAAATACCAGGTGCCCACTTAACTGTGAAAAAGATATATGCTGGTGGCATTAAAGAAGACACTGAAGAAATCACCTAAGAAATTATTTTGAGTAGTATGGAAAAATTGAAGTGATTGAAAACATGACTGACCGAGGCAGTTGCAAGAAAAGGGGCTTTGCCTTTGTAACCTTTGATGACCATGACTCCGTGGATAAGACTGTCATTCAGAAATACCACAGTGTGAATGGCCACAACTGTGAAGTTAGGAAAGCCTGTCAAAGCAAGAGATGGCTAGTGCTCCATCCAGCCAAAGAGGTGGAAGTGGTTCTGGAAACTTTGGTGGTGGTCATGGAGGTGGTTTCGGTGGGAATGACAACTTTGATCATGGAGGAAACTTCAGTGGTTGTGGTAGCTTTGGTGGCAGCTGTGGTGGTGGTGGATATGGTGGCAGTGAGGATGGCTATAATGGATTTGGTAATGATGGGAGCAATTTTGGAGGTGGTGGAAGCTACAATGATTTTGGCAATTACAACAATCAGTCTTCAAATTTTGGACCCATGAAGGGAGGAAACTTTGGAGGCAGAAGCTGTGGCCTCTATGGTGGTGGAGGCCAATACTTTGCCAAACCATGAAACCAAAGTGGCTATTGTGGTTCCAGTAGCAGCAGTAGCTATGGCAGTGGCAGAAGATTTTAATTAGGAAACAAAGCTTAGCAGGAGAGGAGAGCCAGAGAAGTGACAGGGAAGCTACAGGTTACAACAGATTTGTGAACTCAGCCAAGCACAGTGGTGGCAGGGCCTAGCTGGTACAAAGAAGACATGTTTTAGACAAATACTCATGTGTATGGGCAAAAAACTCGAGGACTGTATTTGTGACTAATTGTATAACAGGTTATTTTAGTTTCTGTTCTGTGGAAAGTGTAAAGCATTCCAACAAAGGGTTTTAATGTAGATTTTTTTTTGCACCCATGCTGTTTATTGCTAAATGTAATAGTCTGATCGTGACACTGAAAAAAATATATATTTGTGTTCTGAGTAATGGAAAAATAAGGGACCAAGGAAATTGGAACATTATCATATCACAATGTGGATGCATACATTTTGGCTTAAGATATGTTAGACACTGCTGGAGATAATTGAGTTTCACTCATGAAGGGAAATGGTCAAACTTACAAGAGGATCCTGTAGCTGAAAAACAAAGATAAATCAACGTGTACAGCCTGCTGAAAGAGGAGCTAGTTTTCGTACTACTTTCCTGAAAGGAAATATCAGAAATGGCAATGGAAGAAACATCCTTCTTAGGGCAAGGGCATAGAGCGCTGTGCTGGGGAATATACCTGCCATCATGCCTTGTGGGGATTCTGCCTTCTGCTTAGTATAGGAGGCTGCAGGAAAGGGAGATGATTGATCTCTTCCCTTTTTGCAGTGAGTGGTTACTGCTGGAAATCCTGCGGGGGATTGGTAATTTCTTTAAACTGTGCTGCCTTTACCTTTCTTCTCCCTATTTCTGCCATCCTGTGAAAGCTTTCATTTATTCATACAAATATCCTTCCCTTCCCTTGTTGACAAGTCACTATAAACTTCGGGTAGTTTCCGAACTTTATCTCTCTATTTTGGGTTTGGTATTCTCCTTTATTCATTCCTTATAGGAGTGGAGCAGCAGCTAAATAGAGGAATAAGCAAAAGAAATGAAGAAATGTGAGTTTCTACACACACAAGACAGAAATGAGCAAAGAGGAAAAGTATGCCAGGCCCTATAGGAAGCCAAAGGCAGCTATCATACAATAGACATGGAACTTAACCAGTCATTTCTGAAGTTTCATCTGGTGGTAAAAAACGGAAGGAACACAAAATGGAGAAATCAACATGTGTAGAACCAAGTGAATTCAGTTCTCCCTTGATAGGCTTAAAGAGGGTAACTGCAGAGAGGATATGGGGGGCCCTAAAATCTGACAGCTCAGTGCATGTCCGGCCTTACGTGCCTTACTTTGTGCTTTGTAGCCTCAGACCTGTTTCTGCTGGTCTGAGGCAGGAGATTGGCTATAAAGTGGTAAAGTGAGGCTTTGTTCTTCCTTCTCATTTCATTTAGGAACAGTAAATGCTTGAAACACTTCTAGAGGTTCATAATGTCTTAAACTTATATGTACTTTTGTCAGTCTCATTTTCTTTTTCTTTTATTTTCTTTCTTTCTTTTTTTTTTTTTTCTTTTTGAGACAGAGTCTTGCTCTGTTGCCCAGGCTGGAGTGCAGTGGCATGACCTCAGCTCACTGCAACCTCTGCCTCCCAGGTTCAAGCGATTACAGGTACCTGCCACCAAGTCTGGCTCATTTTTGTAGGTTTTTTTTTTTTGAGACGGAGTCTTGCTCTGTCACCCAGGCTGGAGTGCGGTGGCGTGATCTCGGCTTACTGCAAGCTCTGGCTCCTGGGTTCATGCCATTCTCCTGCCTCAGCCTCCCGAGTACCTGGAACTACAGGCACCCGCCACCATGCCCGACTTATTATTATTATTATTTTTTTGTATTTTTAGTAGAGACAGGGTTTCACTGTGTTAGCCAGGATGGTCTCCATCTCCTGACTTCGTGATCTGCCCGCCTTGGCCTCCCAAAGTGCTGGATTACAGGCGTGAGCCACCAGTGCGCCGGGCCTAATTTTTGTATTTTTAATAGAGGCGCGGTTTCATCATGTTGGCCAGGCTGGTCTTGAACTACTGACCTTAAGTGATCTGGCCCACGGGGCCTCCCAGAGTGCTGGGATTATAGGCGTGAGCCACTGCGCCCGGCCTCATTTTTTTGTGTGTGTGTTTTTGAGACAGAGTCTCGTTCTGTCGCCCAGGCTGAAGGGCAGTGACACGATCTCGGCTCACTGCAACCTCCACCTCCCGGGTTCAAGCGATTCTCCTGCCTCTGCCTCCTGAGTAGCTGAGATTACAGGCGTGCACCACCACGCCCAGCTAACTTTTGTATTTTTTTTTTTTAGACAGAGTCTCACTCTGTCACCCAGGCTGGAGTGCAGTGGTGAGATCTCGGCTCACTGCAATCTCCACCTCCCAAGTTCAAGTGATTCTCCTGCCTCAGCCTCTCAAGTAGCTGGGACTACAGGCATGCGCTACCATGCCTGGCCAATTTTTTGTATTTTTAATAGAGACGAAGTTTCACCATGTTGGCCAGGCTGGTCTTGAACTTCTGACCTCAAGTGATCCACCCACCTTGGCCTCCCAAAGTGCTAGGATTACAGGCATGAGCCACCTTGCCTGGCCAAATTTTTGTATTTTTAGTAGAGACGGGGTTTCACCATGTTTGTCAGGCTGGTCTCGAACTCCTGACCTCGTGATCCACCTGCCTCGGGCTCCCAAAGTGCTGAGATTACAGGCATGAGCCACCATGCCTGGCCCTGGCCTCATTTTCTTTAGTCACTCTTGTTCACTAACCTTTTAATTAATTAATTATATTTAAGAGGTACAAGTACAGATTTCTTATGTCATATATGGCATAGTGGTGAAGTCTGGGCTTTTAGTGTACCCATTACCCAAATAGTGAATATTCTACCCAATAATTTTTATTGACTTGAAAAGCTTTCTTCCTACTCTTCTTTACTAGGGCTGTTGGGAGCCACTAATTTTTGTTAAAGTCATTTAAATTTTAATCAGTTCATTTTGCACTTTCTCCAAATCGCTTATAACTTAGGGGAAAGCTAGAAAGGAATAAAATAGCAATATATTTTTCATTTATACACTATCATATTTTTAAATTGTTTACACATAAGGGAGAGGGAGTCAAGCGGGGAGAAAAGGGAAAGGGAATTCATGTATCCATGTAGATTCTCTGGCACATGGTGGCTATTAGGGAACTGTGGACCAGATGTGACCCTTCCTTTAGCCCCAGTGAGTTCCTCTGAGGTGAGCTGGCTTATGTTTATCCCCCCTGTAATAATTATGAGAACTTCCAAGGCTATAAGTCTTGGCAATCTGTGAGTACTGAGAAAAGCAGTCTTGATTCAGGGGAATAGTCAATAACAAATGGCTCTTATTCATTCACAAAAAGGATAGTTAGAACCAGAATTCAGGGCAGTAAATATCCAGTTTTAATGGTCATAGTGTGGCTGTATGGGATGCTGCCTGCCCTCTACACATTTTGGGTTTGTTTTCCCAAGTTATCTTATAGGACTGTAAACTCCATGGCATCAGTGACCAACCATATCTTTCTCTCCCTTATTCATGACTTTATCCTCAGTGCTCAGCTTAGTATCAGATACATGGTAGGAGCTCAGCTAGATGAAGGAATGTTTGTTTGAATATATGTGACTTGCCCTCTGATAATTCTTCCTGCTTGACTTAAACTTTCTAATGCTATCCCTTAATTTCTAGATTCAGAATTTCCCGTGTCCTGGGGTTGGTTCGATGCCCTAGTTTGTCCCTAGCTCGTCACAATATGAACTTTCATTTTATTCTCTTCCATATGTGATGCTTCTGCCAGTTCCTGTAAATTACAGCCCAATTACTGTTATATCCTGTTCCATGAGGTGCTCTGTCCTATCTTTCTTTTCCTCTCTGTCGTGCGTGTGTGTGCGCGCGCGCACGTGTGTTGGGGATGTTTGGAGATAGTGAGCCGGATAGGACATGAGGAAAGAGAAAGGCCTTTGGAGAGAAGACTGGAGAACTCAGGTTAGACTAGACCCTGCATAGTATTTCCTGTTAAATTTTATTGTCTTTTCTCCCTTTTGTATTTATTCTTAAAATTTGATTTTCTTTTCTCATTTCCTCCTCATTGTCTCCTCCATTATCTTTGAGTAGGCCCTTTAGAAACTACAAAGCACTTCAGAACTGGAAAGCTGCCCTTATTATTCTCTCTCTGCTACTTTAGAAAATTCTTGTATATTGTTATAGAAGACATTATGACTATTTCTGGGGACATTTTCTTACTCTTTTTCTTTTAAAAAAAATAGCCCTGGAGAATTCTCAGTAGGTTGAAATCAGGAAGCATAAAAACATGTGTAAAATAACTGCTCTTATGGCAGTGAGACACATCTAGGGCATTTGAGACAGGGAACAGGCCCTCTAGACACTGTAGAAGATCAAGGAACCTGGAGGGAGAAGGATAGATAAGGTACTTACCATTGGGTCCAGGATATTGTACTAAAAAATAGAAACAAACAAATTAAACACACACACACACACACACACACACACACACACACACACACTTCTATTTTTTGAGACAGAGTCTCTCACTCTGTCGCCCAGGCTGGAGTGTGGTAGGGTGATCTTGGCTCACTGCAACCTCCACCTTCTGGGTTCAAGGGATTCTCGTGCCTCAGCCTCCTGAGTAGCAGGGATTACAGGTGCCCGCCACCATGCCTGGCTATTTTTTGTATTTTTAGTAGAGATGGGGTTTCACCGTGTTGGCCAGGCTGGTCTCGAACTCCTGACCTCAGGTGATCCTTGGCCTCCCAAAGTGCTGGGATTACAGGTGTGAACCACTGCGCCTGGCCCCAAAACACCTCTATTAGTGATATTTTCCAAAGGCAAGCAGTGAAAATGATTTTCTCAGGAATTACTAAATCTCAGTATTCAGGATTAAATATTTTTCACTGCACTGCTGCTGTACTCTAGCCTCTCCATAAGAACCAGATCTTCTTTTAGGAGATTATTAACCCTGTTTTAGCATAACCACTTCATTCTTGCTTTTCATTATAGGTGTTGGAGATGAGATCCTTAATTGTATTCCTTTCCCCATATTCCCCCAGTGTTTTTCCTCAGATCACTCTGTTTCACTCTCAGCTATCTTTATGTTCTTGTTCATTTCTTATATTCTTTTCCAGATTCGATTACACCTTTGCCTTAGGAAGTTATTCTAATGATTACTGACAAGCCACTATAATCATTATTAGAACAATGCCTATCTATTATGAATTTTAAGGTAATGGAATTTCCATTTTCTAAAATATAATTGGTTGCCCAGAGAGATGGTTAGTGTTAATCCAAACTGCACCATTTTGTAAGCCTCCAGCAATTTGAAGACCTTGGTAAAAGTGAAACATTCCACGGGGGTTCGGGCTGTGAGAAACATTCTGCCTAACCACCTGAACACAAGGTGGACAAAGGGCCAACTAAAGAAACATCCCTGTCATATTCAGCTGGGAGAAAGTGCAAGGAACACTACATTCTGCAGGAACAAGGGCCAGAACCCCCTCATCATGGGAACATCTTATCAATATCCTGCCGGCCAGCAAGCCATACTACCCAGACCCCTCCCGCCTATACCTATAAGTACCCCCAGCCTGTAAGCAGCAGTGGGCACTGGCATTAGGCTGGTTCCCCACTTCTGTAGGTCTTATGCTGGACGTAAAGCCTACATTTGCTGTACAGCCGCCACTCTCTCTGTGTCTTTTCTTTAACCCTCGCCTTCCCTCCAAAACCTAACAGTTACGATATGGGGAAATGAAAGTCTAAGAAATATGATTTTCAACTTCTTTAACCCAGATACTTAAACAGTTGGAGCCAGTCTCCTTCAGACATAGTAAGAAGCCAGTAGAGATAAGTTGATATATACAGGCAGCTTACCAATAGGTCCTGGAGTTTGCACTAAAAAGAAATTCAAATTGGCATATTAGTACAGTTATTTGTAGAGTGTATTTTTCACTAATTTTATCCTAGAAGTGAGGCTTTGAGAGGTAGAGCAGGGGAGAGGAAGTGATATCAGTTATGAGATCATTAGGGAGACTTAATCCAACTATATTAACTATAGAAAAAAGGAAAAAGGATATTTAGCATTTACTGCAATATTTCAGCCCAAGGTGAAGGTTTTTATAGGATCCTTGCCAACCTAAGGGATACTAGGGAAAGGCAAAACTTTGTTATTAGGTATTAACATTACTGATGGTAGGGAAAGGTGAAACACTTCCTGTCAGTAAGAGTAGAAGATATTTCTTTCTCAAGGGACTGTTCTTTCACTAAAATCTTTATTTCTGATCAACTAATATGTTCCAGAGGTAGACATTAGAATAGGAGGTAAGAATCTAGTTTCTTCTTCTCACAGCTTCCAGCTTATTGGAGAGTGATAGAGCAGTGACTGCTGCTTTGATTAGCTTTAGAGTCTGTGAGCAAAGAGTCAACAAAACCTTCTGGTTTTTTTTGTTTTGTTTTGTTTTGTTTTTTGAGATAAGGTCTCACTCTGTCACCCAGGCTGGAATGCAGTGGTGCAATCCTAGCTCACTACAGTCGCGACCTCCTGGGCTCAAGTGATCCTCCCACCTCAGCCTCTTGAGTAGCTAGGACTACAGCTGCATGCCACTATTCCTGGCTAATTAAAAAAATTTTTGTAGAGATGGGGTCTTGCTCTGTTGTTGCTCAGGCTGATCTTGAACTCCTGGTCTCAAGTGATCCTCCTGCCTTAGCCTCCCAAAGTGCAGAAATTACAGGTGTGAGCCCATGCCTGGCCAAAACCTTCAGTTTTTAATGAGAATTTGGCCTTCAGTTGATTTTCTAGCTCTGATCGCCTGGTGACCTGATAAATATCGAAAGCCTGTTATGTTTTTTTTGTTGTTGTTTTTTTTTTAGACGGAGTCTTACTCTGTCGCCCAGGCTGGAATGCAGTGGCACGATCTCGGCTCACTGCAACCTCTGCCTCCTGGGTTCAAGCGATTCTCCTGCCTTAGCCTCCTGAGTAGCTGGGACTGCAGGCGCACGACACCACACCCAGCTAATTTTTGTATTTTTTTAAGTAGAGATGGGGTTTCACCATATTGGCCAGGCTGGTCTCAAACTTCTGACCTTGTGATCCCCTGGTCTTAGCCTCCCAAAGTGCTGGGATTACTGCACCCAGCCGAAAGCCTGTTATGTTATTTAGCAACACTGCTTACATAAGAATGATCCTTGATGTTAGACTGCATCTGAACTGGGAGAATTGTAAATATGTATTAAGAAGCCATAACTTTGGGCTTCCCTGAGTGTAGTGACCCATGTATTTGGTCATATTCCTTACGGGATCCCTGCAGGTAATGTGTATGGGGTTCTTATAGGAGATTTTAGTTCCTGGTGGACCTGTGGGGTTTCTAAGCTAGGTCAGCTCCCAATTCAACTGACAGAAGGCCAAACAGAATAGGTCCTAGGTGGCTATGTGGACCTAGCATAGATCATGGCGAGTACTACTCCCACAGCAGAGGGATAGCTGTTAATGCCCTTGCTGGCAAACTGTGCTTCCTGCCTTAGGTCCTACTGAGTAGACTGTTCCCAGATGAGAGCTATGGTAATCTTCTAAGTCTGCATGGTTAGTTGAATCTAAAAAGACCATATCTTCACCCAGTGGGCATTGCAGTTAATAATCCTTCACTTCAGTGTCACTCAGAATGAGAAATATCCACATTTTGATCAATAATCCTCGAACTTTTAACTCTGAATTTTTTTTTTCCTGTGTAAAACACCTGGAAGATGGCTTTCCAGATCTGGATACCCTTGGCTATGAGCAGTAAACCAGTTACACATTTAGATATTATGCTAACTTAATAGTTGCTTTGCCTGTATCTACAAATATGTATCTTTGATTCTGAAGTAGAACTCTTATGATACCTGCCCTCTTGACATAAGTTACTAAATCCTTGGATAGGTGATCACTTCAAAATTTTGTTTCTTCAGTTTTTCTATATTTTCTTCCTTCCTTTCCGGTTTCAATTTGTGACTTTTTGTACCTTTATTTTTATTCTCTTTCTCAACATACTCATTTCCCTTCTTTATTCTCTTATGTGCCAATTCACTTACTCTTTCTGCTTCCAATTTTCTTCCTACTTTTGTTCTTTTTCAATTTTCTCCTATTTATCTCTTTCTAAACTGCATCTTCATTCTGTATCTGTTATTATTTGTGTTACTCATTCTCTCACTTTTTCTCCTCTAGGCCTTTACTACCCTTTAATCTCAATATTAGAACTTCATTTTATTCATTGTTAATAACCTGTTATAACACCCAAAAATGATAGTGGAAAGAATGAAGAGTTAGTAAAACTTCAGTCTTAATTTTATTAACTAACCCATCCTCTTATTTTTTTGAGAAATGACTCCTGACCCTCAGTTTCCTCATCTCTAAATATGGGGATAATAACTGCCTTACTCATTGCCATTTGAATGTTGTTTAGATGCAACAAAGTAATGTACGCGAGGGTTAAAAAAACAGTAGTAAGACATTATAGGGATCACTCAAAGAATGTGACTAGGTTGCTAAAAGTTGCTGAAAATAGAGCCTAACTCTTCTGGAGAGAACTTTTCAGGGCAATTAGAAAGGAAAGGAAGGCCAGGCGCGGGGGCTCACGCCTGTAATCCCAACACTTTGGGAGGCTGAGGCGGGCGGATCACGAGGTCAGGAGATCGAGACCATTCTGGCTAACAGAGTGAAACCCCATCTCTACTAAAAATACAAAAAAATTAGCCGGGCGTGGTGGTGGGTGCCTGTAGTCCCAGCTACTCGGTAGGCTAAGACAGGAGAACGGCGTGAACCCACGAGTTGGAGCTTGCAGTGAATGGAGATCATGCCACTGCACTCCAGCCCGGATGACAGAGCGAGACTCCATCTCAAAAAAAATAAAGAAAGGAAACTTAAAATTTGCATTATTTTACAAAGTGAAGATAATCTAATAATGGAAAAATTATTTGCATGGAAAGCACAGCAGGAAGTTTAGGTGCTGGGTTCTAAGTCTTTATTAAGTATTGGCTCTACAGAGCTAGATTATATGCTGAAGTGGAAACAGCTTAGGACCATCTCTAGCAGGATATTTTTCACTTTGCATTTCAGCTTCATAGTTAATATATTTTTATTGCAGAACCTGGATGAATCCAATCTGGAGTACTGGGTGAGATTATGAGGTGGCAGAAGGACTTGATCCTTGAGTCCTTGGGCATGAATAATTGAAATAAAAATAGATTGATGTTCTAAGTAAAGTACTAAAAGGCATTATAATTGAGAATCAGATGACTTACCAATGGTTTTTTGAGAGAGCTCTAAAAAAAAAAGAGAAAAGAAATCAGTAGCTATATATATATTTTATATATACTTTTTATTTATATACTTTAATTTGTATACTTTCCCTAGTAGGAATCTGCATCACTATTGTCAAGTTCAGCTGCAGTTGAGTAGTAGAAATGGTGACTTTCTTGCTATGGCAAACTAGTACATATAAGGGCCTCCTCATCTAAAAATCCCTTGTGTGATGCTGAGAAGCCATTGGAAATCTGCAAGGGTTCATTCTCCACTTTGTAGTTTGTTTTTATTGGTGAAGTGTACATTCACACAGCTAATCATGACTTACTGAAATGCTAGGTTGAAGAAAAATAAGGGTTGAAGAAAATGTGAACTCCAAACCCTTGAAATCCCAACATGGAAACCAGGTAGCGATCCCTAAGATACTGCAGGAAAGTAAAATGCTCACTGTGGAGAATCAGAGAGCAAACTTACTGATAGGTCCTGTAGCTCCGGCTGTGAGAGAGAAAGAGGGAGAAAGAAAAAGATATCAGTATGCTTCACCACTGTGAAGGAAATTTCCATTTCCCAACACTCGCTCTAGGGAGTATCATAAATAGAAACAACGGGAAGATCAAGAGTTGCTTGTATGGCAAGCCTCAGGCAGGCTCCCTGCACAATATAAGGGACCTACAGGAATGGAGGCCTCCTCCTGCTTTCAGTGATGGTTGAAAATCTTCAGAGGGTTGGGAAAGACTCACTCCATATTAATCTGTTATGCCTCTATTTTTCTTCTTACATTTTCTTGCCCCTTGCCCCTAGTTTCCTTAGAGACATAGTTTATTTGAAAGGTGTACCTTCCCTTGCTGATGGATCATTATGACTATTTCTAAGAGGGCTGTTTTGGTTTATATTTTTAAATGTTAGCCTGTGAGATTTCTTAACACTTCGTGCATGGCCTCTTTGGAAACTATGTAATAGGAATGCCAGGGGAGTTGAGAAAGACAGTGTTAAAAAAGCAAGTCACCGCTAAACCTCAGCATCACACAATATACCCATTAGCAAACCTGCATATGCACCACCGGAATCTAAAATAAAAGTTGAAATTATTTTTAAAAATGCAGGGCAGATCAGGCCCCAAGACCTTGTAGGTCAGATATCAAAGGGACCAGAGTGGAAAAACAAACTTGATACTTACGAATAGGGGCTGTGAATTGCACTGAAATACAAAAAGGAGGAAAGTGTGGTTTGACATTAATAGAATTTTCATTTTACCAGTATTGTTTCTAAAGAAACTATGAAGCAATTCAACCAGAGGAGAACAACTACTGTGGGACTGCAGATGATCTTAGCCTGGAAGCTGCATAACCCTCCTACCAGATCAAATCATTCAGCATCCATCTTAAATGAGAAATTTAAGTAACTAAAAATAATAAATATAAATAATTAAAATAAACTACAGTTTTAAACATGAATTATTTGGCTTTCCCTTGTCCTAAACTCAGTAGCAATTCAGGATATTGTGTCTGATTGCTTGGGCATCAGAAGGTGTCAGAAATTTGAATACAATTAAGAAGTATGAGTGAGAAATCCTGCAGGGGTAGAAATGGTAACAGTTAGGATGTGGAGAGGACCCTATATCCTACAGAAGGCCAAAGAACATTAGAGGAAACAGAAAAGGAACTCACTTATAGGTCTAATAGTTCCAGTTAAAATATGGAAAAAACAAAATAGAACTAATGAGAAAATACTGTTTGCATTTAAATTCTTCCTGGGAAAACATCACAAATGTAGACACCAGGAGCAAAATTTCCACTTCAGTGGAGGAACAAATAAAGTTTATAAATGCTTCTTTCTTCATCTTGGAGGATCCCGGTTACTGGTGGAATCTGCCAGCTGGAACTGTGGAGACGCACATTTGGTCAGGCAGTGTTCCTTCCCCTTTCCTGACGGGTGTCCTGCTTGTATCTCAGGAGATTACACAGGCCATTGCCTGTCTTCCAGCTGGCTAATTTGAACTTGCTTAGCTAGAATCTATAGCCTCATCTGAAGGAGACAGTGGGAATTGCTGTCTCTGTAGTGATTTTGGCCCTTATTCAACAGAGTAACTTGGCCTGCCATGTAAAAGGGAATAGAAACTGCTAGGTTGACTTAAGACATTTATAGGTATGAGTGGTGGGCAAAGGAATTGAGACACTAGACCCACATACTTGTTAATAATGCAGTAACAGTCTTCTTCTTTATGACCACACACACACATACACATACACACACACACACCCCACCACACCTCTCTACACCTCATAGGCTATAAGTGATTCTCTCACCTTGGCCTCCCAAAGTGCTGGGATTACATGTATGAGCCACTGTGCTTGGCCTAATATGTGCTTTTATGATACCTACCCAGTATTTGCTCTCAAAGTTTGACTTGATTATTTTAATAATGTTCCATTTGTGTAAATACTCCAAGAGGAGTAGACACAGGATGTGATATAACATGAGCTTTAATTATCAAATCACTTTTTTTCTCCTTCCTTCAGAGTTAGTCCTGTCTCAGGGGCTCAAGCTCTGAACATCCTCAAAAATGAAGGATAGAAATGTGTTAAGAAGTGAATGAAACCCTGATGAGTTTCATCTTTCTTGTCTTTGGCTTTAAGGTCACTCTTGGTGTGGGGAATCTGCAGGGCTGGAAAAGCTGGTTAAATTTGGACCAAGTGCATTCATCTTTTTATTTCCTCTCTCAGGGCAGAGAATTAAAATCCTGTAGAGCAATGGTTCTTAAACTTTGGTATGCACGCAAATCACCTGGGAATCTTATTAAAATGCAAAGTCTGATTTAGTAGGTCGGGGTGGGCAATAGGCTGAGACTCTGCATATCTAAAACTCCAGGGTGACATTGATGCAGGCCCTTGGACCCACTTTAAGCATCAAGGCCATAAAGGGCTGGCAAAATCTCAGATCATATAAAAGTCATTGTTTCCATTTACCATTTTTTTTCCTTTTTAAATCAACTTCCTCTCACTTATTCCTTATTCTCTATTCCCAACCAGTGCTTCTTCCAGAGATACATGCTACAGTTTCATTTAAAATTCTATCTGGATACTTATTTCAGATTTATTCTTTGTTCATAACAGGGGATATACATCCCACACAAACATCAGTGACAGTCTGGGATCCTCGGTCAGTGAGCTGGGACTCACTGCATGTCACTGAAATTTTCTTGGCGGGTCTTAAGTAGAATGGCCACCATCAAGCCTCTTTCTTTGAGTGTTACTGGGTTTTCTCACAGGGGAATCTTTCTTCCTTTCACTTGACCATTTTTTGTTCTTCACTCTTTTCCCTTTGCTGTTGAATCTCAAGATTTCGGAAAAGTTAAAGGCAATAGTACTTTCTTACAGAGGCACCCCAGTTTATTAAGATAAGAATAGGGAATAAACAAGGGGAAAGGAATGGACAATTTGTGAAAGAAATAAAAAAATCTAGGAATATGAGTGTCTTACATATTCTAACAGTTTAGTAAAGCAAAGCACATGAGAATTAAAGGGCAGAAAAAGAACTTACTCATGGCTCCTGCAGTTCTGGCTAAAATACAAACAAAAAAGGTGAGTTTGAAGAGAGCATGACTCAAGGGTGTTTATCTCAGGGAGTTTCAGATCAAGCATTTACTACATATTTGATTTACATGGAAAGGCAGCAAGAAGGTAAGTAGGCATTTTCCTTTTTTCCTTAGGAGACTGTTAAAATCATACTCCCTGCAGTTATTTTTCTTATTCTTAATTTTCATTATCTTCCTGCTGTCAAATCCTTCTAAAGGTTATAGATAATTTTCCCTGGCCCCAGAATCTTTTTCACAATTTCATTAATTAATCTAGTTTTTATTATAAGAATTTCCACTTTGTTAAATGAAAAAATTAATCAGTCACTTAGAGGATCTTGAAATCAGCCTCAAATTCCTCACACTGGTAAAAGAGAGAACAGTAAAATTGCAAGTTTTTCTCCTTTCCTCCATCTTTATGTGCTTTCTCACCACCTTCCCCATTCCTCTGGTAGCAGGCACATTATAGAAGATCAAAATCATTACACATGGTATGCATGTATCAAAATATCACATGTATCCCATAAATTTGTACAATTATTAGGTGTCAGTAAAAAAAGGACTGAGTTGTATATATGGGAAACTTACAAGGAAGTTCTTCAGTTGTTTGTAAACATTTTATACTACCTATAATAAAAATTGAAAAGTGTAACATTACTTAGATTTAGACTTTCAGAAGGCATGGAGATAGACAATCCCATTCCCTCCTCCCCCTCCTCAGGTGTGGTACAAACAGTCTTGAGGTTAAAGAGCTGAGTCCGACTTTTGCTATTCTCTAGCTCTGTGATTTTGGGCAAGTCACTAAATGTTTTGAACATTAATTTCCTCATCTCTAAAACAGAAGTTGTGTCCTCTGTCTTACCTATATTGTGAAGTTGCAGTGAAAAATCAGGAGTAATAACAGAAGGGAAAGATGAAAAGTTGTATTAGAAATGTTATGGAAAGAAATATTCAGTAACTATAAATGAATGAAACACTTCGGCAAAGTAGTAAGCTACTTTATATTTTACTTTTTTCTGCTTTAATTTTTCCTCTTATTTCTGACTGTCCTTTGGAAAGTTCTGAGTCCTGACAGCAGAGCATTATAATGTGCACTTAATTCTGTTTTTATTTTTGATTTATTAATTTCTGTTATTTTAATCTTTAAAACAACCCTATCTTCTTGTGTACCTTAGTACCTTAATTATGTCATTTTAATCTCTGTTGCTTCTGTCTTGAGAAATAACCAATCATATTTTAAGATGTTGAAAATTTTGCAATTTTTTTTCTTAAAGTAATTGAATAATTTGTTTCCTTCTTTGTGTATAATTATTTTTCCCTTATTTGTTACTTTGCTGTTTTGGGGAGGGAAATAGTAGCTTTCCCCAGAAATGACAGGATCTACCCTCAGCATTTGGGAAGAGATGTCTGTTTTTCTATGTGGTATTTTAGGCCGTCAATCACTGAACTGTCAGTTTCTTGAGAAGGTGAAGCCACTCCTACCACCAAATAAAGATAATTTTAAAAGGACAGTTTTCATATACTTAATTTTTTAAGATTTAAGATATTAACCTATGGTAGGAGTGACAAGTATACTTGAGTTATGCATATTTAATTTTGATCAATTATTAATGACTATCTGGAGATGACAAGAATTTTAGGATACATGTGAGCTGAGCAGGAAAGAGAATCATGATCAATTACTGATTTCTGCCACAGGCAAAGGCATGAGCAGAAATGTAACACAGGTCATATATATTCCATTCCTGACCTAAAGTAATATGGAATAATGAGGAGAAAGGAATTTTTCTTTCTTTTTTTTTTTTGAGACAATCTCTCTCTGTCACCCAGACTGGAGTGCAGTGGCACAGTCTCAGCTCACTGCAACCTTCACCTCCTGGGTTGAAGTCATTCTTGTGCCTCGGCCTCCTGAGTAGCTGGGATTACAGGCATGTGCCACCACGCCCGGCTAATTTTTGTATTTTTAGTAGAGATGGGGTTTCACCATGTTGGCCAGGCTGGTCTCAAACTCCTGGCCTTGAGTGATCCCCTCACCTCGGCCTCCCAAAGTGCTGGGATTACAGGTGTGAGCCTCCATACTGGGCCAAGAAAGGAAATTCTTGAACTGAGTATTTTGTGGCGTTTCCCAGCTGAAGACAAATAAGCAGGGCAGTGGAAGGTATTTACTTGTTGCCTTACAGAGTAAAGAAGAAGATAAAAAAAACTTACGATGTACTTATCCTGCCAAAATACTGAATATTGTGTGTTTTGGATTAAGGACATTGTCTCTGTGGATATTCTTCCTAATGGGAGCATCAGAGTTAGTTCTTTTAGAGAGTACCACATTTTCCATACCAGACAGAATTCCTGATTATCTCTGTGGGGATCGATCACAAACTCAGTTGCATTAAGGGGCCCAGCAGGTCTCATGATTGTGAATCTGCTAGTTATAAGGGATAGAGATGGTGAAAAGTCCATGCCCTACCCAGAGGCATTCAAATTCAAAATTTAAAATAATACCATCCTGACGAAACAAAACACATCTATAGGTGGCACTGGGCTAGTGGTGGCTAATTTGGGAGCTCCGTTTTCAGATGAGAAGAGATTTAAGTGAGCACCATCTATACTTCAACAACAGTGCACTTTGAAATCAGTATCATATGGTTGCGGCCTGAGTTGGGATAGGGCAAGTGAATCCCTTCCTTTTCGTTACTTTAAGGATAGGTATTGGTTGGATCACATTTAATTAAAACCTGTGAGTAATAAACTTGTTCAGATTGTGAAGCATCTGGAAGTTTTGATACCTTTTAGAAAAAATAATGAAATATGATATATTTAATTCCATCTTTGAACAAGAAACAACTTTGCTAGTAGGAAATGTGACCCTAATATGCAACCACAAATGTAATAGTCAGTATGAAAACTTTTGTAGGAAAAGCACATAGATCAGAAAAAAAACCCTGTCCAGTCAGGATTATCTGTTTTGGATTTTTTGCCGATTTCCTCACTTCCCTCCTCCTCATTCCTGTCACAGTCTTCCCTTCATTTAGAAAATGTGTTCTTTTTTTTTTCTTTTTGACAATCAATTGAAATCAGTTTCAGAAGGTTTATTTAAACTTTACCTCTTTGGTTTTCCTCCCTTCTCCATTCATTTTTTCCAGCTTCCCTCACTTCTCTGTTCTTTTTTTTTTTTTGAGATGGAGTCTCACTCTGTCACCCAGGTTGGATGGCAGTGTTGCGATCCTGGCTCACTGCAACCTCCTCTCCCAGGTTCAAGCAATTCTCCTGCCTCAGCCTCCCGAGTAGCTGGAATTACAGGAGCATACCACCACGCCCAACTAATTTTGTATTTTTGGTAGAGACGGGGTTTCAGCAGGCTGGTCTCGAACTCCTGACCTCAGGTGATCCACCTGCCTCAGCCTCCTAAAGTGTCATGATTACGGGCGTGAGCCATGGTGCCCAGCCTCTTCTCTGTTCTTTTATTTGATTAATTTTCAACTGGTTGTTGAAATTAGTTATGTAACGGACTTGAAATTTTAATGAGAGATTAAATAACTTGCCTATGTTCAAATAAATAGTAAGTAGGGAGCTGGGATACAACTCCAGTTAGCCTGGCTCTAGAGTCTGCATGCTTAACTGCTAGGCAATAGTCCTCTGTAAATTGAAAATAATTAACAAGCAAATTTATTTTAAAAGTGATTTTTTAGTAGGTCTTATTATATTATTCTCAATTCATGGAGAAATAGTGTATAGTTCAGATACGAAGTGAGCAATAACTTTTTCCTAAGCCTACAGTCAGAGTGTACAGCATAATTTCCTCCCTTGAAGGTAGGCTGTGATTAGAGAGGGACATAGTCAAGGGAGGATCTGTTTAAGATGGAAGAAAATCAAACCTGTTCTATACCTTAAGGAGAAGCAATTAAAGGAAGGAAAATATTTAAAGATGTAGAAGAGAGAAGAAATGACTTCTGAAGAAATAAGGGGGTGAGAGGATGTGGTCAAAGGCAAGAATAAAATAATTTGCTTAAGCAAGGTGGAAGGTCTCATTGTCTTAGAGAGGGGGAAATGTGAGAAAGGTGGGCATGATCCAGTTAAGATGGCTAATGAAGGACAAGGTGGAGAATTATGAGTCTTAAGCCCTTTCACCCTGACATAGCAGGAAACAGGAAATAGTTAAGACAGGGAGAAGTCCTCTGCCTAGTATAGGAGCCCAACAACACGAGAGTTTGAAACAAGAAGATAAACTTACTCATGGATCCTTGAGGTAAAGCTAAAGAACAATAACAATTATTCAAGTCAGTCTAAAGTTTCAATAATCCATCAATTTCCCAAAAGTCTTCCCAGAAATAGTGTCCTCCCTCAGGTTATTAGACTTTCCATTCGCCTGTAGGTAGGCTCATAAAGTGGCCACACTTGCAAGTGATCCCATGTCTTTTCCCCCTTAGACACTATGCAGGAGTGAAAGTTTCAGGGGAATATTCAGCTTTACTATATTTCCAATATTCTGATTTCATTCACCACCTTTCTCCTGTCTTTTCCGTTTCTCCCTCCCTCTTTCTTTCATCTTTTCAGTTTGGAGAGTCTTCTTTCCCTAATGTGATAGCCTCAAGAACCAAAGAAAGGCAATGTTACAAAGGTTCTAGTTTTATAAGAAAAGAAAACCGAGATTGAGAAAGGGAAGGGCTGTGCCTGAGTATGCAAAAAATTAAAGGCAGTTTTAGCTTCCAGTTTGCTTGACTTTAAGTTCAGCACGTTTTCCTTCATATTCTTTACAATTTTCTCTTCTTTCTGAATATTCCTTAAACATTTTTTTCTTTAACGTACTGACCATCTTCCCTCTCCAACATTTTGTTTCTGTTCTTTTTGTTCAGCTCTAAAATGTTTCTCTTGTAAAATAACCTAAATTCTAGGGCAAGACTTGTAGAAGGTTTAATGATATTAACTTTGATAGTAATTTGTACAAGCTACCATAGAATGAACCCTCACTATATTCAGTGGAGAAAGTCTGGGCATTAGTCTTATTTGTCTTACATTGACTGTTAAATGACTATGCAAAGTTTGATAATTCTCACCATCTTTTGGAACTGCATTTATTTAATTTAATTAATTAATTTATTTTATTTTATTATTATTGTACTTTAAGTTTTAGGGTACATGTGCACAATGTGCAGGTTAGTTACATATGTATACATGTGCCATGCTGGTGTGCTGCATCCATTAACTCGTCATTTAGCATTAGGTATATTTCCTAATGCTATCCCTCCCCCCTCCCCCCAACCCCCACCCCACAACAGTCGATCAATGACAGGGTTTAATAATTTTTCTTCTGCTCAACTTTTATGATTCAATGAGGCTAAATTCACAAACTAAAGCCCTGTGTTCTTGGGCCTTTTAGCCTTAGGGTAAGTTTTGGTAGGAGAAGCAAAAAGGCTGACTTTCTAGAAATAGGGCCTGCCTAGAAAGAGGTAAATAAGGAGGACAAGGTCCCTAGACAAACAAGCGTTTATGGTACTGAAACAACCAAGAACTTGCTCAATTCCCTTGTAAATTGTGCTAGATACCCACATCTCTAAGTGCACGTCAATTGCTTAAAAGCATCAGCGTTAATCCCCCTTTGAAAAGAAGATCAGAAAAAAAATCCCTCACACTACCCTCACCAGGGAGCATCAAATCCTCTATGCCAGCTGTAGTGTGATTTTTTCATGGATTGTTTAGGCATCTTATATTTTGGTGGTGTGGCCGAGGCCCAGAATGACATGTAGGACTGATGATGAGCAGAGAAGGTGATTCCCTTTTCCTTTTCTTCTCAGCCTTTGTAAAGACTGAAACTGTTAAGGGAACTTGGAAGACCTTAGGTTTTTTTTGGGGGGCTGGGGTGGGGGGGACAGGGTTTCACTCTGTTGCCCAGGTTGAAGTTCAGTGGTTGCATAGCTCACTATAACCTCTCACTACTGGGCTCAAGTGATCATCCCAACTCAGCCTCCCATGTAGCTAGGACTACAGGCATGCCACCATGCCCTACTGATTCTTTTAATTGTTCTGTAGAGACAGAGCCTCACTATGTTGTCCAGGCTGGTCTTGAGTTCCTGGCCTCCAGGATCCTCCTACTTTGGCCTCCCAAAGTGCTGGGATTACAGGTGTAAGCCACCATGCTTGGCCCTTAGTCTTTTTTTTTTTTTTTCTTTTTCAGGTGGAGGACCTTAGTCTTGATTAAACTTTCTGTAGTTTCCCTATGTGCTCCCTTCTTATTATCTGTTTGCTCTCATTTCTCTTTCCTAAATTGAGAAATAGAAAATAAACTGAAATACGGTTCCTGGAATTGGCACTGAGGAATAATAATAAAAATTCACATCCGTCTGAGTTAATTGGTTTATAAAGTATATAATTCTCACCGAAATCATTTTAGAAAGGGGACCCTTGATTAGGTCTCATTAAGTACAATGGGCCATCAACTACTAGAATGCTTGGGTTTGAATTCTGGTTCCTCTACTTACTAGCTGTGTTACTCTGCCTGTTTTTTTTTTTATGCCTAAGTTTATTCATTTTAAAAATAGGATTTATAATATCTACTTTCTAGGATTATTATGAAGAAAAAATGTTTAGGACAGAGCCTGGAGCATAATGCTCAACACATATTATTATATCATCATTTCAGATTGCAGTCCTTATCTTTTTATACATGTATGGGTAATGGACCATAGTCTCCTCTATCTTGGGCACTACGCTAGTTCAAGATTTTCAAGGAAATAATAGGATCAAGTCCTTTGAGGTCCTGGTTTGAGAGGCCCTTTCTCGAGTTATCACAGTCCAGTGAATTGCCTATGAGAATTATCTCTCAAGAGGGCCTCATCCATTCTGTAGGACCACACGTCATCTTGAGCTTCAGGGATGAATAGCTTCCTGTGGCCCTATGCATCTTTCAGCTAAATACTCTACATAACTAATTACTCATCATCCTTTGAGATTAATCCCAAAATGTGTCATATCCTCATTTAATTTACTCACCATCCAAAGACAATTCCTCATCTTAAGGATGCTTATTATCATAATGCTTTTTATAATTCCTAATCGGACGTTCCTTCCACCTCTCCTTACTCCCTAAAACACACCATGCTGTCTGAAATTCATATCAGCAAATTTTCCTGTATCTTTAACTTCTCCAAACGTTTTCTTCACCGTCTTGCTTTAATATTCCTGTCTTTTAAAATACTGTATCTCAAGCCTGGGTGCGGTGTCTCATGCCTGTAACCCCAGCAATTTGGGAAGCCGGGGAGGGCAAATCACTTGAGGCCAGGAGTTCAAGACCAGCCTGGGCAAGATGGCAAAACCCTGTCTCTACTAAAAATACAAAAATTAGCTGGGTATTGTGGCGCACGCCTGTAATCCCAGCTGCTTGGGTGGCTGAGGCACAAGAATCGCTTGAACCCGGGAGGTGGAGTTGCAGCGAGCCGAGGTTGCACCCTGCACTCCAGCCTGGGTAACGGAGTGAGATTCTATCTCAATTTTTTAAAAAAATACTTATCTCAGATGTTGCTCAAAGCATACAAAATTGCAGTTAGATGAGAGGAATACTTTCAGGAGATCTATTGTATAACATGGTGATCGTAGTTAATAATGTGTTATACTTGACATTTGCTAAGAGAGTAGATTTTAAGTGTTCTTACCACAAAAAGTATGTGAGGAAATGGATATGTTAACAGCTTGATTTAGTCATTCTACAATGTATACATATATCAACACATTATGTTGTATACCATAAATATATACAATTTTGTCAATTAAAAATTATAACATTTTTAAAAAACCATGTCTCTTACAGCCCTCTTAGATTTTTTTTTTTTTTGAGACAGGGTCTCACTCTGTCACCCAGGCTGGAGTGCAGTGGCGTAATCACAATTCACTGTAGCCTTGACCTCTTGGGCTCAAGTGATCCTCCCACCTCAGCCTTCCAAGTAGCTGGGACCACAGGTGCACACCACCATGCCGGCTAATTTTTTATTCATTGTAGAGACAGGGTCTCACTCTGTTGTTGAGGCTGTGATGTCTGGTTTTTTGTACGTTTGTTTTAGAAAAAATCCATACCCATATACATGCCTGAATATAGGTAAATGTCATTTTTGCTCCCCATTGCTGTTTCCGAACAGTCTTCTCCAGTAGAAACTCCTGTTGTCTTTGAAGCACATATGAGACTTTACTCTGTACCTCTCTCCTTCTTGCCATCATAAATAAATATGATGGTCATTCTCTCCCATTTCATTCTCTACCAGAAGCCAGGGTTGCCTTTTTAAAGCATAAATGTGGCTTTATCCCTTCCCTGATGAAAACAATGGCTTATTGTGGTGCTCAGAATTGTTCTCCATATTTTATTCTAAAAGACTTTTTGTGATCTGGCCTCTCCCTACCTTTCAAACTCCTCCACGATCTTTCACAACTGGCCTTCCCGCAATCTCTCATACATGCTACTCTTCTTCCCCTCTGAGGAACTTGGTGTTCTTTCTGCCTGAGATACTCTTCCCTAAGATCCTCCTGTGGCTGCCAGCTTTTCGCCATTCAGAGTCAGTTCAGATATCTCCTCAGGGAAATTTCTTCTAATCTCCTAGCTAAAGGCCCTCACTTCTTGGTCTTGCTCTATCATATTATCTTAATTTGTTTTCTCCGTAGAATTTACTATGATAGTCTAGTAATCATAGTAGGAATTATCTAGAAAGGGAAATCATTGTATTTGTTTGCTTATGTGTTTATTTTCTGTCTTACCTCACTAGAATCTATGCTGTCTGTGAAATACTTATGTTGTCTTAGGTATAGCAGCTGCAGTGCTCTAAATGATTTCCCCTTTGGAGGGTTTTTATGGCAAGCCTGTCTCACATGGGTCCTCTGCAGATTTTGCTGAAGAAACTGAAGATTTGAGTTTATTGTTTAGCATGTTTCAACTCCCAAATATTTTACCCTTTCCATAAGTTAGATGCAAACAAAGTAAAACTAGATAAAACATGTTTTAATTATAAAAGTAATAAAATATTGAGCTTGATAGCTTTCTAAGGGCACCTGTTCACAGTTGTATATACAACAAAACAGCCTTATTCATGGGATAAGGTTATGGCACAGTATTGGATTAGCACACTAATTCTGATATTTTATATTAATTTACATTTTAAGATTTTCAAATTACATTTTAAAAATTGAAGTAATATATTTTTAACATATGCATGATTTTCTAAATTCCTTGGAACAAACATTTTATTTCCAAAGAATACTTTGGATTGGAAGAGTAAATACATTTAATGATGTCCTGGGGGTAGTTGGACAACCTCAGGACTTGGAGTCCAAAGGCCAGTGTTTAGAACCTCAGTTTTACTCTTTTGCTAGCTATATGCCTTGGGTCAAGTTAAATAATATCTTTAAATTTCATTTTTTCCTCATGTGTAATATCTGTAAATAGTCAAGAAAGATGACTTGCTTTAATTACAAACCTCTCCTTGTCCCCTACTCCCATTCCCTGATCTCTTCACAAGCCTCTCTCTTCTTCCCTCCTATTCCTAAGTTAATGAATTTATTACTGTTTTGCTGAAACTATGATTGCCAGCTAAAACCATTTTAATCCTCTCTTTATTCTTTAATCGGTGGACTTCTCATTCTTCGAAGTTCTCATTAATTTTAGACAAAATGCTCAATGATGGGGAAGGAAAAGGAGGTGAGGGACAAAATCTCAGCAGGGTTAGGGAATGTTCCTTAGTTCTGTGACACACTAAAGAGACTTAGAATTTGGAAATATGAAATTTCCCTCCTTGCTCTCCTAAAAGTAAATATAAACAAAAAATTCATGTGGTTGTCTGGCTCAAAAACTATCCATTTCTTTCTTTTTTTTTTTTTTTTTGCAGGGGACAGGGCAGGAATGAGTATCAGAACCAGGAACGCCTGGGAGCACCAAACCCTTAGTGTCAGTTGCAGCTCAGGGGGATAGGGAATTAGCCATCTCTTCCATTGCTGCCAGCCTGACTTGGGGATGCCTCAAGGAAGGCTGCCCTTTCGTGCTAGCCATGTAAAGCTTTAAAATTCTGAGGACACAGCTAATATCATTTATCCCTCATTCTATATTATCCTCATCCTCATCTTATTTTTCTTACTAACTTTTTGCTCTTATCCTTTATTTACTCTGTTTTCCCAACACTTCAGGTTTGGAAATTGCTCTCTTCATGTCATCATAATAAACCACTAGAAACTTGCATTTACTTTTGACTGATTATTGAAGTGTCTGGTTATGGAGAACAAAGAAATTGGAGAAATGTGAAGCTTAAGCTTCTGCTGTGCTGCAGCGAAGAAGTCTGGGAAGTTTAGGAAGATATCCTCTTGATTAACTGGGGCTAAATGTCAGCAGAATTGAAGAAAAGTAAAGGAACTTACCAATACTTGATCGAGACAGTGCTAAAATAAAACACATCAAAAGAAGAATGAGTTCTGTTTGTCCCAGGGAGAACTTAGATGCCATAGACACTATATTGCAGAAAGGTTGTGGAAAAGAGGATAGAAATGAGTCACAACTTATTTCCTGGTATCAATTGCAATGCAATGTGGTGAGCAGCTGGATATCTACATATGGATTCCAATACTTTTGTGGTAAGGTGGGACTACAAGATCTATGCAACCTGTCTTTCAATTTTGGTAAGAGAATAAAAATATTTTTGGAGATTGCTAGTTTCTCAATCTGAGGACATTTTTCTGTCCCTATAAGTCTTCTTTCATTGGTGATTCTGCTGCTCTGTTCTTTCCTTCTCTACCTTTCCTCCACCTCTTCCTCTCTCTCCTTAATTTTCTGTTTTCCCTTTGTTCGAAAAGATTTTTTGTTACACCAAACAATTACCACCTAACTGCTTCAACAGGGGTTTCCACTTTCCAAAATTCACTTGTGCCCTATGGAGGTGAAGAATAGCAAGAGACCAAATCAGGAAGTTCTTGAATAATATTAGAAGCTAAAGAGTCAAAGTAGTGAAAGTATTTAGAACCTCGGGGCTTACTGAAAGGGTGCTTGCTATTGAGGGGAATATTTCATCCTCTCCTTTAAGTGATTACTTTGAACATGGTATTTTTTAAAGTTTATAAAGTAGAGCTGAGCTTGAAAACTAAAAAGAGAAGTAATATATTCAAGAAAAATATATCAAGAAGGAACCCATATTCTTGGTAATGAATGAGAAGTTTTACCACCCATGTGATACCTTATTGGGGGACTGAGGCTTAAACACCTGATCACCAGCAGAAATCAAGGCCATAGGCCTCATGCATTGTAAGAACCTGGGATTATCTTCCTGTTTAATATGTTAGGTTACATGGAAAAAGGGAATTAATATTGCAGATGAAGTTAAAGTTGCTAATCAGCTGACCTTAAAATAGGATGATGATTTTGGTATATCTGAGTGGGCCTAATATAATCACAAAGATTTTTAAGAGTGGGAGAGGGAGATAAAAGAGAGTAAGAGAAAGAGGTACTACAGTGGAAGAAGGGCAGAATGGTGTGATGTGAGGACTTGATTCATTTTTGTTCACTTTGAAGATAGAAGAAGGGAGCCATGAACCAAGGAATGTGGCCAGCCTCTAGAAGCTGAAAAAGCAAGGAAGCAGATTTGTTCCTAGAACCTCCAGAAAGAATGCAGTCTTGCTGACAACCTGATTGTTGTCCAGGGAGACATATATGACAGATTTATAACCTATGGAACTGATAGATAATAAATTTGTGTTGTTTTAAGCCATTAAGTTTGTGGTAATTTGTTAGAGCAGCTATAGAAAACTAATACAACGTGGTTGACTATTTCCCCAAAATTCCCTTGTAGTTAGGTGTGGCTATATGCTTGAGTTCTAGCCAATCTAATGTTGTTAGAAGTGATATGAAAGTCATCCAGGCTTGTTTGTAAAGTCATCCACTCATGATCTTCAAGCTTTTTTCTTTCTGTTCACTTAAGGTGGACTAACATGATGAACTTAGGAGCCATTATTTGAAGATGGTGGAGTCATTAGTTAAGATGAATTTGAGTGCCTAAGACACTGCTGAGAGAAGGGCCATCCGCCAATCTGGAATTCCTGTTTTGGACTTCTCATAAGTAAGAAATAAAATTCTATTAGGGAAAACCACTGAGATTTTAAGATCCGGGGCTAACTTAATCAGTGCAGATAAGAAATATAAAAGAGAAGTCACAAGATCTGAAAGATGGAAGGAAAATCTTTACATACATAGTAATTTTAGAAGTAGAGACTACAGTTTGTTGTTAGATATAGATATAAATATGGGCAAAATTCATAGCAATTAAAGTTAAATTTTTCTGTAATTAGAAAGATTGAGTCCACAGAATGGAAACTCTTGAATGTTTATGAGTGTGAGATTAACTTCATTTATCCTGCTCAGAGTAAATGGAAGCATTCAGGATTTTCCATTGTGGGTGTGAGATTCACTTCATTTATCCTGCTCAGGATAACCTCACACTCATAAAAAGTTAATCTCACACCTATAAACATTATAATTAAATGCAGAACACAAAAATAAAGAGAATCTTGAAAATATATTTACTTAGGAACAAACATCAAACTAGTGATAGATTCTTATCAACAATAATAAATAATAAACAACAAGCAAATGGAATAAATCTTCAAAGTACAGAGGGAAAATAATGTTCAATTCTATACCTAGCTAAATTTTCATTTAAGGCTGAAGGTGAAGTAAAGCTATTTTCAGCCATATGAAGGCTTAGAAAATTTTTCACATACATGTAGAGTTTAAAGAACCAGTAAAGGATTGTATTTGGGCAAGAAATAGAAGAGAAAAGACACAGGATGTAGCAAATAATGTTAAGCAAAAACAATGCTGAAATATTGTTGTAAGTCTAAGTAATAATTAATTGTGAAAATAAATAATTATTTTGTCTTTAAAAAGAATACCACAAACAAGATGGAGAATTTGGAAAGAGTAGTTTGGAGGGAAGATGGTCAAATAAAAGTTATTATCTAGTCTTGGAAGAAGATACCGATTATCTTTAATTTTTAAAGAAAAATTAAATAGTACACATGTTACAAATATCAGGATACATAAAACAAAATCCAGAAAAACACTAAGTAAAACAAAAGAAACAAGGAATTCTAATATACCAGCAGAAGGTAGAAAAGAAGATTTAAAAATGAAAGAACAGAGCATAGTACTGTAAGTTGAAAACACAATATAAATTGGAAACATTTAGATAAACATATAACAATTCACAATATAAAATGAACTAAATTCATCTATTAGGAAACAGAAAATTTTACATTGTTAATATGAACAAAGTCAAGCAATATGCCATTTAAAAAAGACACAAGACAAAAACAAACTTTTAAGGTTCAAAATAAAAGGATGAAAAATAGGCAAATACTAATTAAAACAAAGGTGTTAGAACAATGCTAATATCAGAGTGTAGAATTGAAGTAAAAAAATAGTCATGAGGATATGAGTGGATATGAGGATATGAGTTTCAGCAGCATTTAGAAGTTACTTAGATACTTATATTAGAAAATAAGAGCGCCCACTTTGGCAGCATATATACTAAAATTGGAATGATACAGAGAAGATTAGCGTGGCCCGTGTGTAAGGATGGCATGAAAATTCATGGTGTCCCATATAAAAATAAAATAAAAAAAGAAGATGAGAAAGTCTGGAAATTGATTAAGAGTTTCATACAGCAAGCTAGAAAAAGGAACAAAAATAAAGCAAAAGTAAAGAGAAGGAATTTTACCCATAGATATACATAGCCCAAGCTATGACAAGAAAATGGTTTTAAGAATTGGAAAAGGAAACTCAAGATTATCAGATTTTGCAGATGACATGATTTTTTACATATAGAATTCAAAAGAATCTGAAAATTATTAGAACTCTAAGAGCACAGCAGGGTGGCTAGATACAAAATCTACTCTCAAATATACAACATATAACTTATATTCCAACAATAATTATTTGTAAAATCCATGTAGAGAGATAGTATTAACATCCGAAACAAAAAACAAGTATGTGTATAAGAATTAATGCAGCAAAAGACATGCAAGACCTTTCTGAAGAAAATTATATTACATTATTGAAGGGTATATGAGAAAATTTGAATAGTAGGCAACCATGTTAATGCATGGGAATAATTGATTTTACAAATTAATCTACAGGCTCAATGAAATTTCAATGAAATCCTAATATGACTCATAGATTTTGAGAAATTATGAAATTCTTGTGTAAGAGAAAAGGTCAAAGAATAGCCAACACATTTCTGAAAAAGAACAAAGATAATGTGCTATTTTTTGTAATGTTATAAAGTTTTAGTAGTGAAAGCAATGGAGTATTGGTTCAGTAAAAGACAAAAGATCACTGGAACAGAAAATAAAATCCACGGAAAAACGAAATATATAAGATGAAGATGGCATTACAAATCAGCAGAGAAAGAATGCACCAGTCAATAAATCTAGTTGGAACAAGATGAGACGAAATCCCTCTAGTTGGTTTTCCAGATGAAAGGAAAATTAGATCTCACCTGTATTATTACTAAAATCACTCACCAAAACCAAAAAACAATTAACAAAGCCCCATTTGGATTAAAGTTCTATATGTAGAAAGGGAAATTTCAAAACTATTAAGAGAAAGTATTAGATAAAATCTTTGTGATACCCAGATAAGGCCAAAGAAACTAAAAAGCAGAAACTCTAAAAGAAAACAAGAGATTGACAAATTTTATTACAATAAATTGTGTGGTGCTGGGGGAGAGTGAGTAGAGGCCTTCTAAAAGTCAAGAGACAGCATAAAAATTTAAAGCTAAGAGACAGAATTGGATGAGATAATTGCAGATATTTAACATAACATATAAAAGTTGATCTTTCATAATAATAAAGAATTACTACAGATCAATAACTAATAGATAAATGGGTAAAGTAAATGAACAAGCAATTTATATAGGGTGAAGCCTCACTAGCTAGTAAGCCTATGAGAAGATACTCAATTTCAGGAGTGAGCAGGGAATGCAGATTTTAAAAATTGTATACGTATTCAAGTGGCAATAATAGAAAAATATGACAAAATCTGGGATTGTTACTAATGCAGAGAAATTGGAAATATTTATTTATTTTTGTATGCCTCTATGTAACTACCAAGGAGCTTAATTAATAGCTACTAAAATTTAAAATATGCATAAATTACATAAATGCTCATATACAATGTGAACACTAATCCTACTTCAGGGTATGTACCCCGGATAAACTCTTTTCCATCTACTTAAGGATTGTCTTTGCAGCATTATTTGTGATAGCAGAAATTGGAAACATTGAGAATGCATCGGTAGTAGAAATAATAGAAAAATATTGTATATTCATAAGGTGGAATATTATTCAACAAAGTGTATAACCTGGATTTCAAAACTACATTTTGAGAGAAAAATGCAAATCGTAATGATACTATCAGACAGATGCCATTTTAGTAAAATTAAACATTAAAAAAAGATACTATATTTTGTTCAGTGATAGGTAGAGACTATAAATATATGTAAATAGACTTAAATATTTAAAATATATTAATAAGCCTTTGGGAAGAAGGGAGTGGAATATGTCTATGATAACTTGAGAAATATGACAAGAATATTATCAATTTGTCACATCTAAGGTGTGATATACAAGTGTTAATTATTTTTATACTTAATTTTAAAAACTTTCTTAAAAGAGAAAAAATACAGAAAAAATAGGGCTTGCAAACCAGATGACAGTAGAATTGAAAGAAAACCACAAAGCACTTACCTAGAGAGTTGGTTGATGGTGCTAAAATACACACACAGAAAACATGAGGTGAATCATGAGAGTTTGGATCCCTAATCTTTACATATCAGCTTCAGTTGCTGTCACCCCCTTCTCAGGAGTTAAAGTCTAGGCCCCGGGAGTCATCACTGATCTGGTGATGGGTACTGACAGCCACTCCCACCAGCTACTGCATATGCTTTCCATCTCTAAAAATGGGTTTAATTTTTAGTAGGCAGATGCCATTCCTACTGCCCTAATTCCTCCCTCCCTTTTTTCCCTCTCTATTTTCTTCTCTCTCTCCCTTTTATCTTTATTACTTTCCTTTTCTCTTGCTCATCACTTCTATTGTTTTCCTTTTCTCCCAGCCAGATCATTCTAAACCAGCACTAGAAAACTTTATCTATTGCTTAGTATTCATATGACTTGACATATGACAGGATTTCTCTTTCCTCCAAAGCATTTACAATCTAGGGAAATGTTACTAATAGGAAGCAAATTTTTGTTAAGAAGCAAGATAATACTTACTGTAATCTCTTTTGGATCTCTCTGAAAACATAAACAAAAGAAAGAAAAATCAATTTGGATATTCTATTTCTGTAGTTTTGGTATCACTACAGAGGATTACCCAGTCAACACCCTCAAATATCCAGTTAGGCAAGAAACTGGAGACAAAATCTCCTCATGGCTTAATTTATAAGTTTAATGACATTAAAAAAACAGGCAGAGTTTAATTAAGGTAAATACATGTAGTGAGAAGAAATAATAAACTATACATGCAAACATTGAAACAGAAGAATGTATAGTTATAAGGTAAGTTGAGGTCAAATAAAAGAAGGAATGGCAAAATATTTACTCAGCTGACTGAGAATTCAAGTTCAGTGACAATATGGCAAATTATAATGAATGCAAATGTGTATATTGATTGCGATTGAATGTGCATCCTATGATCTAAAACTTGTTTCTTAGTGATGTCATGGAAACAGACTTTCTAAAAGATCTGGAGACAAAGCAAATTACATGGAAAACTAGTCATGTTATCACTGTTGTTTTCATAAAAGTGTAAAAGTAAATAGTAATATTGATACTTTGTAGTTGATTTAAATTATGTTGAATCATAATATCATTTGCTATTTCACTAAAGTATAGTTAAAGATCTACTCAGAAATGTGAAGACAATAGTATTTTTTTTTCAGCTTCTTTTCTGAAAATGAGTGCTCTCCTTCCATACTTGGCAGTCATTGTGATGGGAATTAAGTACAAAACACATTCTCTGTTTTATAATAATGTTTCTTGTTTCTCATGGTTCTATGGGGATTTTAAAAACGGTGTCTCAAGCCTGTAGTCCCAGCACTTTGGGAGGCCGAAGTGGGTGTGTTACCTGAGGTCAGGAGTTCGAGACCAGCCTGGCCAACATGGTGAAACCCTGTCTCTAGTGAAAATACAAAAATTCTCTGGGCCTGGTGGTACACGCCTGTAATCCCAGCTACTCAGGAGGCTGAGGCAGGAGAATTGCCTGTGCCCGGGAGACGGAGATTGCAGTAAGCCGAGATAGTGCCACTGCACTCCAGCCTGGCCCACAGAGCAAGACTCTGTCTCAATGAAAAAAAAAAGGGAAAATACATCAAGATGTTAATAGAGTTGCCACAAAAATGGAAAATACCACTGAAATGCCGAACATTTTAATATGCTGCACTTGAAATTTGTTATAAAAACTTTCATGCGCTGCACTTAACATTTGCTAGAAAAATACTAAGAATAAATTTAATTTCAAAAAAATTTTGGAATAACCATGGCAGCTTTTATATGTGATATATTTAAGTTAAACTAAACTTTGAGTACTAAATTTCATGTACCTAAACTAACATAATGACCTTACCTAATATTAATATCTTCCTGCCAGAAGATTTCTATAGTCTCAAGTTGACCAGTACATTTATATTCCTATGTCTAGAAATAATGGAGGGAAGACTAGCAGGGCGTGGGAACCTAGAAACTTAGGATGACTGAGATTTATAGGTTATGTTAGGGGGACTGGAAAGTCAGAGAAATAGTCATTTGGGTTTATGAATTTTAAAGTATGACTTATTGAAACAACAATAAAATGTTTACTGATTCAAGTTTTTCCTTAAGAATGCAAGGGAGCCCAGATTAGAAAGATACTAAGATTGTAGGCTTGTACACTAAAGATCTGTAAACAGGAAATTAAAAATTAAGATATTACTAAATTACATAAGAATAAACTCTCTGACTGCCTAAAATTTGGAATTAGACAATTCTAAATTCCTATCCAGGTTGTCACTTCCAAGTCCTGTGGCCTTGGGCAAGTCATTAATGTTTTTTAAGCATAAGTTTCTCTTCTGTAAATTAGGGATAACAATAGTAAATTACTTTCTTCATTTAAGAGGTACTTATTAAGGATCTCCCTCGCTGTGGTGAGGTGAATAGACTATAAGAAGGCAAGAGGAGTATCAAGGAAACAAGGTAGGAGGCAAGAGATATTGGTGTTTGGGCAAGGATTGTCATGGTGGTGGAAGGTGGTTTGATTTGGAGTATAATTTGAAAGCATCAGAGATGGGATTTGATGGTGGATTGGATGAAGAGAGTAGGAAAGGAGTTAAATATCATTCCAAGGTAGATAGTCTGAGCAATTAGGTGAATACAGGTGCTAGCACCAGTGTGTAGAAGGGATTAGGGCTTGGGTTTTAGACATGCTAAGAGTGAGATGCCTTTCATATATCTTCAGGACACGTGTGCTATGATTATATAGGTTGGCTCACTGCACAAAGGGTTAAGGGAACTGAAATCCACAACAGTGTCTCTGGGGTGGGGCTGCATTCACTTGCAGGAAGGAACACCTTTTCCTAATATGCACCAAAGCAACCTGTAGGCTACTGGAGGCCTTGGACAGCCAGGGAGGGATTTTTGGGTAGCTCATCTTTGTGTGGTTGACAGGGTTGTTTGTAGATATTCAATATTAATAAAATGAAAAAATGCTCACCAGAATGACTAACATATAGTAGGTGCTGAGTACATGTTAATTCTCCTCCCTTCTTATAGTGTGTAGTTTTATTTTGCTTATCCGTGTACCCTTAAATTCCTAACACTGAGGTAGCTTCTTGCACTGGTTAAATCTGGTATTCTGGTAGACTGTTACTGGAGAGGTTTTTTCCCAAGAAATATGAGATGTAAATGACAACAGTAGACAACAGCAGTATTTCTTTGCACCCTTGGAATTTTATTGCACAAGTCATATCTTAATGTGATGAACTTTTAAGAATTTATTCCTTGATTTCTTTTTATTATTATTATACTTTAAGTTCTAGGGTATATGTGCACAACATGCAGGTTTGTTACATATGTATACATGTGCCATGTTGGTATGCTGCACCCATTAACTCGTCATTTACATTAGGTATATCTCCTAATGCTATCCCTCCCCACTCCCCTCACCCCACAACAGGCCCCGGTGTGTGATGTTCCCCTTCCTGTGTCCAAGTGTTCTCATTGTTCAATTCCCACCTGTGAGTGAGAACATGAGGTGTTTGATTTTTTGTCCTTGCGATAGTTTGCCGAGAATGATGGTTTCCAGCTTCATCCATCCATGTTCCTACAAAGGACACGAACTCATCCTTTTCTATTGCTGCATAGTATTCCATGGTGTATATGTGCCACATTTTCTTAATCCGGTGTATCATTGATGGACTTTTGGGTTGGTTCCAAGTCTTGGCTGTTGTGAATAGTGCCGCAATAAACATATGTGTGCATGTGTCTTTATAGCAGCATGATTTGTTTTATTATTATTATTATTATACTTTAAGTTTTAGGGTACATGTGCACAATGTGCAGGTTAGTTACATATGTATACATGTGCCATGCTGGTGCGCTGCACCCACTAACTCGTCATCTAGCATTAGGTATATCTCCCAATGCTATCCCTCCCCCCTCCCCCCACCCCACAGCAGTCCCCAGAGTGTGATGTTCCCCTTCCTGTGTCCATGTGTTCTCATTGTTCAATTCTCCTTTGGGTATATACCCAGTAATGGGATGGCTGGGTCAAATAGTATTTCTAGTTCTAGATCCCTGAGGAATAGCCACACTGACTTCCACAATGGTTGAACTAGTTTACAGCCCCACCAACAGTGTAAAAGTGTTCCTGTTTCTCCACATCCTCTCTAGCACCTGTTGTTTCCTGACTTTTTAATGATCGCCATTCTAACTGGTGTGAGATGGTATCTCATTGTGGTTTTGATTTGCATTTCTCTGATGGCCAGTGATGATGAGCATTTTTTCATGTGTCTTTTGGCTGCATAAATGTCTTCTTTTTAGAAGTCTCTGTTCATATCCTTCACCCACTTGTTGATGGGGTTGTTTGTTTTTTTCTTGTGAATTTGTTTGAGTTCTTTGTAGATTCTGGATATTAGCCCTTTGTCAGATGAGTAGATTGCAAAAATTTTCTCCCATTCTGTAGTTTGCCTGTTCACTCTGATGGTAGTTTCTTTTGCTGTGCAGAAGCTCTTTAGTTTAATTAGATCCCATTTGTCCATTTTGGCTTTTGTTGCCATTGCTTTTGGTGTTTTAGACATGAAGTCCTTGCCCATGCCTATGTCCTGAATGGTATTGCCTAGGTTTTCTTCTAGGGTTTTTATGGTTTCAGGTCTAACATTTAAGTCTTTAATCCATCTTGAATTAATTCAATGAGTAGTTAGCATTTGTGAGATCTGGGATGTTGAATTTCTCTTGACTACTCAGATTATTTTTTTCTTTTCTTTAGCTTTATTGAGGTATAATTATAAAAATTATATATATTTAAGGTATTACAGTGTGTGATTCTAATATATGTATACATTGTGAAATGATTGCCACAATCAAGCTAATTAATATATCTACCACTTCAAATACTTACTTCTATTTTTCATTTTGTGATGAGAATATGTAAAACCTACACTCTTAGTAAATTTCAAGTGTATAATACATTATAGTCACCATGCTGTACATTGGGTCTACATAACGTATTTGTCATAAAACTGCAAGTTTGTACCCTTTGGCCAACTTCTGCCCATTTCTTCCACCCCCTAACTTCTGGTAATCACCTTTCTGCTGAGTTCAACTTTTTAAGGTTCCATATATACATGAGATCATGTAGTATTTGTCTTTCTATGCGTGGCTAATTATACTTAGCCTAAGGTCTTCCAGGTTCATCCATGTTGTCACAAATGGCAAGATTTCTTTCTTTTCCTAAGGCTGTATAATATTTCATTGTGTGTGTGTGTGTGTATGTGTGTGTGTCTGTGTATCACATTTTCTTTATCCATTCATCCACTGATGGACACCTAGTTTATTCCTCTATCCCGGGTATTGTAAATAATGCTGCAATGAATATGGGAGTGCAAACATCTCTTCAGGATAATGATTTTTATTTCCTTTGAATATATGCCCAGAAGTAGCATTCCTGAATCATATGGTAGTTCTATTTTTAATTTATTGGAGGAACCACAATATTGTTTTCCATAATGGCTGTATTACTTTACATTCCTAACAACAGTGTACAAGGGTTCCCTTTTCTCCATATCCTTGCCAACACTTGTTATCCCTTGACATTTTGAATGCATCCTATCTGGTGTGAGGTGCATTTCCTTGATGATTAGTGATATTGTGCACCTTTATTTATTAGTTGGCTGTAAGTCTTCTCTGAAAAAATGTCTATTTAGGTCCTTAGTCCATTTTATTTTATTTTATTTTGTTTTTTTCTCTCTCTCTTTTTTTTTTATTATACTTTAAGTTCTAGGGTACATGTGCACAATGTGCAGGTTTGTTACATATATATACATGTGCCATGTTGGTGTGCTGCACCCATTAACTCGTCATTTACATTAGGTATTTCTCCTAATGCTATCCCTCCCTGCTTCCCCCACCCCGCAACAGGCCCCAGTGTGTGATGTTCCCCACCCTGTGTCCAAGTGTTCTCATTGTTCAGTTCCCACCTATGAGTGAAAACATGCAGTGTTTGGTTTTCTGTCCTTGCAATAGTTTGCTGAGAATGATGGTTTCCAGCTTCATCCACGTCCCTACAAAGGACATGAACTCATCATTTTTTATTGCTGCATAGTATTCCATGGTGTATATGTGCCACATATTCTTAATCTGGTGTATCATTGATGGACTTTTGGGTTGGTTCCAAGTCTTTGCTATTGTGAATAGTGCCACAATAAACACACGTGTGCATGTGTCTTTATAGTAGCATGATTTATAATCCTTTGGGTATATACCCAATAATGAGATGGCTGGGTCAAATGGTATTTCTAGTTCTAGATCCTTGAGGAATCACCACACTGTCTTCCACAATGGTTGAACTAGTTTACACTCCCACCAACATTGTAAAAACATTCCTATTTCTCCATATCCTCTCCAGCACCTGTTTCCTGACTTTTTAATGATTGCCATTCTAACTGGTGTGAGATGGTATCTCACTGTGGTTTTGATTTGCATTTCTCTGATGGCCAGTGATGATGAGCATTTTTTCATATGTCTGTTGGCTGCGTAAATGTCTTCTTTTAAGAATTGTCTGTTCATGGACTAAGGTTCATGAACAGATATGAACCTTAGTCCATTTTAAAATCAGCTTATTTGTTTCAGCTGTATTTTGAGTTGTATCTTGCTTTTGAGTTGTATGAGTTCCTTATATATTTTGGATATTGCTGTGGTTTTAATGTCCTCTCCGAAACTCATGTTGAAACTTAATCTTCAATGTGACAGCATTGAGAAGTGAGGCCTTAAAGAGGTGATTATATCATGAGGGTTCTACCCACATAAATGGATTAATCCACTAATGGATTAATGAGTTGTCAGGCAAGTGGAACTGGTGGCTTCATAAGAAGAGGAACGGGCCGGGCGCGGTGGCTCAAGCCTGTAATCCCAGCACTTTGGGAGGCCGAGGTGGGCGGATCACGAGGTCAGGAGATCAAGACCATCCTGGCTAACACGGTGAAACCCTGTCTCTACTAAAAATACAAAAATTAGCCGGGCGTAGTGGCAGGCGCCTGTAGTCCCAGCAACTCGGGAGGCTGAGGCAGGAGAATGGCGTGAACCCGGGAGGCAGAGCCTGCAGTGAGCCGAGATCGCGCCACTGCACTCCAGCCTGGGCAACAGAGCCAGACTCCGTCTCAAAAAAAAAAAAAAAAAAAAAAAGAAGAGGAACGACCTAAGCACAGCATGTTAGCCACCTTGCCATGTTATGCCCTGTACCACTTCAGGAATCCGCAGAGAGTCGCCACTAGCAGGAAGGCTCTCTTGCGCCACATGCGCCCCCTCAGCCTTGGACTTTCCATCCTCCATAACTGTAAGAAATAATAATACATTTCTTTTCTTTATAAATTACCCAGTTTCAGATATTCTGTTATAAGCAACAGAAACAGATTAAGACAAATATTAACCACTTATCAGATATATGGTTTGCAAATATTTTCTCCTATTCTGTGAGTTGGCTTTCATTTTGTTGATTGTTTCCTTTGTTGTCCAGAAACAATTTTGTTTGACGAGATACCACTTATTTTTGCTTTTGTTACTGTGTTTTTGGTGTCATATAAAACAACTTGCAAAGACCAATGTCATGGAACTTTTCACTGTTTTATTATAGGAGTTTTATAGTGGCAAGTCTTACATTAAAGTCTTCAATCCATTTTGAATTGATCTTTGTGTATGGTATATGATAAGGGCCAATTTCTTTTTGTTTTTGCATATGGATATCCGGTTTTCCTAATAACATTTATCCTTTCCCTATTGGGTATTCTTGGTAACTTTATTTTCTCCCTTGTTAATTTTCTGTGTGGATGCTCTATTCATTGTCAATAATGGGTTACTGAAGTCCGCTACGATTATTATATTGCTGTTTCTCCCTTCAGTTATGTAAATATTATATATTTAGGTGCTCTGACATTATGTGCATATGTACTTATAATTTTTATATCCTCTTGATGAATTAGCCCTTTATAATTATATAATGAGCTCCTTTGTCTCTTGTTATAATTTTTGACTAAAAGTCTATTTTGCCTGATGTAAGTATAGCCACCCCTACCGTCTTTTGTTTTCCATTTGCATGGAGCATCTTTTTTTCATCCCTTTACTTTCATTCTATATGTATCCTTAGAGCTGGAGTGTGTCTGCTACAGGCAGCACAGATAGTTGCAACTTGTTTTTAAATACATTTAGCTACTCTGTGTCTTTTCATTAGAAAATTTAATCCATTTACGTTCAAGTAATTATTGATAGTTAAGGACTTAATATAGTTATTTTCTTGGTTGTTTTTTGGCTGTTTTGTATATCCTTTCTTCCTTTCTTCCTGTCTTTCTTTGTGATTTGCTGATTTTCTGTAGTGGTATGCTTTAATATCTTTCTGTTTTGTGTATCTAGTATAGGTTTTTGGTTTGTGGTTACCATAAGCTTACATAAAACATGGTTTCAACAGTCTATTTGAAGCTAATAATAACTTAGATTATTAAAATAGATTACATACAAAAACTCTACATATTATTCTCACTACTTTTTACATTCTCAGTGTCAAAATTTACATTTAAAAAATTGTATATTCATTAACAAATTATATACTTTTAATATTTTGTCTTTTAACTTTTATATTAGCATTAAAAGTTATTTATATACCATCATTACAGTATTAGAATATTCTGAATTGACTGTATATTTACCTTACCAGTGAATTTTATACTTGGATATGTTTTCATTTTACTAATTATTGGCCTTTCATTTCAGCTTGAAGAACATTCTCTAGCATTTCTTGTAAGGCAGATCTATTGGTGATAAACTCCCTCAGCTTTTGTTTGTCTGATAAAGACTATCTCTTTCTCAGATCTGAAAAACAGCTTTACGGGTAAAGAGTTATTGGTTGGCAGTTTTTTTCTTTCAGCAAATTGAGTATATCATCCCATTATATACTGGCCTAGAAAATGTCTGCATAGAAGTGCTAATATCCTTTTGATGTACCTTTAAATGTGATATGCTTCTTTCAAGATTCTCTGTTTAACTTTGATTATTGACAATTTGACATAATGTCTTGGAGAAGTCTTCTTTGGGTTAAATACAATTGGAGAGTTTTGAGTTTCATATATCGAGATGTCTATATCTCTTCACAGATTTGGAAAGTTTTTAGCAATTATGCCTTAAATAAGCATTTATTCTATTTTATTTCTCTTTTCCTCTGAGACTCCAATAATGCAAAAAGTTAGCTCCCTTGATGGTGTCCCATAAATCTTGTACATATTTCTTCATTTCTTTTCTTTGTGGTTTTTTTTTTTTTTTGTACTCTGACTAGATAATTTTAAATATTGGTCTTTGACTTCTCTTATTCTTTCTTGTACTTGATCCATCATCTTGGAAGCTCTCTATTTCCTTTTTGTTTTAGTTTAGGCATTGCACCCTTCAGCTCCAAAATTTGTATGGCTCTGTTTTGTTTTTTTTTCTCTTTGTTGAACTTCTACTTTTGTTCTTGTGTTGTTTTCCTGATGTCATTATATTGTTTGTGTTGTCTTGTAGCTCACTGAGCTTTCTTATAACAATTGTTTTGGATTTTTTTGTCAGGCAACTGGTGGATTGATTTTTAGGCAAACCTTCATTTTTGGGGGTTAGTTACTGAAATATTATTGTGTTCTTTTAGTGGTGTCATGTTTCCTTGATTTTTATGACCTTGAAGTCTTGTCTTGTGTTTTCACATTTGAAGAAACAGTCACCCTGTTCAATATTTGTTTGTGCCTACTTCACAGGTGGGATTTTTTCCCTTTTTTTGAGAGAAAATCTCACTCTGCTACCCAGAGTGGAGCAGTGGCATGATCGTGGCTCACTGCAGCATCAAACTCTTGGGCTCAAGCAATCCTCCCACCTCAGACTCCTGAGTAGCTGGGACTGCAGGTGTGCACCACCACATCCAACTGATTTTTTTTTTTTTTTAGAGACGGAGTCTCACTATGTTGCCCAGGCCAGTCTCGAACTCCTAGTCTCAAGAAGTCCTCCTGCCTCGGCCTCCCAAAGTGCTGGGATTTCAGGCATGAACTACCACACCCAGGGTAGATGGGATTTCTAAGATTGTGCTTTGTCTCAATCCTGCAAAGCCAGTCCAGGTTCTGAGAGCCTTCCCTTTGTTTTCCCTAGGGTGGTGCTCTGGAATTCTCAAGTTTGTGTCCTTTTTTCCGATCCTACAAAGTCAAACTGACTGTGAGATGTTTCCTTTTGTTGTCCATGGTGGCTCATTTGGGGACTCAGCCTAGATGGGAGAGTGAAATGTGTGAAAGGCGTGCCTGTGGGTCAGTAGTGCAAGGAGCATAGGTCACGCATCTCAAATGGCAGGCTTTCTGATGAGGCTTTCTGATGAGTGGGTTCTGCAGTCTCTTTTCCCTGCTCCCAGCCTCTCCTAACCATTCAACTATGCTGATCATCTCAGTGTTCTGGGTGGAGTGAGAAATAAGTGGGCTTATCGGACAGCATCCTGAATGGCTGGGGGATGTGGGCCCTCATTAAGTTCTGCACATTTTTTCTGTGGGAGAAATTGTGGGCCAAGTGGGTCTGTCTCAGCATTGAGTTGTGCCACCTTGGGGGAGGAGTGATGTGGGTAAAGTGAAACTGTTCTTCTTACCCTCTTTAATACATCTGTTCTAGGATTTTATAACCTGACAGCGTGCTGGAACTTCTCTGCTGGACTCCTGGACTCCCACAATGGTATTGTCTCATCTGTGGATAGTTGTCTAAATTGATGCTTCTGTGTGGGAAGAAAGCTCCTATTCTACTATTTTGCTGATGCCTTTCTCTCATATTACTTTTGTTAAATAATTAGGAGTTGGATAGGAGAGGAATTGCATAGCTTTGGGGAAAATGGTGCCTCATAGCGTGATGGTGAACATTTGTGAACATTTCTCAGAATATTCTGTAACTACTTTGATTTCTTCTTCTTCTTTTTTAAATTTTGGTCAGTTTTTATAGCCTTTTATGTTGTGGCAGGAAGAAGCCTGATTTTCCTTTAATTTTACAAAAATCTCTACATATACTTACCTCGGTTATCACATGAAGTGTCTAGAGAATTGAAGAAAAATTATAAGATTCTTAATTTCTCATAAACAGACTCCTATATTAATTTCTTAGCAATACAATAATTTACCACTTTGTGTTGAATATGCATGTCGGGATCCTAAAAGAGAAGATAAAAACATAATGAGATTTTACTTCAACAAGTGAGTCTATATTATTTTTTGTTAGATAGAAATCTGTTTACCTCTTCCTCTTTTAGATCTCTGAGAAGAAAAATCTTTTAGGAAAGAAAAAAACATATTAAGTTTACCAACAGTTCATTAAAAAATAAGTTTATCTGGCCGGGCGTGGTGGCTCACGCCTATGTTCCCAGCACTTTGGGAGGCCGAGGCGGGTGGATCACGAGGTCAGGAGATCGAGACCATCCTGGCTAACACGGTGAAACCCCGTCTCTACTAAAAACACACAAAAAAATTGGCCGGGCGTGGTGGCAGGTGCCTGTGGTCACTGCTCAGAAGGCTGAGAGAGGAGAATGGCGTGAACCCGGGAGGCGGAGCTTGCAGTGAGCCAAGATTGCGCCACTGCACTCCAGCCTGGGCGACAGTGCGAGACTCCGTCTCAAAAAAAAAAAAAAAAAAAAAAAAAAAAGTTTATCATTAGTCTCAATCCAACTACTAAAAGATTTGCTAGTTTCCCAGATATTCCCATTTTCTTTAGGTTCCATTTCAGAAAATAAAGAGGGAATGCCATGGCACTGTGCTCTTCACTCTTGTTGTTCATGATAGATGAATCATAGAGGTAAGAAGGAGAAGGATGGACCAAGAGTCCAAGTGTGGGGCATGGACAGCAAGCGAAGTGACTGAGTTACTTTCTCTTTTCTTTCCTCAACTCTCAGGGATCTATATGCTTGTAGCGTGTGTGTGTGTGTGTGTGTGTGTGTAATTATTTCCACATCCACAATCTCATAACCTTATAGTTCTGGTGTAGCTGGTGGGCCTGGTGTGGACAACTTTAGTGGCTTCCAGCAAGAATGAGAGGTAGCTCTAGTGGTTCTTGTTGAGTTCTGGAGATAGGACTAGTCAGAAAGAGAGAAAGAGGGAAGGAAAGAGAGAGAGAGAGAGAGAGAGAAAGAGAGAGAGAGACAGCCGAGGGAACATCTATAGGCAGCCCTGGTGAGTGGATACTGAAAGAGAACATTGAGTGTTGGGGCGTGAGGGTTAGGGATAGCCATGGTACATTGAAATTAGTGGTACTGGTGTGTCCCTTCAAAAAAGTAGACAGCGCATTGCCGTCTTCTCATAACTCTCACGTTTCAAAACCTGAATTTGATATCCAGCTCCCTCCTCAGCTAGGTGAACTTGAGTAAGTCTCAATCTTTTGAGCATAAATTTCATCTTCTTAAATGGGGATAAGCTTTGTTTACCTCTTCTACTGTATGGCTTTCAAAGTGTATTTTCACATATACTATTCCATTTCATATTCATTTTATCCACATTTTAAACATCCAGGAAATTGTTTCGGAGCGGTTCCTTAACCTTTCTAATATCTTGGAAGTAGACAGAAGATGGAAATGAATTCTTTTGATGGTCTTAAGAAGGAGAATTATTTACCTTTTCTGAGAAAAATGCACAATTTTTCTTGAGAAAGAGAGAGAGGAGTGATAAGCATTTGAATATTATAAAAACGAAAGATATGCTGACTCAACAAATCATGCTCAAATGGAGATGAGTTGATTCACACTCTAAAGAGTATATTCCTTCATTAACTGTCTAGTAGTTCCTAATCTATTTACCTCTACCATCCTCATAGTCCAGAAGTCTAGCACCTAGAAAAAAAGGGAGAGCACATGATTTTGCTTCTTGATTATTAATGAGGCTTTATTTAAGACTCTGAGAACTAATGTAAACATGAACTCCTAATGGTGAATAATGATGTGAATTAATTTACTTTGCAGGAACTAGGAATTGTGCATAAGCTACAAGAGCTGACGATGATAAGTGACTGTGTCAATCACCAATTTTATAATATTAGCCAGGCTAAATGATAGTCAGAAGGAGTTTCAGAGTTTCTTTTACCTCTTGATACTTCAGCAGCTAGTCTCCTGGTTTTTGCCTCATACCAATCCTGTGCTATCTTTCTTAACAACTTTGGCATCTCTCCAGATCTTTCCATGGAAAGTCTTCTTCAATTCTTCACATCCTGAAGTTGGTACTCTTCTCAATCATAATTACCCTAACTGTGTTCACTCTCGTTATTCTAGGATACATTATATTTTTCGGTCCGGCCACTTCACTAAGGCCGTCTTCATGAATGGATTTAGGCTTTTTACTGAACCATCTGTTCCAGTGCCTGAACTGGAACAGTTCTCTGTTGCTGCTCTCAGACCACAGGAAGCATCTGAAGGGAGCCTCAGAATTATGCAGGCCTACCCAGTATTAATTAATTCTCCCCAACTCCAGTTTGGCATTCAGTACTGCTCAGAAATCTCTGGTAGATTTCTCCCACTCACTTAGAAGCAGTTCAGTTCATGCAATGGTGCACTATGCAAGGTTCTGGAAACACAACTGTAAACAAGACAGATTTCATTCCTGACTTGTGAAAATTCTATAATACTATATTTATTTTTCTCATGAGTATAAGTACTTACTTTGTTCTGAACTGTATCTGGAGATATGCATTTCTGTGGAAGAATTAGGCAAAATGTTTTTATTAGTTACTTAGGAGAAGTGTTCTTCCTCTGATCAAACTCTTCTCACTCTAAGCTATGCTTCTTGCTTACCAAGGTGGTCCTCCTGATATAATGCATTGTTGTTCTCACCCATTTTCCACATCTCCCATCAGCCCTGTTTTACCTATCTTTTCACACTACTTATGCTTTGAGGGCTCACAGGCATTGAGGATGGGAAACAGGGAGGGAATACAGCTGATTAGAAAGTTGTGGGAGAGAAACAGAAAAATCCAGGAAAGAGAGACCTTATGGCATAGAAATAGGTCTTAGCTTTTATGAGCTCCATCTCTATTTCATCGACAAGTACTACTCTGTATTTGTCTCTTCTTATCATCTCCCCAAATTAAGTCACTAAAAGTCTCCAATTCTTTTTATATAATACTAGATACTGGTGTTTAGCAACATACTGTCTTCTCACTTCTATTTTTTTTTTTTTAAACTCAGGTAATTTCCCTTGGAGCTCAGGTAATTTTCTTTTAAAATATTCTTATTACTTTTGCTAAACTCTGTGATTTTTTTTTTTTTTTTTGAGATGGAGTCTTGCACTGTCACCCAGGCTGGAGTGCAATGGCGTGATCTCGGCTCACTGCAACCTCCATCTCCTGGGTTCAAACAATTCTCCTGCCTCAGTCTCCCGAGCGGCTAGGCTTACAGTTACCTGCCACCATGCCCAGCTAATTTTTGTATTTTTAGAAGAGACAGGGTTTCACCATTTTGGTCAGGCTGGTCTGGAACTCCTGACCTTGTGATCCGCCCGCCTCGGCCTCCCAAAGTGCTGGGATTACAGGCGTGAGCCACCGCTCCCGGCCTGTGACTTTTTCTTTGACATTATTGATAATGTAAACCTTGGGAGTTAAAAGTGCAGGGACAATCACTAATAGGTCAGAGATTCTTTGACTCAAGTATTGAAACAGATTCCCAGAATATTGGCAAAGTCTCTAGCTGTTTGATGAGTGAGATGAACTCAGACTGAATCTTGGCATCCCTCCCTCCATGGTTTTCACAGGAAATCTTCATTTTGACTCATTATTACTCACCACTTTGCTTACGTCGTGCCCATCTTGTTAACAAAATAGCCAGGATGGCAAGTCCCAGTAGAGTCAGGATGACAGCCAAAGTTATTTCTGAAAACAAAAACTCACCTGTAAACATGCTTATTTAGACCAGGAAATTACCAGAAACAACTTCTGATCACCTCTTACTATCCACCAGATAGACTTTTTTTTCTTTCCCCTTTCTGCTACTTCAACTCCTTTATTCTTTTATTTGCCGCATATTACTGTCCTCACATTCCCGCCCCTGCCCATTTTTAGCTCTTACATTGGTTCTTTGGTCGTATACTAAGAACCTCAGATGCTGTGTACCCTTGGTTTAGAGTTGGAAATCTGACAGATTTCCTCCTCAGTTGAACCCTTTACTCCCCAGGCAGGAAGAATGTTAAAGGGAATCAGTGGTCTACGAAGCTATCCACTGGGGTATGGGGAAAATATTAGAACTTCTATTTTCTGTGTAATTTTAACTCATACCTTTAAAGTTGCAAGATTTTCTGTGTGTGTGTGTATATATATATATATATATATATATATATATATATGGCTATAAATAAGATTTATAAATATACTTTTATAGGCAATGCATACTCAAAACATTTTTATGAGTGAGTGATCAAAAAACTTTCAGCACCTTGACTGAAGGGTGCTGACTGAAGGTGGTTTTATTAATGAAAGCCACAGCAAAGGACAGAAATTTCTTGTCACACAAAAACCTTTCAGTCATCACTTGCCAACCTCCTGATGATAAGATGGATATTTGCGAGGTTTGTTATTGTGGTTAGTAGGATAAAATATGCTGGGATTGCTTAACTTGTGTTTGTTTATGTGTCATTGATCTGCATTCAATTGATGTAAGATAGAGTCTTGCAGTCATAGGAGAGAAAAATCTTAGACAATATCATATGGTTATAAAGGGCAGTGGCTATGAAGGATCGGGGGAGAAAAAAAAAGAAAACAGAGAGAGAGAGAGAAAGGAAAGAAGAAAAAAACAACCATAAAACTGCCTGTGAAAGTAAAAACTCTGAAGAATATTGAGCTCTGAAAGACTAGGAAAGTAGATTACACCCACATTAAGACTACTTCAAACGAACAATAGGTGAATCCATCTCAAGATATAATAACACACCTCCAACCAGGGCAGATTAGGCATTTGTCTACTGAGTCTTCTAGGTGTTTGGTCCTGTGAGAAAATTCTCCTGCCAAATCAACTTTTGGAGATTTTCTTCTAATGTACCTCTAAAATGAACAGCAAGTAGTCAATATGCCCTCTATTATGTGAATTTTTTTTTCTAGTGTTAAATAACTCATTGGGGAGGAAAGGATAACTAGATGGTGTACTCAGTACTACTGTATATTCCTTTTCTTCCTTTAGTGTCTGAAATGCCCTGTCTATAGGGCAGTTAGAAGATGGTCCACCCTATTAATAGGGAAAATGAGAGGAAATCATTATTTCTGAGTTGAGGCAGATTATATAGAGTGACCATGCTACAGGAAGTGAGATAATGGGCTAAGGAATTTTTCCTAGTGCTACGGAGGATGGTTATTTTCTTTGTTCAGTTTAAACTCTAGAAACCAAAGGAGAAACCAGCACTATCAGCCTAGAGCTTAGTTAACTGTGGGTTGTTTCCCCCAGGCTTCCAGAGGAATCAATAAGAGTGAAAGAAAAAATATTGAATTTGAAAAGGAAGCAGGCAAGGAAGATAAAGCAGTTGTGTTAAAGTCCCTAAGTCCCTAAGAGGAGACTCCTGAACTACTAGAGTTGAGGAAGCCTCAAAGAGGGAGTTAGTCCATACCCAAGACTGTCATTTTCCATGTATTGTCTTCATCAGGTCTCGCATCATCTGGATTTCTTTGTCAGAGAGAGATCAAGATAAAACGAAAAACTCAAGTTCACTGTTTCTGAGCAATATGAACTTGGGTGTCAGGGAGGCCCTTGTAGGCAGAGATGCAGAGGATCACTGAGAAATTGTGTGGAGCAGATTGATCAGACCTAAGCAAATGATGGGAGTGTGGCCTGTGAAGGTTCTAGAATCTGTGTCATAACAGAGACTTAGAACATTAGTGAGGCAGGAGAAAAGGCAGAGGATCAAAAGGCTAGGAAGATTTAATAATGCTTTGGAGGACCTTGAACTTGTATAGGATACTGGAAGGGAACTCACTCTTTCTGGGCTTTAGAATTATTTCTAGTTTTTCAGAGATTTTTAAGGCCAGAGATTGTATATCATTAATCTTTGTAACTCTTTTTTTAAATTTTTTTTGAAGATAGAGTTTCACTCTTGTTGCCCAGGCTGGAGAGCAGTGGCACCATTTCGGCTCACTGCAACCTCCACTTCCTGGGTTTAAGCAATTCTCCTGCCTCAGCCTCCCAAGTAGCTGGGATTACAGGCATGTGTCACCACACCCAGCTAATTTTGTATTTTTAGTAGAGGTGGGGTTTCTCCATGTCGGTCAGGCTGGTGTCAAACTCCCTACCTCAGGTGATCCACCCGCCTTGGCCTCCCAGAGTGCTGGGATTACAGGCGTGAGCCACCGTGCCCAGCCTAATGTTTGTAACTCTTAAGGCAGAGAACCTTCCACAGAATAAGCATTTTATAAATGTTTGATAATTAAAAATGAGAAAAATGACTATATTTAAAAAGAGGCAGACTGGATAAAGAAAATGTGGTAAATATACACCGTGGAATACTACACAACCATAAAAAATAATGAGATGATGTCCTTTGCAGCAACATGGATGGAGGTGGAGACCACTATTCTAAGCAAACTAAAGCAGGAACAGAAAACCAAATACCATATGTTCTCACTTATAAGTGGGAGCTAAACAACAAGAACACATGGACACTAAGAGGGGAACAACAGACACTGGGGCCTACTTAAGGGTGGAGGCTAGGAGGAGGGAGACAGCATATCTCTTGGGTTTTATGCTTATTACCCAGGTGACTAAAGAATCTGTACACCAAACCCCCACAACACACAATTTACCCATATAACAAACAATTACATACATGTACCCTTAAAACTAAAAGTTAAAAAAAGAAGAGCCTTGAAACAAATGAAGGTGAACAAAGGAAGTCAAGTTGTTGGAGTTAGATAGCAAGAAGAAATCCAGTCCAGAGGTCTATGGTGCTAGGAAGAGTGAGCCAGTAAATGGGATCTCATAAGCCACTGTGGAGAACAAGGAAGAGTAATAACACCTTTTATTGAGTGTCTATTGACTACAAAGTTCTATAGTGGGTACCTTATAAGCACAAACTTGTTTAATCCCTAATAAACTGTACGATGAAATTCTTTGAGATGGAGAGAGACACTAGAAGTTACCCAGCCAACAAATGGCAGAGTTTCTGACTCCAAAGCCCACACTGTATTCACAAAGCCACATTTTGTTTCAGTCTTCTATGCATCCTGTGGTGGTGATTTCTAAGTTAAGAAGTCAGTCACTTGAAGAGGAAGGTGATGACTTCTAGTTTTAGGATGCTCCACCTGCCAAAAATAATCTCAAAATTGTTGAGATTATTTTTCCATAAGTGTTTTATGCATACTTATGGAACACCATCAAACATACAAATATATGAATTATGGAAGTACCAAAAGAAGAAAAAGAGGAAGGGGCAGTAAGCTTAATCAATGGAATATTATCTGAGAATTTTCCAAATCTTGAGAGGGATATGAACATCCAGATTGAAGACGATCAAAGCATCCCAAGCAAGTTCAATTCAAAAAAGACATACTCCAAGATATATTATAATCAAATTGTCAAAGGTCAAACACAAAGAGAGAATTCTGAAAGAAACATCACGTGTAAGAGATCTCCCATAAGTCCATTACCAGACTTCTCAACGGAAACCTTGCAAGTCAGTATTTTTAACCTGCAGAATTGCTATTTATTTCTATAATTTCTCCTTCTGATATTCTCAAATTGCTGAGACATCATTCTTATACTTTATTTTTTAGACATGTCTTATTCTGCTAATTACAATGTCTGGGCTTCTTCAGAAACAGTTTCTTTTTATTATTTTCTGTGCATGGGTCATGATTTCTTTTTTCTTTACATGCTTCATTATTTTTTGCTGAAATCTAGACATTTTGAATATTATAATGTTGCAATTTAGAAACCAGATTTCCTCCCTCTACAGAGTTTGCTGTTGTTGCATTTGTTGTATTACTACTTGTTTGTTTGTTTGTTTAAAGATTTTTCTGATCTAATTTTATAAAGTCTCCATTCTTTCCTGAATGTAACGTTTGATGTTTCTGCCCGGTTAGCTTAGTCATTAGCTAATGATTGAACAGAGACAATGCCTAGAACCAAAGCAAACACTATGCTAGTCTGTGCCAAGGAACTCTGTGTGTGTGTGTGTGTGTGTGTGTGTGTGTGTGTGTGTGTGTTGAGGTACACCTTCAACATTCAACTAGTCTCACTTTTGCCCCTCCAACAAATGCCCAGTGAATTTGTGCCCAGTAAGGTCCAGGTCACCTTCTTCCTACAGGACTTAAAGCAAACCAAGGGGGATCTTGGCAAGCTTTCAGATGACCCTTATAGATATATAGAGGTTTTCCAGACTTTCACCCATATATTTAAACTCTCCTGGAGAGATGTTATGCTACTTTTGAATCAGACCCTGATGGACACTGAGAAGCAGGCCGCTCTGCAAGCAGTAAAGAGATTTGGGAATGAGCTTTGTATCACATATGGCATCAGGGAAGGGAGCAAACATTATCCAACTGGAAGAGAAGCAGTAAAAGTGAATGACCCTAAGTGGGATCCCAATGACAGGTGGAAGACTGGAAGAGGAGACGCTTTCAGATGTGCATAATGGAAGGCTTTTGTAGGACTAAGACCAAGCCTCTCAATTATACTAAGTTGTCCATGATCGACGAGGTATTTGATGAAAATCCTGCTGCCTTCCTGGAGAGACTAAGAGAGGCCTTGGTAAAGCATACCTGTCTATCTCCTGATTCAGTCGAGGGACAGCTAACCCTAAAGGATAAATTTATTACTCAGGCAGCTCCTGACATCAGGAGGAAGTTGCAGAAACGGGCCCTGGGACCGGATAGTACATTAGAGGACCTTCTGAAAGTGGCCACCTTGGTCTTTTATAATACAGACAGGGAGGCCCAGGAAAGAGAGAGGAAATACAGGAAAGAGACAGAAGCTTTAATGGCCACCAGGCAAGCCCACAAACCCCAGAATTCCCAGGGTACACCTGTTAACTACTAAAGATATGGCCAGAACAGTTATCTCATTCTAAAAGTTTATCCACTCCCATACAAGGTTTAATTTCTTTCACCAGGGTGAAACATCTCAGGGTACAATGTTGTTGTTAGTATATTTCACTTCTTAACTCTGTAATCTTTGGCACTAATTTTTTTTCCTTGTATAATACACGTATTTATTATAGTATGTATAGTATGTATGTACATAGTTACAGTGTGTATAACTTGGGTATACATACCCAAGTATATATAATCCATGCATACTTAACCTTATAAAACTTGTTTTTTCTCTCACACCTGGAAGCCATCAACCTCCAAATGGTCAGGGAACCGGAGCCTTGGATGATGGCTCCCCTTTGCTAGGAACCCTTATATACACCTCTGGGAAGAATCTGACTGCCGTTTTCCCCAAAACGATGCCCCTATCAGCAGGAAGCAGCTAAGACCCGTCATCATCCATATTCGAACAGCAGTTAGATGTACCTCTTCAGACGGGGGAGGTGATATAGAAGAGGGGCAGGGAAGTGCTGGTAAGGGAAGGGCATGGTCCCTGGCTAAGGCTCCACCCCTGGGCCTGTGCCCACAGACCTAGGTAAGGACAGACACTCCTGCCTTCATGCCCAAATGTTGCATTTCCCAAGACCACCCTGGCCTGCCATGCCCCCATCCTGTGCCTGTAAAAATCCTGAGACCCTAGCAGGCAGGGACAGAAGCGGCTGGACGTCGAAAGGAACACATCAGTGGAAGAACACACAAGTGGCTGGATGTCAAGAGGGACACATCGGTTAAAGATCACGCCAACAGGAACCAGCAGATGCTGGCACGCTGGCAGGCCATTGACCAGCGGAACAAAATGGAGTTTGGCCAGGGCAGTTGGAGGGGAACCCAGCTGCTGAGCAGCCTGATTCCAGGGGAAAACCACCTTCCCACTCCATCTCCCTTCTGGCTCCCCCATCTGCTGAGAGCCACTTCCACTCAGTAAAACCTTGCTTTCATTCTTCAAGCCCACATGTGATCTGATTTTTCTGGTACACCAAGGTAAGAACCTGGGATACAGAAAGCCCTCTGTCCTTGCAATAAGGCAGAGGGTCTAACTGAGCTAGTTAACACTAGCTGCCTATACATGGCAAAACTAAAAGAGCACACAGTAACACATGCCCACTGGGGCTTCAGGAACTGTAAACATACACCCCTAGATGCTGCCGTGAGGCCAGAGCCCCACATCCTGTCCGTCTGTATGCTCTCCCTAGAGGTTTGAGCAGCAGGGCACTGAAGAAGTGAGCCACTCCCGCTGTTGCAAGCCCTGTGAGGGGGACAAGAAGACCTTTCCCATTTCAGTATCTTAGAAGGTGGTAACTGCTGTGAAAAGTGAAAAAGCAAGTCAGTGAAAGAGAACTACTGGCAGCTGCAGTGGGATTTCGATTTAAATAGATTATCCTGGATATACCTCTGTGAGAAGGCAATACTTGGGGGAAGTAGGGTAGATATCTAAGTGGATTTCTGAGTGAAGAGTTTTCCAGGCAGAGAAGACAACTACAGCAAAGACCGTAAGATAGGAATGTGTCTGGTGTTTTCAAGGAATATGAAGTGGCCAGTGTCACTGGTATGAACTGATCCAGGAAAACAACAGTAGGAAAATAAGTTAGAAAGATAATGGATCAGCCAGGCATGGTGGCTCATGCCTGTAATCCCAGCACTTTGGGAGGCCAAGGTGGGAAGACCCCTTGAACCTAGGAATTCAAGACCAGCTGGGGAAAGATGGCAAGACCCCGTCTCTACAAAATAATAAAAAAATTAGCCAGGCATGGTGGCATGCACCTGTAGTCCAGTTACTCAGAAGGCTGAGGCAGGGGAAGACCCTTTGATCCCAGGAGGTTGAGGCTGCAGTGAGCTATGATTGTTCCACTGTACTCCAGCTTGGGCAACAGAGCAAGACCCCGCCTCAAAAAAAATTGTAACATCTAGTGAGCTACTGACAGGACTTTGATTTTAACTTGAATGAAATAAAGAGATAAGATGGGTCATTATGTAGGCAAATGACACGTTTTTACCTATGTCTGCATAAAGACATAAAACAATTTTTCTGCTGTGTTAAGAAAAGACAGTAGTGGGAGGAAAAGAAGCAAGGAGACTACTGTTAAGAGTTATCCAGGCAATCGTTGACAGTACCTTTGTCTAGTTTGTGAACTACTAAAGTGGTGAAATGCATTTAAATTTGTAGCAGTATTTTCCCCACTGGGGATAAGGGAATGACTGCCAAAGATTGCCAATACCTAGGCATTAAGGAGAACATAAATATAAGTATGGAATTTCATGCAGACCAGGGTTAAAGGGTCTAAGGATACACCTGAGACAATGTCTGAAAACTAAGGAAGGGAAGAAAAGTGAACAGAAATAGAGTTAAGTGGGAGTAGTTGTCAGAAAAGAAAGTAATGTCTAATTATACAGCTGTTTATTGATTAACAGAGGGCTTCTAAAGGGCAGTTATTTAGATAAGAACTTCTTAGATGAGAGTGCAACTTCGCTGAGCGTAGTAGATTCTAATCTTATGCCCTTTGCCATAGACATTTTCTTTCCCTGATGATTTTTTTAAATCCATATTTTATATCTGCAAACACATGTTTCTTTCCCTCAGGTTCCAGAATCTGTGTCTCAAGCCTACGTGGCTTAGATGGGATCTAACAAGAAAAGTCTGTCCCCTGTCTGGGTTACTGGGTCCAACCAGTTGGCAAGTTTTAGCTCTGATTTTGTTTCTTAACTTCTAGAATAACAGGAATATAGGGTATCTTAGTATTTCAATGACAAACTCTGACAAAAGGATATATATCAGAGGTGGGGACTTTCAACAAATATTGGACTAGAGCAAATAAAACTGTCATATGCAGTTGGCATTATTGTGTATTTAGAAATTGCAAGAAATACTACAGCTAAATTTTTGGAATTAATAAGTTTACCAAGGTTATTAAATACAAGAATAATATCCAAGAACCAACACATGTTTATAAGACAGAAATGAAGAGAACATACAATTTGAAAAGAAAATACAATTCACATTATCATCAAAATTACACACTACCTAGGAATACATCTTTTTAAAAAGTTCAAAATATGTGGATTAAATGTAAAAAAACTTTGTCTTATAGATATCCAGATATAGCTATAGCTCTCTATAAATAAAGAGGCATGTATAGTTTTTAGAGTAAAAATAAATACATATTTTATTTTATTTTATTTGCTTGCTGCAAAACTTTTGTGACATATTGGCTCCTTAAGCAATATTTGGAAACAGGGTAATACTGTTGAGAAAACAAACATATTACATTTAGAGATTCGAAATGAGAATATATACTTTACAAATTAAACCACATACTTTGACATTTTCTTTAAAAACTACATTTATAAATTGTATGGTAACACCAATGTTTATCTATTCCCTGGGCCAATCTACTAAATTATCATGATATGGATAATAATCCTCCATGGCAATGTCAAAGATGGTATTTAAATAGACATTAGATAGATAGATAGATAGATAGATGATAGACACACACATATAATTTGTTTGATTTTGTGTTTTTATTATTTCTATACCTAGAGTCAAGGGGTTAACTGAGCTAGGTGCAATCTGATTCTTTTTATTCTAAGTAAAATAGCCAGGCACAGAAAGACAAATACTGTGATCTCACTTATACATGGAATCTAAAAAGTCAGACTCATAGGAGTGGAGAGCAGAATGGTGGTTACAGGCTGGGGAAGTGGGGCGATGATGGGGAAGATGAGAAGATGTTGGTCAAAGAGTACAAAGTTTCAGTTACACAAGAGCAATATGTTTTTGAAATATATTGCTAATAATAATGTATATTTTACAAATTACGAAGAGGAAATTTCAGTCTGTTCACCAAAAAAAATTGATAAGCATGTGAAGTGATGATTATGTTAATCAGTTTAATTCAATCATTCACTATATAGCTTAATTTAATAATTCCACTATATATAATATATAGATTTATTTTTATACTTTTATATATTTGTATATAGTTATATATATCTATGAATATGTAGTTATATATTATTTATATATAGTTACATATTAGTATATATATTTATAGTCTATAAATGTATGTAATATATAATATACATTATGTTGTACATAATATATATGCTGTGTATGAAATATATATAAATAGTTTTGAGGTACATATATCTGTCAAAACTTGATATTATGCCTCATAAATATATATATTATTTTCTATTATAAAAGAAAATATTAAATATAAATCAAATTTATTTATATACCAGTAAAGCATATAAAATTATATAAATATTGAAAACAAACCTATGTAAATATAGATATACCTCTTTATTTAAAAGACTTCCTACAGTCATGGATTGGAAAACTTAATATTACTAAGGTGACAATATTATCCAATGTGATAGGGAGATTCAATGTAATTCCTTACCAAAATCTTAATGGCATTATTTTTTGGATAGAAATAGAAAAATCTCTCTTAAAATTCATGTGGAACATAAAAGGACCTCAAGTAACCAAAACAATCTTGAAAAACAAGAAACAAATTTGCAGGACTCTCACTTCCCAGTTTCAAAACTTAATACAAAGTTACAGTAATCAAGAGTGCATGCAGCACTGGTATAAAGAAAAATACAGAGACAAATGGAGAAGCATTGAGAGGCCAGAAGTGAACTCTCAATTCATTTACCACGGGTGCCAAGACCATTCAATGGGGAAACGGTGGTCTTTGACAAATGGTGTTGGGAAAATTAGACACCCACATGCAGGAAGAATGAAGTTGGATTCTTACTTTAAGCCATGTGCAAATTCAATCAAATTGAGCCAAAGACCTAAATTTAAGTGATAAAACTGTAAAACTCTTAAAAGAGAACAAGGGAAAAATCTTCATGACTTTGGATTAGGCAATGGCTTCTTTAAAATGACACCAAAAGCACAGACCACAAAAGAAAAATTACATAAATTGGGCTTTGTAAAAATTAAAAACTTTTGTGCATCAAAATACACTTATCAAGAGAGTGAAAAGAAAACCTACAGAATTGTTTGCACAGATGCAAAGATTCTAATTAAAACAGTAAGATAAATCTAGTAAAAAATACATATAATTAAGTGTAGTTTAATCTTAAAAATATAAATTTTGTAATACATTAATACAATTATGAAATTATATACATAATATAAAGCAAAAACAAAATTAAAAACAAGAAAATAAAAACTATGTAATCTTAGATGGCACAAACATTTTAAAATAAAAGTTAATATCCACTCATGATTTTAAAAATAAAACAACAGCAGCAACAATATCCTCTAGCAATGTAAGAATAGAAGAAAATTTTCTGAGTCTACTAAATAGTGCCAGGGAAGAATCAAAAGCTAACATCAAAAACAGTAGTGTTGTATTGCTCACTTTACCCCTAAAATCGAGAACAAGAAAAGAATGTCCTCTATTAGTACTTCCAGTAGTGAGGAGGACCTGGCCAGAAGAATAAAGCAAAATAATTAATTAATTAATTAAAAGTAATAAAGATTGGAAAGAAAGAAGACAATATTGTCATTCACACATAATGTGCTTAAGTACTTAGATAATCGAATGGAATCTATAAAACCACCAAACTTCTAGAATAATTAATCAGGGATTTTAGCAAGGTCTCAGTGTACAAAATTAATAATGAAAATAAATTTTATTTCCATACATTAGTAATTAACATTTGGAAAATGAATATATCACTTACAATAGAATCAAATAGTATAAAATTCTTAAGAATATAATTAACAAAGTATATGCAAGATACCTACACTGAAAACTGCAAAACCCTTCAGATAAAAATTTAAAAATACCTACATAAAGGAAGAGACCTAACAAAAGTGTTGTATCTAGACTATTTGAAGAATTTCTTCAACTTCATAAAAATATTAAATAATGCAACAAAATAGAACAAAGATTTGAATGAATATTTCATAAATGAAGATAGATGACTAAAGAATTCAACATAATCATCAGGAAAATGCAAACCAAAATGAGTTATTACTTTACACTCACTGACCTGGATATAATTTAAAAGGCTGAAAATATCAATTATTGGTTATGTGGAGTCACTGAAACTCTCATACATTGCTTATTTGAATGTAAAATAGTGCAGCCACTTTGGAAAACTGATTTGTAGCATTTTATAAAATTAAACACATACCTACTCTTTGACCCAGACATTGTATATGGAATGAAAAGTATAAAAGAAATGAAATATGTGTCCACAATAGACTTGAAAGAGAATGTTCATAGCAATTTTATTAATAATAGCCCAAACCTAGAAACATCCAGGTATCCATCAGCAGAAAAATGAGTGGAAAAAACTGAAGCATATTCATAAAATGAAATTCAACTTAAAATATTAAAAGAACATACACAGCAATATACATGATCTCAACATTATATTGAATGAAAAAAATTAGATACAACAGAGCAAATAGTGTATTATTACCATATGAAGTTAATGAAAAGGCAAAACTAAACTTTGATGATGGGAATCAGACTACTGGTTGCCTGTGAAAAATTAATGTTCTTTGTTTGGATTGAGGTATGAATTACTTGGGTGTATTCAATTGTTAATACTTATAATCTGTGCTTGTAAAAATACATGTCTGTAAATTACACTTCAATCATTTAAAAAAGAGAGATTACAAAATTTTGAGTTTGAGAGTAGAAATTCAAGCCTAATCTTCTTGAGCCTTTTAAGACTACTGGGTTGAAAGGGAGACAGACCCTAGCTTACTTTATAACACTGATGATATGGATTTGAGGTGAGAGAAAAAAAATATTTTTCATCATCCTAATGAAATTTATGTCTTCTCATATCCACAATTTTTTTCAATCTCATGTCTTTGGAAAATCCTGCTTCGCAAATATGGAAGAGAAAGCTATACCCTCCCCTCTAGGAATCAGAGGTTGTCCTAACGTCCTCTTTCACATCATTCTCTTCTATAAACCCAGTGTCCTTAAAATTAGTTAGGCCTATAGTCAAGTAAGACTGTAATAATAAATATAGTAAGTGGAACTGCCAACCCTGTCTTTCCTAATCTTTTGAATTAGCAAAATATCCTTTATCCAAAGGGAAGAGAAGAAATCCTGTGTCAGGAGGACATAATTGCTATCTCTCCAGAAAAGAATGCCAATCCATGTATCTCTCTTTTTGTTTTTTTAGAGAGAGAGACAGGGTCTCTCTCTGTCACCCAGGCTGGAGTGCAGTGGTACAGACATGGCTAACTGCAGCCTCTATCTCCCAGGCTCAAGCAATCCTTGTCCTCCTGCTTCAGCCTCCTGAGTAGCTGGGACTACAGGCATGTGCCACCAAACTCAGCTAATTTTTTGATGTGTGTAGAAATGGGGCCTCACTATGTTGCCCAGGCTGGTCTCAAATTCCTGTCCTTAAGCTACCCTCCCATCTTGGCCTTCGAAAGTGCTCGGATGTTGGGATTACAGGCTTGAGTCACCACACCAGCCTCCCTCTATCTAGAAACAGAATAAAGGTGAGGGGGTAGGTAGGCAGGATTAAACAAACAAAAAACACTGTCCTCTGTGAATGATCGATTCAACCAAATTAAAGACCATGTATCAAAACCCTGCACCATTCTCTCTACTGACAATCACACTCTTGCATAGTCCCTCACACTATAGCAGGAGTGGTCTGTATGACCAGTTGACAACAGCAGAAATTATGGTATGTTACTTCCTATATTAGGTCATGAAAACATTAAAGTCTTCCTTCTTCTCCCCCACTTCCCTCCCCTCTTCTCTCTCTCTCATCATCTGTTCTGGGGGAAGTCAGCTGCCAAATCTTAAAGACACTCAGGTGGCTCAGTGGAGAGGCCTATTGGTGAGGAACTGAAGCCTTCAGTCAACAGCCATGTAATGAGCCTTCTTGTAAAGAGACCCCCAACCCCAGTCAAGGCTTCAGATGGCTGCAGCCCCAGCCAATGGCTTCACTGCAACCTATGAGAGACTGAGCCAGAGCTACCCAGCTAAGCTGCTCCAAAATTCCTGACCTGTAAGATAATATGCAATTGTTGTTTTAAGCCACTAAGTTTCCAGGTAATTTGTTACCAGTAATAAATAATTAATTCACTAAGAATCTGTCATAAGTGTGGCTTCTCTCTGGATTATGATTACTCACTTACTACAGTGGTTCCCAAAATGCAAGCCTAAGCTGAATCCTAGTAGTTCTTCTTTGAATGCAGCAGCTTTGCCCTTGATACATGACTTTCTCTCAGTTCAATTGTATTAAATATTTGAAACACAGAAATGCCTGCCTGGACCCTCACCATGAATCCCCATCCCTTCTGATACCGGAATCTGGTTGCTATTTCCAGAACATTTCTCATCAAGACATTATCCTAACTTATGGTTTCATTGCTAATTCATAGACACTTGTCCCATTATAGAGATCTAGTGATTTCCATGTGAGATTTTTGCCCTCACACATGCCAATTCCCCTTGTTCTACCTGTTTACCTAACATCAATCAGATGTCAATAATGGAAAAGAAAAAAATCAAGAAGTAGGAGCTTAAGACACTGTGTACTGGCAGGGCTATTGCTTATTTCTGCCGTACCCCTCTTTCTTGTCATCTCTTAGTTCAGATGCCTTGGCCCTGTGCATAGTGTGCTCTATCTCATGAATCTGAAGTAAAGAGAATCAAAAGGATGAAGAGCTTTAAATCTTTTGACAACATTTAAGAGAGAACAGGAAATTTTCCTCCCTTTTCCTGGAAGTCTTTGCTGATGAATGAAAAATTGGGTTTCCTTTATGTAACCTGTCGATGGGGAGGCAAAACTTGTCCAGAAAAAATAAAAATGTTCTCACTGTGCTATGTTACTAGAATTGTGATCTGAAGCCTGGAGCAGAACTTACCTATGCTACTCATCTCAATCCTTTTAGGCAGTGGCACTAGGAGCCTTACTCTGTTCAAATTTGGTGCCTTCCTACAGTTATGGAAGGAAGCTCTGTATTCTCCTTACTTTCTCAACCTTTGATCCTAACAGAGGCAGTTTCTTTTTCTTTTTTTTTTTAATTGATAATTCTTGGGTGTTTCTCGCAGAGGGGGATTTGGCAGGGTCACAGGACAATAGTGGAGGGAAGGTCAGCAGATAAACAAGTGAACAAAGGTCTCTGGTTTTCCTAGGCAGAGGACCCTGCGGCCTTCCGCAGTGTTTGTGTCCCTGGGTACTTGAGATTAGGGAGTGGTGATGACTCTTAACGAGCATGCTGCCTTCAAGCATCTGTTTAACAAAGCACATCTTGCACCGCCCTTAATCCATTCAACCCTGAGTGGACACAGCACATGTCTCAGAGAGCACAGGGTTGGGGGTAAGGTCACAGATCAACAGGATCCCAAGGCAGAATTTTTCTTAGTACAGAACAAAATGAAAAGTCTCCCATGTCTACTTCTTTCTACACAGACGCGGCAACCATCCGATTTCTCAATCTTTTCCCCACCTTTCCCCTCTTTCTATTCCACAAAACCGCCATTGTCATCATGGCCCGTTCTCAATGAGCTGTTGGGTACACCTCCCAGACGGGGTGGTGGCCGGGCAGAGGGGCTCCTCACTTCCCAGTAGGGGCGACCGGGCAGAGGCGCCCCTCACCTCCCGGACGGCGCGGCTGGCCGGGCGGGGGGCTGACCCCCCCACCTCCCTCCCGGACGGGGCAGCTGGCCGGGCGGGGGACTGACCCCCCACCTCCCTCCCGGATGGGGCGGCTGGCCGGGCAGAGGGGCTCCTCACTTCCCAGTAGGGGCGGCCAGGCAGAGGCGCCCCTCAGCTCCCGGACCGGGTGGCTGGCCGGGCGGGGGGCTGACCCCCCCACCTCCCTCCTGGACGGGGCGGCTGGCCGGGCGGGGGGCTGACCCCCCACCTCCCTCCCGGACGGGGCGTCTCGCCTGGCGGGGGGCTGACCCCCCCACCTCCCTCCCGGACTGAGCGGCTGGCCAGGCGGGGGGCTGACTCCCCCACCTCCCTCCCGGACGGGGCGGCTGGCCGGGCGGGGGGCTGACCCCCCCACCTCCCTCCCGGACGGGGCGGCTGGCCGGGCAGAGGGGCTCCTCACTTCCCAGTAGGGGCGGCCGGGCAGAGGCGCCCCTCACCTCCCGGACGGGGTGGCTGGCCGGGAGGGGGCTGACCCCCCCACCTCCCTTCCGGATGGGGTGGCTGCCGGGCGGAGACGCTCCTCACTTCCCAGACGGGGTGGCAGCCGGGCGGAGGGGTTCCTCACTTCTCAGATGGGGCGGCCGGGCAGAGACGCTCCTCACCTCCCAGACGGGGCGGCGGGGCAGAGGCGCTCCCCACATCTCAGACGATGGGCGGCCGGGCAGAGACGCTCCTCACTTCCTAGATGGGATGGTGGCCGGGAAGAGGCGCTCCTCACTTCCTAGGTGGGATGGCGGCCGGGCAGAGACGCTCCTCATTTTCCAGACTGGGCAGCCAGGCAGAGGGGCTCCTCACATCCCAGACGATGGGCGGCCAGGCAGAGACGCACCTCACTTCCCAGACGGGGTAGCGGCCGGGCAGAGGCTGCAATCTCGGCACTTTGGGGGGCCAAGGCAGGCGGCTGGGAGGTGGAGGTTGTAGCCAGCCGAGATCACGCCACTGCACTCCAGCCTGGGCACCATTGAGCACTGAGTTAACGAGACTCCGTCTGCAATCCCGGCACCTCGGGAGGCCGAGGCTGGCGGATCACTCGCGGTTAGGAGCTGGAGACCAGCCCGGCCAACACAGCGAAACCCCGTCTCCACCAAAAAAATACGAAAACCCGTCAGGCGTGGCGGCGCGCGCCTGCAATGGCAGGCACTGGGCAGGCTGAGGCAGGAGAATCAGGCAGGGAGGTTGCAGTGAGCCGAGATGGCAGCAGCACAGTCCAGAGGGAGACTGTGGAAAGGGGAGAGGGAGAGGGAGGAGAGGGAGAGGGAGGGGGAGGGGGAGGGGGAGGGGGAGGGGGAGAGGGAGAGGGAGAGGTCTAATTTACAAATACAAATTCTTATGAGAAAAATTTTAATTACTGAGGATGTTTGGTTTGAAAAGAAGATTAGTTACTACCAGTATTAGTACTATTGCTACTATCACCTCTGCTATTAGTGTTACTATAAATATTGGAAGCTAAAATGAACCAAGTGTTCATCACAGAGAAGTCATAGTATTAAGTTCCCTATACGCTATCTCATTTATTTCTCACAATAGTCCTGTGCTGAATGCCATAATTATTTGCATTATTATGAGAGTTAGGTGTGCCTGAAAGAAGCAAGGTAACGTCACCAAGATCAGAGCTACTAAAGAAAGAGCAATTATCAAGATTCAGATCTTTTTGACTACAAGGCCTGGGATTTCAATCACTAGAAATAAAGGTGTATGAGAAGTGGATGGCCCAGTTATTACATAAACCCACAGAAAATGAAAATGAAGAGGCTTAAATGAAAGTGGACACACCATGACTGGAGATACTATAGGACTTAATTTTAAGAACAAGCAATAACGTAACAGGCGTTTGAAGAATAGGCAGGACCCCATCCTGAAAACCTTACCCTGGAACACTTTCAGGTGTGACAGCCATCCTGGCTAGACAGTCCTAGCCTGGCTGGAATAGATGGTTACTGAAGATCTTGCCCAACCCTAGCCTTCTAGGACTTACACATCGTGTATCTCCTAGGACGGAACACAGTTTTACCTAACCTTCCAGTTTTCTCCCTCTTGTTTTTCTCCATTCTGCCTTCCCAGTATTTGCAGCTTTCCTCCTTTTTTTTTTTTTTTTTTTTCCAACTATACATGCAGTGGCTGTTTCTCTGGATCCAGATGCAGCTCATCCCAACCTCATCCGATCTGAGGGTAGAAGATACACTTCTTCAACGGAGAATGTTCCCCGAACTGGGATGCCCCCACACACCAAGGACAAGGGGAATCCAAAACCATCTTCAGTGTTCTGGGTTTACCACAGGGGAGACATTACTTTACCACAGGGGAGACAGACATTACTGGGAGGTAGAAGTAAATAATGGGGACAGAAGTTGGACCAGGAACGAGATGAGCTCTGGGTGTTTGTTCAGCACAATGAAGAGAGAGTGGTGGTTTGTAGAAAGTCCAGAGAAGAATTTCTGCATGGTGACATGTGAAGAAGGAAGGGTCATGGCTCTCACTTCCTGCCCAGAGACTCTGTCAGGAGCCTCCCTGTCCCCCTAGAAGGTTTCCAGGACAGCAAGGCTGGAGACGTGTCTTTTCACAACGAGGTCGATTAGTCCCACATCTATTCTCTTACTGGAATCACCTTCTGTGGGATTTTCCATCCTTATTCTAGCCTTCAGAGTGCTGGCACATCTGTGACCTTCTGCTTAGATCATCATGAAAATTGTCCTGATTCTTTTCCAGTTACCCCTGTAACTTCTTTAACGAGTTGTGATAGAGATGTTGCCCAGGAAGCTAATGTTCTATTAGCATAATAAGCAGCGAAGTGTTGGCACCTCTGCTGTCTCCACTGGAGCATCTTCTAGGTACATTCACCAGGAAAGCTGTCCTTGGATGGTGAGTAGGTCAGTTTCACTAGGTGTGATTTCACTTTCTGTCAAAGAGGAAGAGGCAGAAAGTGAAGTGAGAGAACTGGAAAATGTCCAGGGAGATTTCCTCCAGTGCTGCTATTGGGGAAATACAGTCTCTTTGTGGGCAGCAACTATTTCTCACAAGAAAACTCCAAACAAGTTCATGGGTTTCTCATCTGTTTTCATGCTGAGTGTGTGTTGAAGTATATAATTTTAAAGCTACATTTACAGGGAAATCTCTTCTTACTATTTTTGTTATCAAATATGGAGGAGGGGAGGCGTTTGAAGGGAAGTATTGCAGTAGAGTGAATTCTCACTTCCATTACCACTGTTGGAGATGCATAGGAATCTGTCCAAGTCCTTTAATAGCTCAGCGTGTTTGCTCTTCAGGCTCTAGTGTACAATCAACTGCTAATCTTGGACTTTGACAAGGGACGGAGAAGGCTCATGAATAATTGTAAATAATTGGAGGAGGAGCCCAAGCCTTCTGGAAGGAAAGAGCCCTTTTCTTTAATAAGTTCTCACTGGTCAGCAAGTCCAGAATTGTGTCCTATGTGAGAATGTGAATGAAAGAGGAGTCAATGTTGCAGTTTATACTTTAGGAGAGAAAGCAGTAAAGTAGAAATAAAGAAACATCTGTACCAAGAGTCATTGCTAACATTAACATTCTTTTTCTTCCTGACCTGTTCTGCCCACTGTTGAGGGTTTCCCTTGTCCTTGCTGCATGTAAGACTTCTCCAGCTGTTTATCATCAAGTTGTCTTCAAGGATATAGAATATGAGCTTCTCCTGCTTTTTGTTTGTTTGTGTATTTTTGTTTGTTTGTTTGTTTTTTCTTTGACGGAGTCTCGCTCTGTCACCAGGCTGGAGTGCTGTGGCACCATCTCTGCTCACTGTAACCTGCACCTCCCAGGTTCAAGCGATTCTCCTGCCTCAGCCTCCTGAGTAGCTGGGACTATAGGCATGTACCACCACGCCCAGCTAATTTTTGTATTTTTTTTAATACTTTAAGTTCTAGGGTACATGTGCACAACGTGCAGGTTTGTTACACATGTATACATGTGCCATGTTGGTTTGCTGCACCCATCAACTCATCATTTAAATTAGGTATTTCTCCTAATGCTATCCCTCCCCGCTCCTCCCACCCCACGACAGACCCTGGTGTGTGATGTTCCCCGCCCTGTGTCCAGGTGTTCTCATTGTTCAATTCCCACGCAGCCATAAAAAAGGATGAGTTCATATCCTTTGTAGGGACATGGATGAACCTGGAAACCACAATTTTTGTATTTTTAGTATAAGAGAGAGGGTTTCACCGTGTTGGCCCAGATGGTCTCCATCTCTTTACCTTGTGATCCACCCGCCTTGTCCTCAGAAAGTGTTGGGATTACAGGCGTGAGCCACCGCACCTGGCCGAGCTTCTTCTGTTAAATGAACCCTTTCTTCCTGATGATGGAAGAGATCCCCTTAGTTTTTCTTCTACAGTATTTGCAGATCTGTAAACCACAAGTGCCTCTAACAATCTGTCCTGTAGATGTATCTCCTTGGTGAAATTTCACGTCACACACTAAGTGGCAAAGACAGTATTCGAAGCCAGGAAGAATCAAGCCAGAGCCTAGTCCTAATTTCACTGACCCTAAAGGGAGGCTTACACATTTCATCAAGAAATAATCAAGGCAGGACAGAGGTAAATAAATGGTGATAAAATATTAATAGTTATAATCAAATGGACATGGTGGATGAGAAGGGATTTCTGGACATGCGAGCCCTAAACATGGGGGTAACAACAAAACAGGAACAAATGGGGTGGAACTGTGGTATAGAACACGAAATGTAACAGGTTCAGCCTTAGACATTTTACTTTTTTATACACTTAGGACATTCAGCATGAGGTTCAAGAGGAGTTTTTACTATCTCTTTTTCAGAGTCTAAATTCATATTTTTTCTACAACAAGATTCTTAAACTTGTCACTTCTTTACTCATTTTAATGGGTGTTTGTCCTTCTAAGCTTAGAGATTGGGGAGCAGTGGCTGCAGGTGGACATGGTAGAAAACGTGAAGGTGGATGGTTGATTGGACTCAGAGCTTTAGACCTGTCAGGGATAACAGTGTCCATCTTATTTTCATTTGTAGCTTTGAGTAAATCAATAAGTAGTGCAGGGTCTCCAAGTAGCCTATCCTTTCTGGAAAAGTGAATTCACCACCTGGCTACATCAATTAATTCTTTATTGCTGGACTACTCTGGCACTCCCATTTTTAGTAAAGTTTATGAAGGTATAATAAGACATTCCAAAAACAGAGTGACTCCACTGCAAAAAAGAAAGACCTGAGGGCAGGAATTATGTCTTATTAAGGATTGTATCTCTAGGCCTTAGCATAGTACATTCAACAGGTAAGATATTCAATAAATATCACTTTATGAGACAATTCATGCATTTTACAAATGTTTATTGATAATCAATGTATGTCATTTTTACAGGTTGTGGGGCTAGACAAGAAGGAAAAAAATCACTGTCCTCATGGAAGTTAAATTGTACTGACAAAGGAGGAAAATGTCAGGGAGTTAACAATTCAGTCTCTGTGGCTTCCTCCTGTCCTCTCCCTGAAACTGAGATCCAGCCAATCTGCACATTTATTCTGAGAGTGGCCCCACTTTAATGACTACACCCAGCTGTCTACACACCAGGAGGGGAGGGAACTGTATCCTGAGGCACCAACCTGATTACCCACCCAACAGCCACAGGGACTTCCAGTGACTGGGGCATCATCCTCAACGCCACCAACCCCTCTCCTTCCTGTGGCTTTTCTAACTGGAACTGGAACTCAGAAAGTACATTAATCACCAATTTGGGAAGCTATAGGAAAGTATGTTTTCTAATATACAGTGAGAGAATGTGACTGATAAAAACCAATTTTCTTGAGACTTTCTCCCTGGAAAGTGAATATATGTATTCATAGGGCCTTCACAAGCACAGACTAACAAGCAAAGAGCTACATTCACTAGGAAGGAAGACTCAAAAGTAAGTGAAAAATAATAGTTAACCTTTAGATGTTGTGCAATAAATTATTTTTAATTACATTAAATCAAAATAGTGTTAAAATATTTTCAGGTAAACCTAGTATATTTACTAATAAATTTAAGTCTTCATAAATATAAAGATAGATCAATGTAAATGTAAAAATCATTTGTTAAACTCCAGAGATTATATAAACAAAAGGTGAACCTAATGTAAAACTGTGGACTTTAGTTGAAAATAATGTGTCACTATTCTTTCATGGGTTGTAACAAATGTGCCACACTAATGTAAGATGTTAATAATAGCAGAAATAGGGGGGAGAGAGGAGGGATCTAGGAGCTCTCTGGATTTTCCATTTTATTTTGTTATAAATCTAAAACTGTTCTTAAAAATAATGTCTGTTAATTTTTTTTTAAAAAAGGAAAGAAGCACTGATACATGCTATGACATGGAAGAACTCTAAAAATATTAGGCTAAGGGAAAGAAGCCACATACACATACACATACACAGATAGTTTATGGTTCCATTTATATAAAATATTCAGAATAGAAAAGTTCATAGGGACAGAAAGTAGATTACCTGGGGAGTAGGGAGTGAAAAATGGGTAGTAACTGCTTAATGGGTATGAAGTTTCGTTTAGGGCGATGAAAATATTCTGGAACTAGAAAGTGATGATGATGGTCACACAGCAATGTCACATATACAATACCACAGAACTGTACACTTTAAAATGGTTAAAGGGTTTTATTTTATGTTATGTATTTTACCACAATTGAAAAAAATGTTTATTAAAATTAATGTGTAAACATTTGTGGAAGAATAATGTGTAGTTTCTAACATTTATGTGTTTAAATTTATGAGTTTAAAAATAGAAAAAAAAATGATGGCCCAGAAGAGCAAGTTCAGAGTGCTGTTCATGAGTGATCCGCATGGGACCGCGATGCCTCTGACGTCTGCCATCCTGGAGAGCAGCAGAGCGTCACTAGCAGGTCCTCGTCTTCTCACTTCATAACATTCTTTCCAAAAGTCTTGTTGACATTCTTCTGTCTTCCACATATAGTTTATCTTCTTGAACTCATTATAACTTTAAAATATTTTTACTGTGTTACATGTACTGCTTATATTTGTTTATTTTATAATTATTAATTTTAAATTGTGCACTTTATTTTGCTCTAACAATAAAATTGACATGTTCGTATAGATGATACATAATTTTTCGCTTGGATCGGAAAGTCTAAAATTTTTTTCCTGACTCAATTTCCTGTATCAACTTTCTCAAAAAGTCTGGAGGAGGGATTTTACAACACTTCATAAGATTTTCAAGATTATATTTTAGTGATCAGATTTTTCTCCCCCTTATGCAGCTGTATTTTCTTTCACTTTTTTTTAACTGTATATATATATTTTTTATTTTCTCAGTTCCACCTATGTGGACAATTAATTGTCACCATCTTAAATAAACTGATCAGGCCAGGTGTGGTGGCTCATGCCTGTAATTCCAGCACTTTGGGAGGCCGAGGCGAGTGGATCATTTGAGGCCAGAAGTTTGAGACCAGCCTGGCCAACAAAGTGAAACCCCATCTCTACTAAAAATACAAAAATAGGCTGGGCATGGTGGCACATGCCTGTAATCCCAGCTACTCATGAGACTGAGGCAAGAGAATTGCTTGAACCCGGGAGGCAGAGGTTGCAGTCAGCTGAGATCATGCCACTGCACTCCAGCCTGGGTAACAGAGTGAGACTTTGTCTCAGAAAAAAAAAAAAAAAAAAAAAAAAGAAAAGAAAAAGAAAAAAAAAAGAAACTGACCAAATCCTTGATTATTCCTTTCATTTCTTCCTGTAGGCTAAATTGTATTTCCCATGGGATTTTCTAAGGGTCCTTGATTATCAGATGTCAGATTGTGATTGATAGGCCGGATCTCAGAGAACCTGGAACAGGATAGGTCTCTGAAAAGATCAGTCTCCAGCAGATTTTCCTGAGTAGAATTAAAACACCTTGAGTTAGTACTTCAATGATCATGGCAGCCCCCTTCAAGCAGTTAGAGAAATGAGAAATGATCAGGACTCAGAATATCATTCTGGTTTCCAGAATCCCAGATTGTTATTTTCCTGATACGTTGGAGATGTTCTTGTGGGTACAGAAAAAATGTCCAGAGAACCTACATTAGGGAACCAAAGAATGAAGCGGGGTGCAGAGTCCCAGAGAAGGAAGTTTTGGGGAAGGTGTAGATAGGGCACTTGCCAATCATGTTATAAGAGGAGAGGTATTCAGAGGCACGGTCAGGGGGATTCTGACTTGTTCAGGGGCCACCTTCAAGGGGATGGGGCTTGGAAGAGAGGGGATGGCCCAGAACTCATTTCTTTTGCAATCCATTGCCTAAAACTCACTGTCAGGTGACACAGAGATGACTCTTTCTTTGCAACATGTGCTTGGCAACCTCCGGGACCCATCGCGCCCTGTTCCCAGTCTCCACCTCTCAGTACCAGCTCCCTGACAGGAGTTCCCTCTGGCCCATAGAGCAGATAGTCAGATCTCTGTGGGATATCTGGCTGCCTGAATGTCCATGGATCACACGCTTGTTTTGTTCAGAAGAAATCAGTCTCAGGTGAGCTGTGTTTGAAGCCAATGTCACATTCACTGTAAAGAAAGAGAATCCATTCTGATAATTAATCAATATAATTTCATTCTATTAACAGCCAAACAGGAAGACAAGTGTTTCACGGACATAAGAAATTTAAAGTGGAAGCACTTTCTAGAGCACACAAAACAGCCTCCCTAACACATGAGAAGTCACCAGCAACACAGAAATCACCAACAAGTAGGTCACCACATTTTTAAAGATCATAGGAAATTGTTCACGCCAACAAATCTCAGTGAACCTCAGCTCTCAGCCTTGAAAACAAGGATGGCTGTACTACTCACTTTTTTCTTCTTCTTCCCTAACCAGATCACTGGGGAATGGGCAGCAGGAAATCAAATCATTATCTTTTAATCATTTTGCTTCTATTACAAGTGGAAACACTGACCTCATGCATCACTGAGCCTGGATTGCATGATAAGCCCTGGGCTTTCCTGTTTCTCATGTTTCCTTAGTTACTGGATATTCACTGACTGCCTCCCATAGGTGACTTGTGAAAAGGGAGGCTCGGGGAAGTACGCAGTACGGTTCCCACTGCAGTGTGCTCCGCTGTTTCTGTTTCCCTGACTTACCTCTTTTCAGCTCCTCTTCCTGGGCAGGCCTACAGCCACAGCAAGAAGCAATCCCCAAACAAGCAGTGTTTTCCACAAAAACGTCATCCTGGACTCTAAAATGGAAACCCAAGAATCCCTTGAAACTGTGAAACTGGGACAATATTAAGATTGTACTTTTCATCTGAGCAGCTTCTAGGCTGGAGAGAAGGGAGAGAATTTGGCCTCCCAGGAAGCAGTTGGCCTGCTCCTCCCTGCTCTGGAGATGCAGAGGAGAGAATGCAAGTATTTCATGTTTGCTCGTCTCAGAAATGTACACATGCACAGACAAGTTTTCCCTTCTCTCTTCCAACTATATCACACAATCACTGGAATGACTTGAGGAGGAAAGGATAAAATTACTCAAGCCGCAACCATGAAGATGGTATTAATAAAAATCAGTTTCTAATCCAGAAGAAAATCCTCCATGAGGGGGAAAACACAAAGTTCTGTAATTTAATTGTTTTCACATCAGAAGAAGAGAATTTAAAGAGAGAGAGTGAAAACAGGGTCAATTACGAGAATTTAGTGTGTATCCAATGATAAAAATAATTGCAGGGCGCTAGTTGAGGGTGTCAGAGAGAAACTCAGAGGAGTAGAATCCCTGGGTGTCCTGAAAACCAGCTTTGCAGAGGATAGCAGGAGACCTCGTCAGAGAGCAGCAAATAAAAATCACAAAGGAAGAAGAGCAATACAATGAGTAAGTCTGAGTTGGTCTTCATATTTATTTTCCAAACCTGAAGGAACATAAGGAATCACCAACCTGAGAGAGAAAAAGTTGCGATTTTCTCCTCGCCCAAAAAGGGGATGCTGATGGAACAAGTGACGTCCACAGCGGAGATGTTTGTGACCCTTAGCAATGTCTGCACGTGGAACAGCCCGTGGCTGCCTTGAGTCAGGGCCTGGGAAGATGATGGTATCGTCTTTCCTTCCATGTCCCTCCATGGCACGTGGGGCTGTGGGAACCACCCATCTGAAGAGCACATCGGCTGCATTTCTCCATCTTCTTGCCCCTCCACAGTGATCAGTGGGGAAGAACCCAGACCTGGGGCAGAGAAAGCAACCAAAGCCTGGGGTCCTTTCAAGTGGATGAGTGGGCAGCAATTTCACTGGGAGGAAAGAAGGGGATGTGGAGGGCTTGGGGAAGGGAGAAAAGCTTAAGGGGGATTGCACTCCACTTAGGGATGAGGCTGGCTGGAGCATTTTCTTATTTTGTTTGTTTGCTTATTTTTATTCTTTGTATTCCTAAATCATTCTGGGATGATTAAGAGGTAAGGTAAATGTTCAAATCCAACATTTATTCTGTCCCTGAGAACAAAATAACTTCGGCCAGGGCATGGGTCACATGGACAGGATTAACATACGGAGTAGGAGGATATTCTCAAAAATCGAAACCTTATAAATATCTACGTCCAATGGCAGAAAATACGAGGCTCATGAAACTTCTCAACATGCGCTCCCATGGCTAAACGTGTTTATTAATTTAGAATCAAAATCCGTGGGAGAAACACGTAGCATATCCAAGACTTGGGCCTATATGTACTCAATGGCATCTGCTAACCTTGGACGTTTCAATTCTCACACACACGGACAGTGGGAAATGATGCTGCAGGGAGTGATTTCATCTTTTCTCCCCTGTCCCTGCCAAAACTGTCAATATTTATAATTTTGGTTTACACAGTGGATCCAGTTTAGTCTTCAGATGATTACAGTTTCTAGAATTTTATTGCATTTCTCAGAATTCTAATAACACACTGTGAAACAATGAGTCTTTTGTAAAATATGTAGTAAGATACTCAGATTTCCTTAAAGATATGGTCAATTTTTGAAGATACTGGAAAAGATACAAGTTATATGCCCAAATAATTAAATTTCATCCATTTGAGTTTGTGGATTTTAAGTAACTATGACAGTTTCACACACTGGAGGATTTGATATAAATTTGATGATGAATAAGCATTAAGAAAATTTCAAATGTCAGAGAAATTGTCCAGGAACTAGCATATTAAAGTGGCAGGAGCAGGTATTGAATACAAAATATCTATCTAGAATTCTTACCTACCACCTTCAGATCCAAACTGGCCTCTTGGTAGACATCATCTTTTTCAAAAAGGCAGCGGTACTGCCCGTCGTCCGAAGGTCTGGCACTGAGTATCTGCAGGGTCAGTCTGCCCTCGTCAATGGCGTCACTCACCAGCACAGTCCTCCCTCTGTACTCTGCCATCTGCTCTCCAGCCACATGGTCCCCATCCATATACACATGCACAGCAGGGTAACGGTGGGATCGGTCCCACCTCACCTCCATGCTCTGTGCATTCGCCTTGGGGGACAGGTAACAGGTTAGCTGTATATCTTCTCCCACTCTGACGAGGATGGGCTGGGAAGGTCCATTCACTTTTAAAGAAGCTGTTAAATAGAGTGGACAAAACACAATGAAAGAATCAAAATGGAACCAATAATGTCATCTCTAAGAACAGCTCCATTGGAGTTTAGAAACCATGAGCATCCCAGGGTTGCTGTGAGGCTCAGGGTCATCCTTAGGTGAGGTGGGGGTTTCATGGACTCAGAATAGAGGTTGCTCTTCTTTAAGGAGGAATCGTTCCATGATGTGTGTCAGTCTGAGTAAAACAGTAATTGAATCCCTACCTGCTTCTACCTGTATTTTTTTCAGTTTACAGACCAATAATAAAATAATTTTGCAATTAAAACTCCCAGATAGGCTGGGTGTGGTGGCTCAAGTCTATAATCCCAGCACTTTGGGAGGCCGAAGCGGGTGGATCACCAGAGGTCAGGAGTTCAAGACCAGCCTGGCCAACATGGTGAAACCCCGTCTCTACAGAAATACAAAAATTAGTCGGGCATGATGGTGGGTGCCTGTAATCCCAGCTACTCAGGAGGCTGAGGTGGAAGAATTGCTCGAACCCGGGAGGCAGAGGTTGCAGTGAGCTGAGATCATGCCACTGCACTCCAGGCTGGGTGACAAAGCGAGACTTTAAAAACAAACAAACAAAAAACACCCAGAATAAAGTGAACAGTTTATAAATTTGGCCCCAGATGCCTCTGTACCTGACTCCTTATGTAACAAACTGCAATTTAACTTAGTACGTCAACTACTGAAAGCCTAACTTAGGTTGGTTTGTTACATAAGCACTCAGGTACAGAGGCATCCTGGGGCCAAATTTATAAATTGCTCATTTTATTCTGAGAGTTTTAATTGCAAAATTATTTTATGAATAAGCCTAACTTAGGAGCTAAGGCTAACTTAGGAGTACACTTTTGTAATAAATAGCTGAGTAGCAGCTGCTGCACTTCTGTTAGTTGCAGGCAGCCAACTGTTGAAACCCTGTTCAAATCGGCAAACGCCAGGCTGCAACCAATAGAGCTGTCTCTGTACCTCACTTCTGTTTTCTGTACCTCATTTCCATTTTCTGTCCATAAATGCTGTCTGACCAAATTGCTGCTTTGAATTCTCTGAAACCGTTCTGATTCTGAGGGATGGCTTGTTTATGAGTCATCCTTTTCTCAGTTAGACTCTGCTAAATTTAGTCTGTCTAAAGTTTTTCTTCTAACACTTCAATTCTGTATGATTTTAAACTACTTCTTAATCTGTCTTAAACTACTTCTTAATGCCTCAGTTTCTTAAACTGTAAATTTGCTATACAACTACCAAAATCATAATGTTTCAGAGTTGAACAAAATAGTTTGCATTAAGTGCCTGGAAGACCCTGCAGCGTGAGCAGAGGTGCACAGACCTGTGAGACTTGAAGGCGTTGGAGCCATCCCCACCCTCTGACGTGGTAATAGGGAGGGGTTTAAAAACGTGTCTCATGTGGACTTTTGGTAATGATATTTGAAGAAGCTTTCCTCTAGGTGGACTTTATAGTACCTTGTAAGTCTGGTCCAGCCGCTATATTTTATTTCCCCAATGCTCCACATAGGTGGAGTTATAGACACACACCAGTTGAATGTCCTCAAATAATTTTGAAAATTAAAATTAACATTTTAAGATCAATAATTGGGGAAGTCGGCAAAGTACAAATTGTGAAACAATGATGAATGTAAAAAAGGGGTCTAATTCTCCCACTGTGCAAAGTGGGGAAAGATGTTCTCTGAGGGCTTTCCTGGGCCCAAGCTATATTACATTTTCCATTCTCATCAGGCCCTGCCCGTGCCATTTTTTCTCTATTCTAAATTAAGTGTCGTCCTTTTCTGTTAAATGATAAGAATGGTTTTGCATAAGGTGTGATCATTTATAATAGAAACACAAGCATAAAATTGTTGGTTCTCTGCATAGAGTCACTGGCCAAAGGCGTTAACATCCCATTATGTCATTGGCCGAAAACTGCCAGCTACCTTTGTAGAGAGGAAAGTCCCTGTCAACACAATTTGAATTTTCAGATTATTACCTTCCATTCCAGGTAACAGTTGACTCCCAGTTATTTCCAGCATTTTGTTTGCTTTGTCCTGTAATTTTACCTAAAACAATATTATTTTCCTCTCCTATGTATCTATTAAAGTCTGAAGACAAGAATCAGAAAAAATGGACTAGGGATTAGTTTGGGGCTGTTTCTGCATCCACATGGCTTACGGTAAATTACTTAATAAAACAGACTGTTTCCTCATCTCCTTTATCCATATGAGGATTTTATTCCCTGTCCGTGTGTGACCTGTGCACATATTAGATCTTAAACTGGCTTGCCCTGCCTGACATAGGTAATTAAGAGCTAAAATTGACTTCAATGGAGACTGAAGGAAGCAAAATGTAAGTATGGAGATTCAATTAATTTGATGCATTACAGATACAGACAAAACTCCTTTTGTCCAGAATCCAAGTAAAACTAAAGTTTAAAGTGCTAAAAAAATCATGCAGCCCTGTTTGTTAATAATTGATGTTCTACTAGAATACAAGCTCCTTGGGAGCCACTATGCCTAACCCACTTTTTTTTTTTCTTTCAATTTTAAGTTCCGGGGTACATGTGCAGGATGTGCAGGTTTGTTACATAGGTAAACATGTGCCATGGTGGCTTACTGCACAGGTCATCCCATCACCCAGGTGTTAAGCCCAGCATCCATTAGCTGTTCTTCCTGATGCTCTCCCTCCCCCATCCCCCAACAGGTGTCCAGTGTGTGTTGTTCCCTGCCATGCATCCATGTGTTCTCACCAATCAGCTCCCCCTTATAAGTGTGAACATGCAGTAGTTAACCTCCTTTTTCTATACGGTTTTGTACACAGCCTTCCAGACAATTTTGTGCTGAAATATATTGCTTTGTTTTGTTTTGGTTATTGTTTGTATGTTCTGAATGCCTTCTGAATATCCACTGAAAAATTAATTCCCTTCTGGAGCGTGAAGTACACTGAATTATACACTGATTCCTTGAAACCTGATAATCTCATCATCATACCACATAATCCTCTTTCAATCAGCATATTCAATTAATGCACTATCTCATTTCTCAAATATGCTAAGTTATATCTAATCTCTTAGAACTGGACACTACATTAGAGATTAAATTCAACCTGTTCACTTTAAAGATGAGAAAAATAGAGATGAATGAGCTGACAAAGTCACACATAAGTAATTAAGGACTTGCACTGTTAAGTTAGATAGATGTAGATTAGAAGGTAAACATCACCATTTCTTCCTGATTTTTGGCAAACCATGTATGTCTCTAAGATTGTTTCTTAGCTGTAATATGAGGATAAAGCAATTAAACTTTATAATTATTGTAAGAAAAAATGAAATAATTCCCATAACATATTCAGCATCGTGCCTGGCATACAATTAATATTTTTAAAAACTATTATTTTTATAAATGAAAAACATTATTTGTAAGACTACAAGCAGTGATTTCAGTCTTAGGACTTCCATAGAGAGCTGGGTGTCCCATCATTAGAGCTCACCTGCAAAGCTTCCGTGCCCAGAGCCCTCCTCTCCCACCTGACAGGAAGCAAAGGGAAGCTCCGTCTTTCCGTGTTGGTTAATTGTGGCCCCGGAGGTTACCATGACTTAGGAACAACTGGACATGGGGTCGTATTTTGTGTGCTGGGTCTCCAGTGGGTCTCAGAGAACTCAGAGGAGTGACTCTTCCCCTAAAACCTTCTTGAGAGACAGACTTGTGTCAACCTGCCCCAAACACTGGCTTTACTTCCTGATCTCAGAAGGGTAAGATACACAGGTGTGTGTCTCTCCTCAGATTGTGGAGTTACTTTGCGCCTTCCAGGGACCCTTCCCTTTATGATTATGGCCTAATGGGGTTGAAGGTGCCATAGTAGACTCTGGTAGAGATTGGGTTGTGTTTGTTACCCTGATTTTCCTCAAAAACTCTTTCGTGGGCTGAAAGGTGTGCTTAAGCTCACCTAAAGCACACACATGGATACACATTCCTGGAGCAGGTGACTTGATGGAGAGCAAGGAATTGATGGAAAGAGCACATAAGGGATCCACGTTCTATGCACCTAGGCAGGGAGGCAGGCTGGTTGCCTTGGGCTGGGAGAAGAGGCCATAAAAAGGAGGGAGCTAGTAAGGAGGTAAAGGGGAAACTCAAAGGGGCTCAGACATCGGCTGGTTATGTTTTAAACCACTTATCTCAGGTGCAGCAAAATAATACCCTCAGTCCAACTCCGAGATTTAAAAAACAAAAATTAGGCTGGGTGCAGTGGCTCATGCCTGTAATCCTGCCCTTTGGGAGGCCAAGGCCGGCGGATCATGAGGTCAGGAGATCGAGACCATCCTGGCCAACATGGTGAAACCCTGTCTCTACTAAAAATACAAAAAAAAAAAAAAAAAAAAAAATTAGCTGGGTGTGGTGGTGTGTGCCTGTAGTCCCAGTTACTCAGGAGGCTGAGGCAGGAGAATAGCTTGAATCCAGGAGATGGAGGTTGCAGTGAGCCAAGATGGCGCCATTGCACTCCAGCTTGGGCAACAGAGCGAGACTCCGTCTCAAAAAAAAAAAAAATGCCCGGCGTGGTGGCTCACGCCTGTAATCCCAGCACTTTGGGAGGCTGAGGTGGGGGGATCACGAGATCAGGAGATCGAGACCATCCTGGCTAACACGGTGAAATCTCGTCTCTACTAAAAATACAAAAAATTAGCCGGGCGTGGTGGCGGTTGCCTGTAGTCCCAGCTACTTGGGAGGCTGAGGCAGGAGAATGGCCTGAACCTGGGAGGCGGAGCTTGCAGTGAGCCAAGATCGCGCCACTGCACTCCAGCCTGGGCGACAGAGCAAGACTCCGTCTCAAAAAAAAAAAAAAAAAAAAAAAAAAAAAATTGCTACACTCACAGTATCCCAGGTTGCACTCAGAAAGTAACAGCTCCCTCCCAATAGTGATTAGCTTAGGGGTGTACTGGGGTGAGGAGCAGGTGCAGGACCCCATAGCAGAGTTGAGCAGGGAGGTGCTGGGTGCAACCCAGGTTGTCATAATGATGCTGCCCTTGTTCACACTTGAAATGTTTTCAAAGGGCCTCCAGGCCCCGGCCAGCTGTCTGCTGTCATCCCCCACACATTCTGAGGCAGCTCCCTTTCCCCTCAACACATAGAACAGAGATGATGCCATGCTTCCTATAGGTGTCCATCTGATGCTCACTGGAATCTCCATGAGCCCCCAAAGTGTCAGGTAACACAGCTGCAACCTCCTTGAATGAGGCCATTACTTTGCTGGTCTCCTCTGGTATTTAATGAACATAGGACCTGGTAAAATCGTGCCTCAGTTTTTCCTCTGGGTCACATGGTCTCATGGTAGCTCCCCTCCCTCTGCTGGGGAGGGCAGAGGCTCCCTCCACAGGTGTGTGCCAGCACCTCGTACTTACCCAGCTCAGTCTGGAGTTTCTCTGGAAAAAGAACAAGAATAACATATTAAGGAATTTGGTGTAAGGGAAAGGAGAGAAACTATTTTTTAAAAAAGAAAGCAATTTATACATTATATAGGGAAGCTCAATTCATTAAAAAAATGAAATGCAGAAAAATACTGATTCTTTCCCACAGATTACCCAATGATACAGCTTTTTTTCCTTTTCTCTGCACAACAAAAATGCTGTCACTTCTATCTCCCCATGATTCTGTTGGTTTCTTCTGATATTTACAGCATAAATACTTAGCTATCAGCATGAAAATAACATATGTTCCTTTTATAGATACACAGAAAGTACAAAATTATATGGACATAAACAGTATCACCTAAATTACAAAGTAGAGAGACGAATTATATGTAATATACAATCAGCTTCATTTAAAATTAAAATGTAACATTAACTTTAAAGTTTTTTTAATCTATCCATTTATATGAATAACTGTATACTTATATCCAAATGTGGAGGGTATCCTGAAAGTTTTAGTGCAGTTATAAGTTATTTAAGGCCAGTAACTTTTATGTGATTGGAAATGTCAATTTATAGGTAGATGTCATGTTTATCATTGAATAGTGCATCATGAGGATTTTTTTCAACCATTAAAATTATTTAAAAATATCTTTTTATTAATGCTATAATGTATAGTAAGACAAGATTCCACACTGTACTGTTGTATTGGGGGGTTGGTTGTTTTTGCTGCTATTTATAAATAAGGCCATAATTAATATTCTATTATGCAAATAGTTGTCTACATCTCTGATTATCTTCATATGATAGATTTCTAGAAGTAATCAGCACAAGACAGCATAGGAAAACATTTCAGTTGAAGAAATATAGCTTTATTTTCTTTACAATGCAATGAATACTTGTGAGTAAAAACAATCAATGCAGAAGAAGGAAAGGTAGAACTCAAAAATAACGCAGGCGCCATAACAGCTATTCAAGTAAAATGTAGTGCGTATATTTCCAGTCATAAATGTTTTATGGCTTTCAATACATATTGCTATATGATAGACAATGTCTCTTGATAAAAATACGAGGTGCTATGGTGCAGTCCCTGGGACCTCTCCTGCTGATCTGAGCGTGTGGGTCCTAGAGGCAGAGCACTGACCTGGGAGGCTGATGACCGACCCCTTCTCCTCAGTGAGGACGGGGTTGTGGACCAAGCAGGACACAGACTCTGCAGAGGCGTTCCTGACCACCAGGGTGGCTTCCGCATAGAACAGGCCATCTTCATCTTGGATGCGATGCTCAGACACGGCCAGCAGCTTCTCTCCCCGGATGTCTTCCCAATACACCTGGGGCTCTGGGAACCAGCCCCTTGCAGTGCACACAAGCTGGACTCCACTCTCCCCAGGTCCCTCCATGTGGATGCTAGGGGCAGACCCCAGACCTGCAGAGGGAAGCCACAGCTCTGACACCCAGAGCCCACAGAGGCAGAAATCACAGAGGCTGAGATCCCAGTGACGTTGCTCACAGGGAGGTGGCCGGAGTTCAGGAGTCTGAGGAGCAGAAAGTCGACCTCAGTCTCCCCATTCAAATGTGAGTTCAGATACACTTTATTTGTTCCCCAGTCTGCGTCTTTACATTTTAGCATCTGACCAGTACTTTTCTCCAGATCCAGAAAGGGGAATCGGAGAAGGGGGACATCATGACATTTTGCAACGCTTCTAGCACTGCAAACAGAGATGAGCTGTAATTTATTCATTAATTCCTCTGTGCCATGAACTCTGCCTTTTTCATCTTAAAATTATCTGTATTGGGCACATTGTCTGGTATTTTAGATGATGTCTTGAACTCCAATTTGATTGAAGATTTAACACAAAGTCAGAAATCACTCCCCAGGGGCCTGTTCTTCCTGCATCTTTTGCTGGTGGCTGTGATCTTCGGAAGCAAGTGGATAAACGGGAGCATGTGAAATGCGAATCTCCACGAGGCGTTATTTGTAGCTAAATATTCTATTCAATGGGTAAGATGGTTTTGAGAAATCCTAGTTTACAACAGTTTATGAAATCATGGATTTTTTTTCTCTATTTAACGTGAAACTCCCACACCCAAACTAAGGGGACTATATTTTCCATAAATGGGAATTCTGTCTTAATCACTTGCTGGTAAAAGAGAGATCCACTCCCTTCCCTTGGACCCTTAGAAAATGTGTGACTTATTTGTAAATGTTCCTGATATTGAAATACATCAGTACGTTCCCTGTCCCCCCATGTCAGAAATATATGTATTCCTCCATCCATTTTGAATCACCTTGAACACAGTAACAGTAATGGATGTTAAGAAAAAAAAAGGTATTAGGAAACAGCCTTCCAGGGAAGTAAAGAAGGAAGCAGTATCAGCTGGAGACGTTAACATCTCCAGAGAACTATTTTCCCCATTTGCCTTAGTAATTGGATTTACTTGATTTTCTCTTTAGAGCATGGAGAAGTTAGCCCTGTCAGGGAATCATATGATAGTTTACTTTTCATAAGACAGATCCATTCTTCAGTTGTCCCCTTCTTCCCTACTCCTTCCTGCTTAGCTAATACAACAGCAATATGAAGAACCTTCCCATTCACAGAGGGTGTGTCCAAAAGCATCTGTGAGTCCCCAATTCATTGAACACTAGTATATAACAATCTCCAAAGCACGACATTCTTAGCCTTTTCAGTCTTGTTGATAGCTTTCTAACTGAGGGCATTTCACAAGGAAAGAACATTTTCACGTCTCAGTTTCTGCATAGATGGGATTGGGTAGAGAAAAACCAATGCCCTGAGATACAGATGCCGGACGTCAGCTGGGCTCATTCATGCAGCAATTGGTTTGCTCTTGCGCACCAGCCTTAGGTAGCACAAATGTGTGTCTCAGCAAAATTGCTAAAGACTGCATGTCATGGATTCCAAATAATCCTCAAGAACAGTCAAAACTGTGCAAATTAAATTTGGGAAAATATTTTAACACTAAGCTTGAAGACTCCAGAACCACTTATTTTTAAATCAATCAGGGTAGAGGACTAAGCATTAGGAATTACCTTGATGATTCAAAAGGATTTCCTCAACTGTCACAAAGCTTACCACAAATTAATATATCTCTGCCTCTTGAGACCCTGTGTCTTTCCCCAGATATTCACCTGCTACTTTGAGCAGCAAGCTTGTTTCTCCACAGTAGTTCCCATCCTGGAAATGGCACCAGTATTGTCCATTGTCGGAGGGCTGGATGTTGTGTATCTTCAGTGCCACATTTCCCTTTGCAATGCCATTCTCTATCCACTCTACCCAGCCTCTGTACTCCTCCATCTGCATCTCAGTCACCTCCACTCCATCCCTGTGCACAAACACAGGTGTGCTGGGCTCTGAGCGGTACCACCTCACCTCCACGTGCATTGTGGTCCTCTTGGGGAGTAGCTGGCAGGTTAACAGGGCATCTTCCCCAACCCCGGCCAGGATAGGATGAGCAGGGCCAATGACTCTAAAGTCTTCTATAAAATAAGTGAAAAAGAGGAACGAGGAAATGCCAATCAGAAAATCATATGCATGCTTTGGGGTGTCCAGCCTGTCAAAATGGAGGCAACTAGAAGAGGGAGAGATATATGTTTAATGTTTTAGAGAAATCCAGCATGATGATTTGCACATCTGTTTGTTACAGAGTCAATTTTGTGTACTGAAAACAAATGCAGTTCAAAAATGTGGGTGAGGTTGCTGTCTGTCACCTACCAGCTATGTGATTCGGTGGCAAATCTATTACTCTTGGTAAGATTTTGAGATTTGAAGTCCTAATTTCTTCATCTTCAAGATATTAATACCAGCATACCTGGGTTGTTTTTATTCTCAAGTAAATTATTTATTCCTTGAGTCATTTATTCTCATGTAAATTGACTTTTTAAATTGGAAACCTTATTCTTGTTATTAACATTTTATTTTCCTGAAGTTTAGATAATAAATCCATTTATTAGCTTTTTTAGCCTTTCAGGATTCCTCTTCTCTTAGATATAAAAACTGTTTTTTTTGTTTTTTTGTTTTTTTGTTTGTTTTTTTCCCGTCTGGAGTTGGCAGGAGGCCAATTACTGGGACTATGTACAATGCAGTTTTCACAAGGACATTTTGTGCTGGATTAATGACACTGGTTTGTCTAGAGATTTTTGGGTCTTCCAAACAAATTCTAAGACATGTCTGATCTCTTCCTTGTTATCTGCAAATTGAAGAGATGTTTAACAGTTAGGTATGTTATTATGTTTGATCATTTTATGTCATGTATGATATGTTCTTTCTCATTCTAAATGCTCCGGGGCCATTTGCTCTTTCTCTGTGCAGATCCAATCCTGCTAGGAAGAACCTCACCCTACTTAGCTGCTGCTGGGTATCAAATAGATGCTGCTCAAAAGGTGGCTAAAGAGCCTAAGTGGAGATCTGCTTGTATTCTTCATTGATGAAGTCTAAATATGAAGCTAGAACTGAAGACATTCCATCAGATTGACTGTTACAGGGTAGGGAGCTGCAGCACAAGCACAGAGAAGCCAGCAGCTTCATCACATCACACCAGCTCTGCAGGGCCAAGGCAGACACACCAGCTCTGCGGCACCGAGGCAGACACACCAGCTCTGCGGTGCCGAGGCAGAGCCTGCGCCCTCTGATGCTCTGTGTCGTGTTTTTTCCCACTTCGCCATGCTGCATTTTCCTTAGGGCTCTGACATCTCCTTCTGACACTGATTTTTTTTTTTGACACTGAATTTTTAAATAATTATTTTTCAAGGTGCAACATTTTGACGTCAAAATTCAGCTAGTGAGATTTCCAAAGTCCCTTTCTTCTAATTTCTTATTTCCAAGTATTTTTTTTAATTGCAGCTTAATTTATGATAAGAAGCAGCTGCATTTCTTGACCCCAAAGTACTAGAGTGAATTAATAATTTAACGTGGTGCAACCACTGATTCAAGTGCTTTTAATGTCTCATTTAATCCTAAAGCCTGTGCTGGCCTCTGAGATGTAGTTACTGCTGTTATTCTCATTAAAAAGATGAAAGAACTAAGGTATGAGGTGCTCTAGTAACTTTCCAAAGGTGACTCAGCTAGGAGTGGAGGAGCTCCTGGGAGTGGAGGAGCTCCTCAAAAGTGAGGAGTTCCTTTTTGGATACAGGTGGCTTGGCCCCAGACTTACACTCTTAGATGTTGTTCTCGACCTTTGGACCCAGACTAGCTCACTGGGACATTAGACTATACAGTAAAGGGAGAAGGGAATCCTACCTGACTGCTTCATTGTCAGCAGGATGAATAGGAAGGAGGCGACTGCACCAGACAGATTGTAGCCTGGAAAATCCACCATCCTCCCTGGAACAAAGACAAGGAAACGCTGTGCCTAAGTGAGGCTGTGACACACCCGGCACACTCCATGGCTTCCATTGGTTATGCAGTCTTAGCAGAGAATCCACATCAACCCCTGCACAGTCAGTGAAATGGGCTTGGCTCCATTTCTCTGCAATTACTGATCACATCCAACCCTTTACCTAACGTGTTATATTGTGAGACAATGTAGCAAATGTAAGAAGCCTTGCTTGCTCATTTCGGCTTGCTAGCATACTTTCACAAAGCCCCTGCTGTGATGACCTGCAGTTCTCCAGAAAGATGCTTCAAAGACAAAACAAGATTGAGCACACGGCCTCCCATCTCTCTTGCCTGAGTCACTCTACTCCTTAAAAGATAAGGAATAATAGTCCTTGCCTTTTCCTACACATAAGATAACGTCTGATTGAAGAATACCTCTGTAACCTATAACCCGATCTGCTCATACACCCATACATTGATGTAGTTCGGCTTCAATGTAGCTTCTGAGCTAATTTGATGTAGTGATTAATATGTAACCTCCTGACATCGAAAAGGATATGGATTTGTTTCTGAATCATAAAGTTTTACTGATTGTTTTGTGCATGAAATATTTTAGTCTATATATTGTCATCTGTGTCCAATGATTGTAACCTCTGTATTGTACCCTCCAGTGAAAAAAGACAACTCCAATATGAAGAGCCCCTTTCTTTCTGCCTGAACTTCCTTACAAAAGCCTTCCAACTTGTAAGACTTTGGACCACCCTCAACTTCGTTGGTGTGTCTTCCTACATCAATCCTGACATTTGCCTTCCAATAGAACTTTATGAAATTATTCCTGCCTCAACAACCCTAATTTCATGAGACAATATTTTAAGCAATTTTTTAGGTGTAAGGAAGTCTTGTGACTGAAATGAAAAAACACTTGAGGTAAAGGAACAATAATATTAAAAAAACCCCAAACCAAACCAAAGCAAACAAAACTCCTTAGGTTCATCTGTTGTGAGCTTGCAAAACTTATAGAGCAAGATTCAAATATTTTTTCCTGTCCTCCTCCCAACTCCTCCTGCAAAGACTTTCTTTACCACTGTTTTCTACACATGGAGGAAAGGGCAGGAAGGCTCTGCGTCTCCACACTGCAGCCAGAAAGCCAACATTCAGTGCTAGCGCTCAGAGAACCCGGGACACAGAGATGCCGTGGAAAGTGAAAGAAAGAGTAGTAGAAAGATAGTCGGGAAAATATCTGTAAGTGGCCTTTTAGAATAGACTTAAAAACATGAATGAATTAAAAAAACAAAAAGCCCAACTGGCAGAAACTGGCAAACCCAGCAACCCCACTGTCCCAGCTGAACAAAAATACTTCACACAGCTAAAAACTTTAAAACTTACCAGGACAAGGATAGAAGGCTAGTTTTACCATTGAAAAATACAAACTTCAGAGTGAAAGAAATCTAAGACTTATTATATGTGATGTGTCAAGTATTTTATTGAAAGAAAACTTGCTTCACACAAAGTAGAGAAACCAGCTCAGGAGCAATGTCAAGTCAATTACAGTTTCCCCCTTTCCAAGAAACTACTGCTAGTAAGATTTTATGGGACAGGGGTAAAAATCAACATTTTGAAATGGAGATTTAACAATCAAATGAGTCAGGAGATTGTTGTTACACAAATATTGCCCATTTGCTTTATAAAAAATATGTACTTTCATATAAGATATCTTTAAGGAAACTTATATGAGCCCATTCACAATACCTAGATCGAAAAGGGCAGTATGATATTTATGTGAAAATGGGGTTGGGTGTTAGAAGACAGTGCAGACCATGAGCACCTTGCCACCTGAAACTTACTAGTCACCTCCCCTTAGACTGAAGGGTGTTGCTGATGCCTCCTTGACTCCTTTTGTGAAAAGCAGGAACATTTTTTTCCACCAAGTAAGAGTAAAGAAAGCCCCACAACATCCATACCAAGCATGATTTCTCAGCCGTGTGAACTAAAATGAACTCACACTTGCTACAGACCACTTCAGAGGCTTGTGTTCCTGTAGGTCTTTCATGTCAAAGCGGTGGGAGGGAAAATCTACAAGTGAACTCTCAAAAAAATTGCTCAAATCAATGAAGCTTTCGAAGAATGTTGGGAGAATCCATCTCCAGTGCTCAGATAGATTGTGAGAGAATATATCAGGGAGGATAACCACCTTGGACCAGGGTTCTTAATGGGGAAAGAGGCTGTTTTGCCCTTAGAGGACATTTGGCAATGTCTGGGAACATTTTCAGTTGTCACGACTGGGGGAGGGGACATATATTGAGTAGAAACCAGGGGTGTTGCTAAACATTCTATGAGGCACGTGGCAGCCCCCACAACAAAGAGTCATCCAGCCCAGAAGGCCGGTGGTGCCGAGGAAATGCCCTGCCACAGGGTTTGCTGTCAGGATGCTGAAAAGCTTTGGCACATTTTTTGAAAATAGATAACTAGACTTAAATTGCCATCTTTAAGTAAAAACCTTTTAAAAAGATAAGCTTTTGACCCCTCCGTTTTACTATTTGGATGTAATGCAAGAATCTTCTGAAACTGTTGTTCCTATTAAATATAGTAAATTTTGGTGTTGTCAAGATATATGATCTAATATGCAAATGTATCATCGAATTCTCAAAAACCCATGTTTAATTTAATTTAATTTTCTGGATAAAGTATAAGTGTTAAATTGTAATAATAAGTGGTAGCTTATGTTTAGGCATTAGATGATGAACAATTCTGAATTTCAAGGCCTATCCTGCACTGCTAAAACTCATATCAAAGAAAATTGCAAATTACTACGTATCATGGGTCATTAGAACTTTTTTCAGTAAAAGCCTCAAATGTTGCTCCTCAAAATGCCAAGCAGCCATAGTAACTGACTGGTAAGAATAAATTAACTTAGTTCACGAAGTCGAAAGCTTATGTATCTATGTAGACATTAAAAACAGCTATAGTTTATCATATGTTAATACATTTTTATAGAGAAAGCTAAAATAAGATTTCTAGGAGACAAAGTGAATTGGGTTTTTGTGTGTGTGTGTGTGTGTGACCTTGGACATCTTTCTTTACTTTCTTGAGCCTGTATTTTCTCTGCTGTGTGGTGGAGACAATCATCCTAACGTTTTCCAAGCTGTGTCATGACCATGTGACAGAAGAAGACGTTAAGGCTCAGGGACACATGCCCCACATCATCCATGACAAATGAAAATGTGATCCTGGTTTTCTTGTTTATAATTTCGTGCTTCTTCCTCACTCAGCCTGCTTCACGAGAACACTGTGAGGGTCAAATGGGCTACGATCGCACTTTGAAGACTGCACAGTGGGATATAAATATAAGTGGGAGGCAGTGTAACAGGTGGCAGCATTTCCCTAAAGGACATTGATTCCGTCCGTATGTCCTACTCTGTAATCTGAGACAATGTCCCCAGCTTCCCGTGGCCATCCTTCACCAGGGAATCCAAACCACTCACGTGTCTCCCTCTCTCCTTTGGGGCGAAACCTGGTGCTACTGGGTCTTCTCACTTGGCCCCAGATGTATCTTCATCCACATAGCAGGTGGTCAGAAACAGGTCAGAGCCCTCGGGTGTGCTGATCAAAGACACACCAGAGAGCCAGAGAGTGTGGGAGAGCCAGAGAGTGTGGAGGCCTCCTCCAGGACTTTGGGTGAAGGAGGATTTAAGCCGTCTCACCCCAGTTGAAGGCAGAGCCAAATCCCGGAGGCCCTGTGAAAATGAGATTGCATTCCGAAAATCAGAATAGCACATTCACCTCCTAACAGCTATAATCCTTTCAACAGTGAAACTCCGGGGACAAGTGGACTTTGGCTGGGTTCAGTTGTGAATTCTGCAGACGTGCACACAAAATCATGACACTGGCAATTCTCACCTTCCCCAGAAAGCCAAGGCCTTCATGGAGGCCTCATCTGCAACCCCCCAGTTAGGTCCTCACACAGACCCCACCGTCCCACACATCAGCGGGTGCCATCCACCCTTCCCTCCACCTTGCCACACATCAAAGATTCCCAACTAGTGCCAAGTCTCCACCAGAGCATGGCACTCATCGGGCTGGAGTTGGAAGCAAAACTGAATATCAAACGTGCCATCCCTCATTCCACTGATGAGAAAACAGAGACCCAGAGAAAGGAACTGCCCTCTCCAGGATCAGAGCTCTGGGCCAAGGTCCCTTGTGGGCTACTTTATTGCTCTTTTTACTCAGGTACTTTATCTCCCTTTGCTGAGTAATAAAAGGTTTAATTACTCTCAGATGTTTACCAAAGAAATGTAATAACCTTCTCAGCATAATATTTGGGCATGAAGAGTATAATGATAGGCATATTTTGTGTGTGTTTTTGTTTCTGCCAGATTTTCCTTTACGTTCCCCTTAAGTCTGTGTTCCTTGAGCTAGAGGGGGTCTCAGATATAGTCTCAGGATTTCAAGAGTTCTCCAGAACAATTTTTAATTTAATTGCAGATTTTCATGTCAATGTAATAATAAAAGCATATGCAGCATTATGATGTTACAAGGTTTGAGCCGATTTTTTCCTTAAGTTTCTTTCCCTCCCGTTATGAGCAGCCCATAATTGGGTCCCCTGACTTACGGTTACGATTCTTAATGTAAGGGTTTCCCCCTCCATCCTTCAGTCTAGACAAAGACCCTCCCCTCACTGTAGAGGATGAGAGATTTGGAGAGAAGAGAAACAATTAAACATGGACGAGGATAGGAGGGTCTCTTTACCCTGGTTCTCTCTCAATTGGAGTAGAGGGGAATGAACCCCACTTCACCTCCGGTTCCCAGAATGGTAGCGATGCCCACAGATGTCCCTCTCAGAGTGGCAGCAAAGGAAAAGTTCTCCAAGGCAAGAAGTGGCAGACTCTGGAAGGCTCCAACAGTGGGATGAAAGTTTGCTGCCTAAAATGCTGGGATGGAATGTTCCAGCAAGAGGAGAGTGGCATCAAGGACATAACAGTGATCGTCACCACTGTGGGAAGGACAGTGACGACCAGGAAACACGATGGGATAGTGACATATTGTGGGAGCTGATGATGCAAATGTGAGGAGAGACTTCTACACCAGCCCTGCACCACCTCCCACCTCAGAACTTAGAAATCACACGGCGGGTGAAGAAGAGGCTGCTATTAAATTAATTGTGTGAAAGCCACTGAATTTATCTGGAAATTACCAGATGAACTCCTCTGTCAGAAGACATAATAATGCTTGGCATACAAATTAAAATCCGTAATAGGAAAATATAGAAATTTACTTTATACACCTGAATGTGTGAAAAGATGCCGCTCATTGCATGCATTCTGTAGTATCATCTCTATGGTACCAAATGCTGGAATTATTTGAATTTTTTATGGTCAGTCACATCAGCGCCAACTCACCGCGTAAAGAAGCTCCGTTTACACTCGCGTGTGTGTGTTCTCACAAATCATCTGCATACACTTTCTCAGAGGTCTGCCTGTGCTGAGAACTGTGTCCTAAATTATGCTACATATTATGGGAGGCCATTTTGTGCAGGAAGATGTTGGTGTGTGGGAGAGAAAAAAAGGAGTCACAATCTCTGCCATTCTGACTAGAGTCCACCTCCAGGAGAAGCGGGAAAACAAGGCATAAGCTGCTAGAACTGAGGAGAGGGAAAAACAAGCATCCGGCGAGGGCAGGAGGAACAGCAGAGGGGAGTCATGGATCTGCCTGGCCACCAGAGGGCAGCAGAGACGGGCTCACTGTCGGCTTCAAGGTTGTTCCGCAAGTCGATTCACTTACAGACTCTTCTTCAAATGCGGCGGTCACCTGTGACCCACATTCATAACTCCCTCAGCCACTAGACGACAAAAGAAGCCCTGAGTTTAGGCTGACTGAGATTTTCATTCTAGCTTTGCTATACATTTGGGCAAGCTTTACTTTGGGTAAGTCTGTTCTTTCCAGGGGTCTCAATTTTCTTAGTTTTTACACAGGGATAGTATGTGGGTGGCTCACATTAAAGTATCGTTGTAAGGATAAAGTAAGAATATAATCATGATACAAAATCCCTATATAGCTATTAGGTGTCATTACTGGGAATGGAAGGTCTTGGAAAGAAGGTGGATAGAAAAATAGAGGAGATTAGAAATGAAGATAAGAAATCAAGGTCAATCCAAGAAATGTCAGGAAAGTGTTGCTATGAATATGGAGAAGTTCAGGCGACGCCATCAGCTGTTTCTTGGGGACCTGGTTGAAAGATGTTTTGAGAGCTCTTAGATCAACTCACCAGAAAGATGATTACTTTGTGGAGTCTCCCAGCAGTGAGACTTATACAGGTATCGTTTCCTCAGGGAAAGGAAAGAAAAATCAGCAGCTCTCATCTCCTGGAGGCACAGTGGCTTGTCCTCCACAGTCCCCTCGGTTTGCTGACTGACTGGAGGAGAGAGAGCACCTGCAGAAGCCCTGCGACTCCTCCCCCAGATGTGAGTGGGGGGCCTGGGATTCCCGAGGCCAGTGAGGGGAGGGTGGTGCTCACAGGACGGAGGCCTTTCCTCACAGCGTGGCCACGGTTCAATCTGCACCTCTGGCCATTTTTCTTGATTGGCAAAAAGAAGGAAAGAAGAAAGGAAGAAAGGGAGGAAGGGAGGGAGGGGGGAGGAAGGAGGGAGGGAAAGAAAAGAAAAGAAAAAAGAAGAAAAGAAAGAAAAGAGAAGAAAGGAGGAAGGGCAGGCAGTAGAACTTCTGAATAGGAAAATGCCCAAACATTTAGGGATGGAGGACTGAGGTATTCTTAGTTCTGGCTGACCTACAGTCTAAGTTGAGCTCTTTACATACATGGCTGTCATATACTTTACAAAAAGTGTCTGACAAACCAGTTCCTCTAAAACTTTTAATTTTAAAAAATTTAGGTTGGGTGTGGTGGCTCACACCTGTAATTTCAGCACTTTGGGAGGCCGAGGCATGTGAATCACCTGAGGTCAGGAGTTTGAGACCAGCCTGGGCAACATGGTGAAACCCCGTTTTTACTAAAAATACAAAAATTAGCTGGGCGTGGTGGTGCACGCCTGTAATCCCAGCTACTCCAGAGGCTAAGGTAGGAGAATCACTTGAACCTGGGAGGCGGAGGTTGCAGTGAGCTGAAATTGCGCCATTGCACTCCAGCCTGGGCAACAGAGTGAGACTCTGTCTCAAAAAATAAATAAAATAAAATAAAATAAAATAAATTTTTACTTTTAAATTTACTTTTATGAAAGAGTTACAGAAGTTTAAGACAATCACAATGATCATCTATTATTTTTTGAAAATGATGAAATTACCTAAAATTGATTCTACTGCAGGTGGGAGCCTATAAGACTAAAGTTCCCAGGAAGAGATGTAAGCTTCGGTGAAGCCCACCTCAGTTGACTCCAAAACTAATGCAGATGCCCCCTTGGGGAATTGCGGGGAGGGGGTGTACAGAATGTGTTAATACCATCACACTCCTCCCAGGACCCCAAAGAAGCTGCACTCACAGAGATATCCGGGCATGTCTCACACTGGAAATAGGGGACCCTTCCAAATATTGGGAGAAAGAAGGCAAAGAAAATCATACCGATCTACTAAGCCTCCTGCATTTGCACCCATCCAGCCTGCCATTCATCCTGGGTTCTTTTACTTGGTCCTCTTGGGGCCTCTGAGAGGATCTCCATCTCTGCGAAGTGCATTCCCCACCGGGCTGTTGCAGTTCCACACATGGCCAGTAGATGACAGGTTTGTTCAAGAACCGCCTCCAAGATTTTACTACTGCACCGCGATTTCAGAGTGGCGGGAAGGACTGAGAGTCCCATTTAGAAACTTCCCAAATCTTAACTGCCAATATCTTTCTTTCTAAAATTGTGTTTTTGTATTTCGTGGTAAACTCAGTTCAAAGCCGCGGATGGGGGCAGGAATAGGAAAACTGCTGCTGCTGCTGAATATGCTTCTCTCTCTTAAAGGTCCCAGCAGAATTCTGCCACTGAACCACCCTGGGAGAATGCGGGGGAAAGAGAGGAGGAGAGAAGGACAGAGAGAGAGAGAGAGCCAGAGAGGATATGAGGGAGATAGGGAGAGAGGACTGCTTCATTGTCTTAAATTCGTTGTAATCACGTCGCAATACCAGGCACTCATTCTTAAGGTAGCAAAGCAGAAAATATTATAAGTTCAGTTATTAATGTCATTTGCACTTTTGAGAGTAGAGAACATAGGCACTAATATTATAATAATTCAATAACTATGAAGGAATCAAGACAATCTTCAGGGAGGATGTGGTGCATGGAATGGAATGTAAGGAATCGTTCATACTTCATGTAGGTTTAGCATTTCTTGATTACAAGCTAAATAAGGGGTGGATTACTCATGAGTTTTCCGGGAAGGTGGTGGGCAATTCCTGGACTAAGGGCTTCTCTCCTTTTTAGACCATATAGGGTAATTTTGGATGTTGCCATGGCATCTGTAAACTGTCATGGCGCTGGTGGGAGTGTCTTTTAGCATGCTAATACTTTATAATTAGCATATAATGAGCAGTGAGGATGACCAGAGGTCACTCTTGTGGCCATGTTGGTTTTGGTGGGTTTTGGCCCGTTTCTTAACTGCAACCTGTTTTATCAGCAAGGTCTTCATGACCTGTATCCTGTGCAGACCTCCTATCTCATCCTGTGACTGAAAGTGCCTTAACCTCCTGGGAATGCAGCCCAGTAGCTCTCAGCCTCATTGTACCCAGCCCCTATTCAAGATGGAGTTGCTCCGGCTCAAACACCTCTGACATTTGTGGACACGTAGAAAAGGATAATTAATGGGTTAGCAGGATGAAAGGAAAACTATACCCCAAAGGATAGCCTAGCCATTGAAATTGATATGAACTGGAATATGAAAATAATTGGGGACAATTTAGTTTCATGACCATATATAAAACATTTAACTATGTCTGGTTGTATTTTAACATAAAATTGGGCATGGGAAACTATTTTTAAAATATTCTTTATTTTTTAAATTGACCTGGATTTTTCTTTCAACTTTTATTATTTTAAAAATTAGTTTAAGCCTGGCAGATTTCACATAATTTCAGACTCCTTTTGGCAAACAGTAAACATTACAGCCTGGAAAGCTTGATTGCTTATATATAATACCCTAAGAGAGCTATTGAAAATGCCTAGAATGTGTGAATTTAACAATGGTAAAATACAAAAACAAATTGTAATTCTATACACCACAGCAGAATATCATATATAAAATTTAAAAATCACTTCATTATGACAGCAATAAAAACATAAAATACTTAGACATAAACTGAACCGAAAGATGTGTGATGTGAAACTATAAAATACTGATGAGAGAAACTGATAAAATTCTAAATGTGTAAAGAGATATAATATATTTTGATTTGGGAAGAATTGATATTTTTGAAATAACAGTTCTCAACACGATCTTGATCAATATTCCCACTGGGTTTCTTTGTGGCAATAGACAATTCTAAAATTTATATGAAAATACAAAGGATCTACAATAGCCAAAACTTATTTGAAAAAGGACAGAAGAAATATGCAAAGCTTGGTTTCAAGTCATGCTTCAAAGCTATGGGCAACATGTCAAGGCTAGTAATGTAAGTTAGAGAAACTTCAACAAAGAATTGTGCTTAGTTGTGGGAATCCATGGGAGATTCTGGAATGAAGATGCATAGGAAACAAATGCAAGAGATGAGTCCTGGGCCCTCAGTCATTTAGAGGTTGGGAAGATGGGAGACTTGGCAAGGCAGGCTGAGATCTGGCTGTTATTCTCATGTGATGAGAATCTCAAGACAGTGAGGTTTAGTAACAAGTCAAGAAAATACATCAATGATGCAGTAGTGGTTAACTACATAAAATGCTTCTGATATGATGAATAAAATGACATCCTAGAGATGACCATTGGATTTGGCAACATGGAGCTAACACATGTCAGTGACAAGGAGTTCAGTTAAAGATGTGGACTGTAGCCTGATCTGTGAAGAGTGGAAGAAGAATGGGGAGGAATGGAAATAACAGGTGCAGCCCAATATTTTTAAGAGTTTCCTTCAGATTAGAAGTAAAAATTCATCAGCAGAGTTGGATTTAGGGAAAAGGAAATGCCGTGGCATGTTTATATGCTGATTGGAATCACTCACTAGAGAGAGGAAATTTTTTTGGTAAACTGGATAAAGATACTTACAACATATTAAACCATGAAAAGGATTAGTACCCAGAACATAGAAAGGCCTCCTACAAATCAATTAGTAAAGGACTATATTTTTCTGAGAAAAAAAATGGTAAAGGCAAGAAGAAACATTTTATAGTAACATGTATAAATGACATGTGAATATGTGAAAAAATTTCAAACTCTTCATTATAAGTCAGAGAAATGTAAATAAACGCCACACTGAAAAAACAATAAAAATATCAAAACCTAGCAAGGATGTGGGTCAATGTTTCTACCAACAGACTTCTGAAGGAAATAGAAATTGTTAGGATCATTTTGGAAAACAAGTCAGCATAACATAGTAAGGTTGAAAATATATATACATTATCATACTACATTACTACTACAATGCTACTCTAGAACATACATCAAGAACTATTGCAAGTTCATTACAACTTCATTCCTAATAGCAAAACATCAAAACAACTTAAGTATCCATTAACAACTGAATAACTTTATATATTTTCATATCAATTATAGTTATTTATACTATATAGTTATTTATAGTTAAATTCATAAATGGAAATAGCTTTTTTTTTTGAGACGGAGTCTTGCTCTGTTGCCCAGGCTGGAGTGCAGTGGCGTGATCTCGGCTCACTGCAAGCTCTGCCTTCCGGGTTCACACCATTCTCCTGCCTCAGCCTTCCCAGTAGCTGGGACTACAGGTGCCCGCCACCACGCCCGGCTAATTTTTTGTATTTTTAGTAGAGACGAGGTTTCACCATGTTAGCCAGGGTGGTCTCGATCTCCTGACCGCGTGATCCTCCCGCCTTGGCCTCCCAAAGTGCTGGGATTACAGGCGTGAGCCACCACGCCCGGTCAGAAATAGCTTTTTTAGGGCTGGTAAAATGGCCTTCATCTAGATTTTCTCATGCTTGTTTGTGAATTGGCTCCCCTCTCGATGAGCTGGTGCACTATCATTATGAGTTTTGTGCAACATTGAGTTCTTGCTTGGCAAGTTTTGTAGAATTTCTTTCCTGGGTTTTGCATGCTGAAAACATGGCTTCATTGGGCATTGGTAAATCAAACGGAGAGGAGGCAGTGCGGCAAGTACAAAGACCATAGTTACAATACTCCAAACCAAAAATATCTGAGACAGATCTCAATCAATTTAGAAGTTTATTTTGCTAGGGTTTAAGACAATGCCCAGAAGACAAGTCTGTGGCTTTCTCCAAAGATGATTTAGAAGCCTTCAATATTTAAAGGTGAAAAGCAGACTGGAGGGAGAATTGAATAGCTCCAATAGTGTACTTTCCTTGGTAATTTTCACTCTTCCTTGGACTATCACATAGGTTGAAACTCTGATATATGTCAAGGTTGTAAACCAAAAAGTGTCTGAGACAGGTCTTAAGCAATTTAGAAGTTTATTTTCCCAAGGTTAGGGACATGCTGGAAAGAAAAAATCATCAAATGACACAGGCAATCTGGTCTGTGTCTTTCTCCAAAGATGATTTCAATATTTAAAGGGGAAAAGTGGGCTGACAGGGAGAGAAGGTATGGCAATCCACATGTTGCAAGGAAAAAGGGGCAGGTAGGGGAAGAGTCAGTTATGTATTCATCTTGCTCTCAGTAAATCATCGCTTTGCATATGATTAGGTGAACATAGAGTAGCTACCGGTGGGGATATTTTTAACCTTTTATCTGTAGCTATCTGCTTGGAAACCAAAGGAAAGGCAATTTCTTGCGTGACTCAGCTTTCACCTTAATTCTTTCCTTTTGACATGGTGAATTGGGGTGCCAAATTTTTAGTTTCCTTTCACAATTTATACAAAACACAACTCAACAGACATCCTCATATCCCAGTGTATGTGGCGGCTCTGGATTCTATTCCTGCTCACCTGGACCTGATTGATCTGATATAGGCAGCTTGGAAACTACTTAGGTAGATGGTGGGGAGGGAAACGTTCCAGCTAACCACGAGCAAGTAAAATACAACTTCACATCCATCATTATCCAGCCCCAAATCATCCAACATCTAGATAATTCCTTAGAGTAAGGGAACAAGATAATGGCCACAACCAAGTAGGAAAGAATCACGTATACAGACGATTTTCATTCCCAAAGATCAGAAGATGTAAATGCAAAGAGAAAAAGTGCTTCCTACGATGCCAGCTCCAGCTTGATAAGAATATATGCTATTTATTATGTGAGGGGGAAACATGTTCAATACAGCTAGCTGCTTCAGCTTCCATGTGGTGTTTGATACCTGTGTTCCTTTTCATTTGGCTCAACTTCCATTAAGCACAAAAACCTCACAAAATGTTCAAAGGGCTAGAGGGACAAATTTGGATTTCATGCCTCACAAATAAAGGAAGGACTCCATAAGATAAAAATACGCTTTCCATAGAAACCTTGGAAGTCTAATATGTGGAATAAGGTGAAATAGAAACAGATCATCCTTCATAGGAACTGAATCCTGAGTTCTAACTAACTAATCCTAGACTAGATTTGGGTGATTTGAGATATTAATGACCTTAGCCTCATAGCCTCATTGCCTGACACAAGCAAAACTAAATAACCTCTAGAGAAATATAATATTTCCTGGAGCCTCAAATTATCACTCATATTTTTCTTCTGCATGGCATCAATTAAAAAATATATAAGAAAACAAAAAATAATAAAATCCAAGAAAAACATAACAGAACATAAATATACGACTTTGACTTCTCTGTGGGATACTGCTAGATTAACTCAACACTCCCAGTACACCAGCTAGAAAAGTTAAAAATTTAAAACACAAAATTCGTACTTTAAAGGAAAAGGAGAGCTGTGGAAGCAACATGCACTAGATGAAATACAATTGCAGAGAATAGGTGATCCTTTTGAGGTGAGCTGACAATCACAGCTCTTCCCCTGCCACCCATGGGGCATTTGCCAATTCATTGTTCATACAGAAGAGGTGTCATGGGCTCAGGAGGGAATCTGCTGGAGAAAGGGAAACCAAGCAAGGGACACAGGGACAGACTAAGAAATTAGATATTTGAGGTTCTCAAATTCTCAAATTCATGGCGTGATTTCCCCACAAGATATTTCTTGAGCTGTGGTGCAGCACTGAGCTATGAGCCAGGCCCCAAACTCCAAAGGCAGAATGAGGACTCCTCCATGTTGCTTGTGTTCAGGACACGGAGAACTGCCTTCAGCCTGGGTCTGTCGAGCACAAGGTGGGTCTCCCCGTTTTCACATGTGCCTGCTCCTGAAGCCACCTGAGAAGGAGGCCAGGGAGCTGGGCCAGCAAGTACTGAAGTTCAGGGCTGAATCTCTCACTGACATTTGTAGGAACAGAGACCTACCTGGGTCTTAATTAAAAGCTCTGGAAGGAGAGTCATGGCCTCTGGTATTGACGGAGTAGTTTGTATTGAAATAACCCTCTTGCTGGTAACAATGATAAATTCTGGACCACCTTCATTTTCCAACTTATTTCATTGTGTTGTGATAAGAACACCTTACATGAAATATACCCTCTTTACAAGTTTTTAACTACAACACAGTATTGTTAACTATAGGCACAATGTTGTATAGTAGATCTCTAGAACTTATTCATCTTGCATAACTAAAATGTTATATTGGTTGAACAGTAACTCCCCCATTTACCTTGCCCCCAGTCTCTGGCAACCACCAACGTATTCTCTGTTTCTATGAGATTGGCTACCTAGACACCTCATATAAGTGGGATTGAAGCAGCCTCGTTTGTCTGGGGTGACCTGAGGTTTGTTGTCTCGTGGCCATAGAGATCAAGGATGCAGACACACAAAAAGTAAGGCTAAGAGTGGAAATTTAAAGAATGTCTTTATTCCTGTCTTCGTTTTGTTATTTACCCAGTAGTCATTCAGGAGCAGGTTGTTCAGTTTGCATGTATTTGTGTGGTTTTGAGTGACTTTCATAATCCTGAGTTCTAATTTGATTGCACTGTGGTCTGAGAAACTGTTATGATTTCCATTCTTTTGCATTTGCTGAGGAGTGTTTTACTTCCAATTATGTGGTCAATTTTAGAACAAGTGCGATGTGGTGCTGAGAAGTATGTATATTCTGTTGATTTGGGGTGGAGAGTTCTGTAGATGTCTATTAGGTCTGCTTGGTCCAGAGCTAAGTTCAAGTCCTGAATATCTTTGTTAATTTTCTGTCTTGTTGATCTGTCTAATATTGACAGTGGAGTGTTGAAGTCTCCCACTATTATTATGTGGGAGTCTAAGTCTCTTTGTAGATCTCTAAGAACTTGCTTTATGAATCTGGGTGCTCCTGTATTGGGTGCATATATATTTAGGATAGTTAGCTCTTTTTGTTGAATTAATCCCTTTACCATTGTGTAATGCCCTCTTTTGTCTCTTTTGATTTTTGCTGGTTTAAAGTCTGTTCTATCAGAGGTGTTTATAGTATTCTCTGATGGTAGTTTGTATTTCTGTGGGATCAGTGGTGATATCCCCTTTATCATTTTTATTGCATCTATTTGATTCTTCTCTCATTTCTTCTTTATTAGTCTGGTTAGCGGTCTATCTATTGATCTTTTTTTACAAAAAAAAAAAAAAAAAAAAAAAACCCAGCTCCTGGATTCATTGATTTTTTGAAGGGTTTTTCATGTCTCTATCTCCTTCAGTTATGCTCTGATCTTAGTTATTTCTTGCCTTCTGCTAGCTTTTGAATTTGTTTGCCCTTCTCTAGTTCTTTTAATTGTGATGTTAGGATGTTGATTTTAGATCTTTCCTGCTTTCTCTTGTGGGCATTTAGTGCTATAAATTTCCCTCTACACACTGCTTTAAATGTGTCCCAGAAATTCTGGTATGTTGTGTCTTTGTTCTCACTGCCTGAAAGGAATTTAACCCATAAGGAGGCCAAGTCAATGCTAGCTTTCAAGGCTTTTAAGTACAGATAACGGTCTTGCTTGAGGGCAATGTTGCAGGCTACAAATTAAAGCCCTTTGTGATCCAGCAAGGTGAAAACCCCAGGACCTTCCTTTAAGAATATAAAAAGAGGCCAGATACGGTGGCTCACGCCTGTAATCCCAGCACTTTGGGAGGCCGAGGTGGGCAGATCACGAGGTCAGGAGATCAAGACCATCTTGGCTAACACAGTGAAACCCTGTCTCTACTAAAAATACAAAAAGTTAGCCGGGTGTGGTGGTGGGCACCTGTAGTCCCAGCTACTCAGGAGGCTGAGGCAGGAGAATGGTGTGAATCTGGGAGGTGGAGCTTGCAGTGAGCCGAGATCATGCCACTGCATTCCAGTCTGGAAGACAGAGCTAGATTCCATAAAAAAAAAAATATATATATATATATATATATATATAAAGTATATCCTGCCAGTACACTACAGGTGTAATAAAACATCATGGATGACCCATCTCCTCTTCCATGATTACATCCTAAATTGCTATGCCAGAGAAATAGAGAGGCATTGTCTGAAAAATACCATAACTTTCAAGATTTTGTTTATGGTTATTTGTTCTCCTGCACATCCTCCTGTTATTAATGATCTTTATCCCAATATCGAAGTGGTGCTTCTCCCTCTTTAATCCAACCAATGGATCAAGGAATTATAGCAGCTTTTAAGGTTTACTATCTGAAGAGGGCCTTTGCCCATGTTATTATGGTAACTCAGGAAGACACTGAGAAGACAGTGATGCAATTCTGGAAGGATAACAACAGCTATGGCTACATCAAGAACCTTGCTTGGGATGGGGATGATGTCACCGAGGAGTGTGTGAATGGCATCTGGAAGAAGACACTCAGGAGGTTTGTCTGTGAGTTCAAAGGGTTTGCCAAGGATGAGGAGATTGCAAAAATCTACAAGGCTTTGGTTGAGATGGCAAACAACTTTAAACTGAGTACGGATGAGGATGGCATTAGGAGCTCCTAGAGGTAGTTCCTTGGAATTGACTAATGAGGAGTTGTTGGAACTGAGACAGGAATGCATAGTTGAAGTAGTGGTCAGAAAAAAAGGAAACTGAAGGAGAAGAAGAAGAAGAACCCCAAATAAAATTCCCTGTGCAGGGTTTAGCAGGAGCTTTTGCAGACCTCAACAAGCTCCTTAAAAATTTGAAAACATGAACCCCAGCACAACAAGGTTTTCATTAATAAAGAGGAATGTTCACGGTGAATCATCTGCTTATAAGCAAATCTATGATGAAAAAAGGAAACCAAGCAAACCATCATGGACCTGTTTCTGAAGAGTGACACCTCCTCAAGAAGAGCCTCAAGCAGGTCCTTCAGGAGGAATTCCAGAAGAAAGTGTAGTTATCATAGGAGATGGCCTCTCCATGTGTGCTATGGCCCCTGAAGACATTTTGGTAGGACAAGATGTGGAAGTGGGAAACAGTGATATTGATGATCCTGACTCTGAGTAGGCCTAGGCTAATGTGTGTGTTTCTTAGATTTTTTTTTAAGTTTAAAAAGTGAAAAAAAAAAATTAAGTAGAAAAAAGCTCATAGTATAAGGATATAAAGAAAATATTTTTGTATAGTGTTTGTGTTTTAAGCTGTGCTATTACAAAACAGTCAAAAAGTTAAAAAATTAAGTATATAAAGTTTAAAAAGTTAGAGTAAGCTAAGGTTAATTATTGTAGAAAAACATTTTTCATAAATTTAATGTTGTCTTAGTTACAGTATTTATAAAGTCTACAGTAATGTATAGTAATGCCTTAGGCCCTTGCATTCACTCACCACTCACTCACTGACTCATCAGGGCAACTTCCAGTTCTGCAAGCTCCATTCATGGTAAGTGTCCTAGAAAGATCTACCATTTAAAAATCTTTCATATGGTATTTTTACCACACCTTTTGTATGTTTAGATACATAAACAGTTAGCATTGTGTTACAATTACCAATAGTATTCAATACAGTCACATGCTGTACAGGTTTGTCGCCTAGGGGTAATAGGGTGTACCATATAGCCTAAATGTATAGTAGGCTATAACATCTAGTTTGCGTAAGGACACTCTGTGATGTTCACACAAAGATGAAATCACCTAATGACACATTTCTCAGAGCTTGTCCCTTTAGCTAAGTGATGCATGACTTCAGTTTTGCCCCATTTCTAGAGCATAGTCCTCCATGACTTTCAATGAAAAACCCGATAGCTTTCATCTTCTCAATCCTGAAGAGCTGAAGGAGATTTAGGCTGAACTTAAAGAAATTTTCAGCTTAGCTCATTAGTCTTCTACTCCATACATCTTCAACATTTAACAAGTGTTTTGAAAAAGACACCTACAAAGTGCTTGAAGTCATCAACTCTCAAATCTTGTCATTGCAGCACCACGTCAAATGACAAAACACTTGCTATTTTCTTAGTCCACTGGAGGAGCCTATTGTCAGAGGCCAAACCTGGATTATTAGCTCCAAACAAGCACTCAGATCAGTAAGTGTCCTCAGGTGATAAGTGGTTGTTGCTACTTGGCATCAATTCACCAGTTCTTCTGAAACTTACGTCTGTTTTGTTTTAGGGCCCTTATCAATGGTAGGTCTTTGTTTCCTCAACACCACTGGACAGTGAAAGATTTTGCACTGCCTTTCAGAAGTTGACACTTTAGTTTTTTGTTTTACCTTCTACCGTAGCATCAGAAGTTAACCAACGTGTTTTGAAGAAACCAGAGTGTTTGAGATGCCTCAGTTTTCTAGTTACATCACACTGGCCCCATAATTGCTGCTGATTTCTTTCTTACAGCAGAAAACTGTAGGAAAATTGTAGCAGAAAACTTTTCTACAGCAGAAAACGGTAGCAGAAAAATGGCACTAAAACGCAGCGTACACTTGCAAACAGCAAATGCTACCAAGAGAAACAGTGATGTCCAAACGTCAGCTTACATTTGCATGGTTCTTCTTTGGAATTTTTATTCATCTAGTCCTATTTACTTTCTTAGCTAAACAATGCTTTTTAAAAATATACCTTTAAAATTTTATCCTATTTTTGTAGTTGTTGCCAGTGGGACAATTTGTCCTACTGTGACCCTAATGCATCTTATACTGTGGTGGAAAAAAGAATAAGATTTTAAATTGTGCTTTCTGAAAAACTGGATATAGAAACAGACAATGGCCAGACCATATATAAAAATAGGCCTGGCTGGGCATGGTGGCTCACGCCTGTAATCCCAGCACTTTGGGAGGCCAAGCGGATGGATCATGAGGTCAAGAGATCAAGACCATCCTGGCCAACATGGTGAAACCCCTGTCTCTACTAAAAATACAAATTTAGCTGGGCATGGTGGCGCGCAGCTGTAGTCCCAGCTACTCGGGAGGCTGAGGCAGGAAAATCACTTGAGCCCAGGAGGTGGAGGTTGCAGTGAGCTGAGATCGTGCCACTGCACTCCAGCCTGGCGACAGAGCAAGACTCCATCTAAGAAAAAAAAAAAAAAAAATAGACCTTTGACCCACAGCCTACAGCAGCCTGCCTGGGGAACCAATTCCCTTATCTTCAATAAACAATACAGCAAGGTAGTCTGCTTAAGTCCGACTTGCAGGAAGTCAGATTGCTGTCTCTAGTAACAATCCAGGAGGCTAAATAATAACTTTTATAACAATTGTTTTAAAATGGCCAGGACTTGATTAATAACTGACAGTTCCCCCAATATTTGTGCCTGCTTCCAACTTAGGACCAACCAGGGAAAGCTAAATATGCATCCTACCCAATTACATAGGATACTCCACTTCCAGTTACCCCTTAAGCATTCCCCATGCCAACAGCCTCCAATCAGGTCCCTTTTAACCACTATAAAGTTTCCTACTTCTTTGCCTGTCTTTGAGTCTCTGCCAAAATGCAAAAGATGGTGGCTGACTCCTTTGTTATAGCAATTTGTGAATAATTTTTGCTCTTTTCATTTGGTTGATCTTCATGTATTTTCACATTATTAAGCTTTATATAAATTAAAATCCAAGAGGCTAACATTTAATTAATGACATTTAAGATCTTCTATATCGGATAATGCTATACATTATATTAGGTTTAATATTTCTATTAAGTATAGATTTAGTAAATTACTAAAAATGCTAAAAATTCATCAAATATATATGTAAGTACAAATAAGGAGAATGCAAAGAGAGATATTAGAAAGGGGTAATATATTCAGGAATAAATATTCAAGATATTTTAAGTTGGAGATATTGTCTGTTGGTACTAAATCAATTTCCCCCTGTTTTGTGCTTTTTTCCATATCACTTGGGGTTGAAGCCTGGACACCACTTCTTCCAGAGTCCCTTTCTTAGGAAGGCACTCACTTGCGATTAGAAGGCAGTGGAAAATTGCTGTCATTCTGCTTCTGACAGCAAGTAGCAGCAGCTGCCAGGAGTGTGGGTTTGTTTAGTGCTGCAGGGCCAATAGTAGCTTCCTGCAGTTCCTGACCTTTGGAAGCACAATTTTGCTTTTTCTGTCCTTACAAAACTTTTGCAATGCACTTCACTGTATTACATCTCTCTGGGCTTAAAATACCTTGAGTGTGTTTTTTCCCCCTTGTAAATCTGGGCTAGACTGAATAATCTTGTAAGTATGTAAATATAAGCAACTATTTTAAAATAACCTGGGTTTTTAAATGTAATACAGATGCTCTTCAACTTATGATGGGGTTAACTCCCAATAAATCCATTGTAAATTGAAAATATTGTGAGTTGAAAGTGTAGAGTATAAGTTGTTCACCTTCATGATCATGTGGCTGAGGCTGCCTGGCATTGTGAAAGAGTATCTTACTTAGTATCGCTGGTCTGGAATAAGATCAAAATTTAAAGTATGGTTTATACAGAATGGATATTGCTTTTACACCATTGAAAAGTCAAAAAATCCTAAGTCAAACCATCTTAAGTCAGGTGTGTCTGTAGTTTAAAAAAAATTACAAATAAAGAATATCCAATGTTGTTGGGAGTGCAGAGAAGATTTACAAGGTAAACATTGATTTGTTTAAAGTTTGAGAGAAAAAATTAGATAATATGCTTTATGATTTTTAAATGTTAATTTCAAAATAATTATACATTCACAGGAGTTGATGAAAATAGTACAGAGAGGTCCCTTGTACCCTTCACCCAGTTTCCCCCAATGGTTACATCATACATAACTATAGCACAATATCGAAACAAGGAAATCGACACTGATACAATGTATTTGCAGTTTTCTACTTTATCACATGTGTAGATTCATGTAACCACCACTGTGATCAAAATACAGAACTATATTCCATCACCACGAAGATCTTCCTCATGCCACTCGCCCTCCTTAAGAGTCACACCATTCCCCCACCCCCACCATCCCTACACTGTGCCAACCACTAATTTGATTTTCATCTGTATAATTTTATCATTTAGAAAATGTTATATAAATGGAATTATACTATATGTGACCTTCCGAGACTGGCATTTTGTACTCAGAATAATGCCCTTGGGATCTGTATTAGGTGCTCCAGAGCAGTTGTACTAACAGGATATGTATATATAGAAAGATACTTCTTTTAAAGAATTTGCTCACATGATTGTGGAAGCTTACTGAGTCCAAATTCTGATGGAAGAGGCCAGCAGTGGAGGAGACTGGGACAGAGTTGCAGTTTGAGCCCAAAGGTAGTCTGCTGTGGAACCAGGAAGAACCAGGATTGCAGATGGAGTCTGAGACAATCTGTTGGAGAGTTCCCTCTTATGCTAATCAGGCATTCAACTGATTAAATGAGGGGAACCCAGTTATGGAGGGCAATGTACTTTACTTAAAATCTACTGACTTAAATATGTAACTCTCACCCCAAAACTGCCAGATGATGTGAAATTCCATGTCCTCTACTTGGCTCCATTGACACTCAGATGGAGTAGATTAAACAACAGACAAAGTCCTCACTTAACATCATCAATAGGTTCTTAGAAGCTGTGACTTTAAGCAAAATGACATATAATAAAACTAATTTGACCATAGGCTAATTCAGCGATCCCCAACATTTTTGGCACCAGGGACTGGTTTTGTGGAAGAAAATTTTGCCATGGATGGGGGTTGGGGACTAGCGGTGGCAGGGAGTGGGATGGCACAACCTAGATCCCTCGCATGCGCAGTCCACAATACAGTTCACAAAAGTTTGCACTCCTGTGAGAATCCAATGCCTCTGCTGATCTGACAGCAGGCCATTAGTGGTCTGTGGCCCAGGGGTTGGGAACCCCTGGGCTAATTGATGCGAACAAGATTTAAGTTCCTGTGGCTTATTTCTGGTCACAAACACATCACCAAACTCCTAAATAAAGACTCAGAACACTTCTAATATTAAACATTAAAATAAATGGGAACTATATATACATTTAAGGTAGGTTTATAATAACAAGTAAGATAATTAATTATCCAGTTTTTGGTGAATTAGTGAGTGATGGTGGTCACAGTGGTGGTGGGTTACATTAAGGAACAAATGTTTGTAAAAGGAAAATGGTAAGGAGCACCTCCTGCCACCACACAGCTCAAACGCAAAGAAGAACAAATACGTTGAACTCACTGAGTACTTTTGTACCCCATTGTTTACTATTGTACAGTTGTATGAATATCATGTACTTTACAAATGTTTATTTTAGAAACATTTCTATTCATTCGCTTATTCATTTTCCAACCTGCTTATTCCAGTTCAAGGTCATGGATGACTGGAGCCTATCCCGGCAGCTCAAGGACAAGAGAGGAACCAACCTTGTATAGGATGCCATCCCATCCATTGTGGGATGCAGACACACACACACATATACACACACACACACACACACACACACACAAAGTCACTCTGCTGGGACAATTTAGACTCACCAATTAACCTAACATGCATGTCTTTGGGATGTGGGATAAAACTCAAATACACAAAGAAAACCCATGCGGACGTGGGGAGAACACACAAACTCCTCATGGACAGTGGCCCTGGCCAGGAACCTATTTATTTTCTCACCAACATTGTAACAAAACGTTGAACAAAACAATGCTATAGGAGGACGCTCTGTGTTTCTCACAGTCCTGGAGGCTGGGAAGTCCAAGATCAAGATGCTGACAGGTTCAATTCCTGGTGAACTTAGAACTGAAGGCTCTCTGGCAGGGGTGCCTTGTGGCTGCAGGCTGGGTATAGAAACTCAGGCTCCCCACTAGGCCTCCACTTACAGAATCCTGACTGGGAGGGAGAGGGTCTCATCAGCGCTCCCACATGGCCTCTACTGACACCAGGAAGGGAGAAGTGCCTCCTTACACCTGGACAGTGGTGAAAGTCCCAGCTTTCTACTTGGCCTCCTCTGACAACACCTTGGCAAAGTGGGTGAGGAGTGCTTCCTTGCAACAGGGCAGGTGGAAGTCCAGGCTCTTCACATGGGCTTCACTAACACCACAGTGTGGAGGTGGCTGATTACTGATAAGCAGGGGCAAAAGTCCTAGGTCCCCAGTTGGCTTCCTCTGACATAAGCCTGATGGGTCTAGGTAGTGTCTCATTATCGCCAGGCAATGGGATAAGACAAAGCTCCTCACTCAGTGTTTGCTGACTGAGGCGGGATGGAAGCCCCTGATTTTTCTGTATTTGACTGGAGTAGTGCGGTTACTGTCAGTTATCTGCCTGGTAGGCTGCTCTTTCTTGTTCCCTTGGATAGAGAAACATGCTTTCCTTAGGATATTTTTGTCTGTGACTACTGATGTTTCCTGTTTTCCAGTTTCTCCAGCACTCATTCCTGGATATATTAGGCAGAAAGAAGACCTATGAAACTCACCACTCTGTCATTCCCAAATCCCATGGTCTGAGGCCAACCTGCTTCTCCTCTCCATCATTCAAGGGCTTTTTATGTCTGTCTGTAGCTGTACTTAGCAGGAGGAATAGGAAGAATTGTACCTACTTCAACTTGTCTTAGAACCAGAAATCTCTCACCATATTTTTTAAAATATGTTTTTGTCATATATTAAAATATTATACATCTATCCTTAGATCCTTAAATAAACATATAATCTATCCTTAGAGTTAATTTGGTAACAAAAATAAAACAAGACTAAAACTATTAATTATGTTAAAGCCATAAAAAATATGCAAATTTTTTCCCAAAATATGGGAAATGTGCGTGTGTGTGTGTGTATCTCCTATGTATACACATATACCATATGACATATACACATAAAAAAAAGACATAAAATGAAAATTGCCGATGTATCAATACCCGGGGGCAGGGAGTATTCTCAGGTTTAACTAAATACTCATATTCAAGTTTTTACCATAGGCCACACCTGGCTCTCAGATTCACTTAGAAGGATATTAGACAGAAGTCAAAGTATGCCAAAGTGCTGAATCAGGTCTTTTTCTTCAGTGGGAGAAGTTCTTGAAACAGTCCATAATTTATTCCAGGTGCTAGTTTCATACTCTGCCCCCATCCCCCAAGTGACAACTCAGGTACAAGGAGCTGAATTTACACCTGTAGAAGTTGTGTCCACCCTAGCTTAGAATCCTCATGTCATCTACGAGCTAGTACCTCTTATAACAAACCCATGGGCACAGCTTCCAGAGTCCCTGTAAAGGGCATGCTCAGTTACAAGGGTCACTGCATTTGGAAATACCCAAACTATGGGTCCCCGTCATTTGTTACGGTTCATGAAATATTCTTCCCAGTAAAGATACAAAATGCCAACCAGAAGCCATTTGTGCCATAAGCAATGTTGTCTAAAAATCCAGCTGACATTCTTCCTCCATCAGGTTTCCAGAAAACAGCTAGAAAATTAGCCTAAGATTAAATACATCATGGAGAAGTAGAAAGGGTGTTATAAAGCATTTATCCACAAGATTCAAAATGAAATACAGTTAATTTTGTCCGTTTTAAGACATTATTTCAACCTTCAAATTATTTAAAAGAAGTACATCCTATATTTTGTGTGCTTATTCAAAAAAGGCATGGTAATACTTATAAAAAGACTTTAAATATTTTTATAAGTTTTAAATATTTTATAAGTAATTTTATAAATAAAATTACAAACCATTTAAGTGACCTAATTAAATCAAACACACTTTGAATATGCACATAAGAAAAAAATTAGTTGAAGCATCCTGACTTAAGAAATCCTTGATCTTTCATAAGGTGTCTGAATACTCAATGTCAAAAACACTTATGAAGAATTAAACACTGTTGACCACAAGAGGGAAACCTAGTCCCAGTTATACTATAAATTAGAAAATCAAGGGAAAAATATGTGTCCTGAGAACTTTTGAAATAGTCACATATAAACATAGTATACAAGAAAAAACCAACCATCATCCCTACCCAAGGATATGTTTGTGGTATGAGTGGTTTTAGTGTTTTGAGTGGACTGGTTCTTGGACTCCACATATTATTGGCTACAGAGATAGAGACTTGATTTAGAAAATCACAGTTGCCACTTTCTAAGTAAGCCCTTGACCAAAAGACTAGATTTCTTTAAACCCAGTTTTCTCAGGTAAAATGGAAATACAACTATTATCTAATAAATATAAGTAAGCTTTAGTGTCATAGTCATAGCAGTAGTATTTTCAATTGGTAAAAAGAAACTGGACCCCAAAAAAGAATTTCAGTGAAAGCAGTAACAGTCTTCTGGCATATTTCTCACCTTTCTTTCTACCTTAAAGGTTCAAAGTTCCTAAGTAATCTCAGAAACCTAAAATAGTTTATTCTCTATCCTCACTATTGGTTTTTAAAAAACATTTTGCAGCATGGACCACTGCTCGTGTACAGATGCTCTCCAGCTTAACAATAGGGTTATGTCCCAATAAACCCATTATAACTTGAAAATATCTTAAGCTGAAAATGCATTTAATACACCAATAAACCCATCATAAAGTTGAACAATCATAAGCCAAATTATAAGTCAGAGACCATCTGTATTAGCTTAAGTCTTGGAATGGTTTATTTTTTAGATGCCATTTAGCCACTTATATTCTCTTCTATTTTATTGTGAGAACTAATTCCCCTCTTACATTCTGTGCTTGACCCATGCTATACTTAGTGTGAACAAGAGCCACCTTCTTCTCATGACTTCTATTTTTTGTGAAAATTTCCTTCACTCATTCATGACATTTGGATTTGAAATCTTACCTACTTAAGTACTTTAAAAAATCATTTTCTACCATCTTTCTTATCAGGAGGCTCTAGTGATTCCTTCTCCACACTTCTAACTTCTCATCTTCACACTCCTTGTCTTCCTAACTTCACTACAGTAAGTGTTTTACATGTTTAGAACTCAGCTCCTTTACTATGATTGCTAACCATGTACCTTAAATAAACCGTCTTCTAGTTTTTTGTTTCTTACTCTCAATTATACCTTTTAGAAAAGAATTAAGAGTAGAAAAAGACTGCTACATAGACATTCTTATGATCTTCAGAAATGAGCACAGATCATGCTTAATGAAAAAAGATTTCCAAATAATGCTGCATATGTCCAGAGAAAAGGTGGCAGAAATGACTGTCATCTGGGGGCACTATTGTCTGGACATGGCCAGTTCTCAGAACTCCAGTCCCTAAATTCCCTTCTAACTAAAGGAAAAGCCTCTTAAGGGTCTTATAGAAATCCTGCCACTTTCACCTGAAAGAATAATCTTCAGTTATGTGGCACATGGCCAAGAGTAAAAGTCTTTAGTCACTTGGAAGCAGACAGACACTGTAATGCTAAATAATTGGACATAACATGGAACTTACTGAGGCCTCAAATATCAATTTTACTTTGGGAAAAAGAGCAGCATCCTTAAAAGTGATTGAAAGTAACTCAAGTTTATTCCTTAACAGAGTGATGCTTAATCTAACAAAAAACATGTTATATGCACACTCTTCTCCATTACCTTGTAAGAAAACTGGACTAGGAAACACAGCTGAAATGGCCAGTTCTGCCTCCATTTCCTAAACCGTGTTATAATTATGTCTATGTGACCAGTAACAGACAATGACCATGATTTATACTTTTTCATATGTTTGTTGTTTTGTTTTCAATGTTTGTGGTCTTTCCTCAGTATCAGCTAAGAGGCCATTAACACAGATATCTATTTATGGACATGCGAGACTGTTGTTCACCTCTTTTGCAGAATTCATAAAGAAATGATGGGGAAAACACATCAAAGATAGAGTGGATAAAGCAAATGTGCCACATATACACCATGGAATACTATGCAGCCATGAAAAAGAATGAGTTCATGTCCTTTGCAGGGACATTGATGAAGCTGGAAACCATCATTCTCAGCAAAATAACACAGGAACAGAAAACCAAACACTGAATTTTCTCACTCATAAGTGGGAGTTGAACAATGAGAACACATGGACACAGGGGCCTGTTGGGGGGGGTGGGGGGCAAGGGGAGGAGAGCATTAGGACAAATACCTAGTGCTTGAGGAGCTTAAAACCTAGATGACGGGTTGATGGGAGCAGAAAACCACCACGGCACACGTATACCTATGTAACAAACCTGCATGTTCTGCACATGTATCCCAGAACTTAAAGTAGAATAAAATAAATAAGTAAATAAGGAATGATGGGACAAACAAGTTTCTGTTATTGTCTCTCTACTGACCAAAGGGTGGTCAGAGAGTATAGGATGAAGCAGATTTGTGATATCCTTGAATAGATCTGCTCTTTACTATGAATTCTATCATCTACTCCCGGCGTATGTGGGAAAGGGACCAACCTACTTGCCTGGAATTTAGTGAAATTGTTTTCTAGGGGGACCAAGAGTTTCCTCTACTTGATATGAAGTTGGGTGGTTGAAGATGATAGGATTGGCTTCTGCTTCCATCAGAATCCTAAAGGGCAGGGTATATGGACTAGTTGGTATTGGATCTTGGAAACTGTGATGCATTGGGAATGGTCACACTCCCAGAGTTTGTGGACACAAAGAATGTTTTAGTGTTCCCTATACACCAGACACGGGCCATGAAGGAATCTGAAGAGCCTACCAAACCTTGCACAAGAGAAAAGCTTTACTTGGAACATCATCCAGGCGCAGAGAACACAAATATTTCATTTCCAGTAAGACGTTTCTGGTCTTTTTCTCTTCCTCCCCTTCCCTGAACCTACCCTAGATGAGCTATGGCCTCAAAGTGCCAGTAGAACATAAGAAGGAAGGAGAACCACACTCATTCCTGCCTTCAACAATTTACACAGGGATAGAAAGAGATTTATATTAAATCAAGTTGGGACTTTCAATTATTATATAGTACCAAACAATCTAATTGCTGAACTAAGATATACTTGTGCAATTTAAGGGAATTGTAGAATAGCATATTAATTAGAATCAAGAAAATAATTCATGAAGTATGCTATAATTCCTACCCAAGCGCAGGGGAATAGCATCTCTAATGAAATTCTCTAAAGAGGCAAGAGCAGGCACAATGAGTTTTTGTTTGATTAAAGATTCCATTTAGTGCTTATCCAACCTAGCAATTACATTTGTATGCTTCAGATGTTTTAAAAAAATAAACAAAAGAAAGTACCTTAAATAAAGAATAGGATCAAATAGTATTTAAACAATTGAGTAAATTAAAAAATTATATGAATTAGATTGATTGAAATTGATACTTTCCTAATTCTCCTCCTTCAACACACAGACACACACACACACACACACACACACACACACACGTATGCATACAAACACATCTGAATTCTATAAAATCATTCTGACCTTGATGAGATTCCATAGTTTACTCATGCAACAGAACATAATGTCTAAATGAAGTTTCTGGTCTCTGTTTTACATGGATGATTGAGTAAAATCATTCCCTATTCCTGGAAGAATAGCTAAGAAAGGATTCACAGGTGAGGACATGCGTTTTTTCAGAAGATGAGAACAAAGATGAGAAGATGAGAGCAACAGAATGTCCTATATCCTAATTCTCTGTGCTGACTTCGGAGTGGCCAATATGATAGAGATGGAAGGAACTCTGAAAACAAATTGCCAGAATTTCTAAGGAACAGGAGATGTTGAGTGAGTGAATCAAGCCATGGACTGGCTGTATGGGGGCAGCTATTAGAGACAACTACCCTTAGACTTCTTTGGTGATTGGTCAAGCTAATCTTTTCCTTCAGAGTCTCTCAATTATAAGACTTAGCTTGTGCCATTTAGAACAGACAAGAACACAGAGAATTATAGAACAATCTGACTACAGGTTCTCAAGTTATAGCAATGAAACTTGTAGTTGGCCGGCAGGAAAATATTCTGAGATGTGGATTCAAAGTTTCTAAGTGTGCACACGTACACACACACACACCCCTACCTGCATGCATTTTCTAATTTACAAAGACTACTCAAGTAAAGAGGGGTAATTTCACACCTCAGGAGGTCTGTATAAAGATAACTCTGGTCTTTAAAGCATCAGGTTTCAGGTAGAGGTGAAGAGAGAATGAATCAAACTCAAACTGCCATCCTCCCAGGTTAAAGATGAGTCCAGTCATCGTGGAGCCCTCTATTAACACAGGACATGCTAGGAAGGCCCATTAACCCACTGCCCTAGCACATTTGTTAACGTCCTAGTGCATTTGTTGATATCAACAGTTCACAGTTTTTATTCTGATAGGGATCTATTCCAGCAGACCAGCTTCTGTGACCTCTCAGGATGCGAAAAAGTAACACAAGAAAAGCTTCTTATGTAGTGAATTGAGAAGGAAATACCTAGATCAATATTCCCTCAGCACCTCTGGTAGGAAGTCCTTAGTAGGAGAAAAACACCATGAAGACCCTTAGTGCAGAAGGAAAAGGGGGTAGGGGGTGGTGGAAGGGAAGCTAAAAGAAGGGGCTGGAGGTTCTCAGAATTCAAACCACACAAACAAATGAAGTATTGAGGTCCCAGACTTGATCTGGGCCCAGTGTGAAAGCCCTAACTTATTTCTCCAGAAGAATATGTCCTCTGGTTTTAGACTTGGCACTGTGGGGAGAACCAGAGTGATCTATGGTGGATATACACACAAACATAGACACACATATTTGCATTTAGTAATTTTTGTAAAATTTCCATTTGCTTCTCTGATCCTGTCTGTATCTTTGGGAATAGATGTAAGAATATTACATCTCTCAGGCTTGCTCTGCCCCAGGTTTCTGAACGTGGAATACATTTCTCCAGTGAAACTCAGTATTATGAGATTTGGGAGGTGGAAGTTAGGCCACAGCCATCTCAGGGACAGGTTTCACAGACATGAGTTTTGGCAGCAGCCTTGTGTTCTAAAGACATTTACTCCTAGGGGCTCTAGAGGATCTGCAACATCAGCAGAAGCTTCCTGTGGGTTCCTGATCTTTTAAAATTAGGGGTCTGCAGTGACTTGTGCTCCTCCAGACCCCCTAACAGTTTTAAGGGCTAATTCCCTGTAATATATTCAGTTCTGCTTAGACTGATTACAGGGATTCCTATTTCTTGACTGAATTCTCATGGCTATAGTGGCTCGTCACCATTTGACATCACCAAGAAGTCCTCATTCAGGTGCCTTTGGAAATTCCCTCAAACACACAGGAAATTAGAGTTTGAAAGAAAACGGAGAACCATGAGCACTGTCCAAATAGGAACTTCTCTCCTATCACAGAGAAAGGGAACTGAAAGTCATTTCTCAAGTCTCCCAAATTTAGTAATCTCACAAGAAGAACCAATCAGTGTTCTAGGACTAAACAGTGTCATAAGTTGCTGAGCAACAACTTGGATTGAAGATGCTATTATAATATATGAAATGTCTTTGAATTTACCATGTTTTTCTCAAGCACCATTTAAGAACAAGGCATTATGGCAGCCAGCAAAGGGCAGACATAGAAAATTATACATGGTTTTGCCTCTAAAAGAGGAGATGACAAGCTTAAATCATAGGATCAGACTCTTAGCACAGACTGATACCATAGGCTCTCATCTGGCCCATTCTCCTGACTCTTTACCTTTCAGGAAAGGTATTCCTGAAAATTGCAGGAGAGACCATGCTGTAGGTCTCTTTCTAGCGATCTAGGAGTTAATGCCACAGTGTGTTCAAAGCCCTTTGATGCGATCAGATAATCAGTAATGTATGGAATATTTGTGTTCATAACTCGTGAGAACGGCTGCATGGCAGGACAAGACCCCAGCACAACAGTATGGAAAATCCACCCTAAGCAGACATGTCATGACTGATGTTGAACAATGGACTCACCAGCCAGGCACGGTGGCTCATGCCTGTAATCCCAGCACTTTGGGAGGCAGAAGCAGGCAGATCACGAGGTCAGGAGATCAAAACCATCCTGGTTAACATGGTGCAACCCCGTCTCTACTGAAAATACAAAAAAAAAAAAAAAAAAAAAATTGGCCGGGCATGGTGGCGGGCGCCTGTAGTCCTAGCTACTCGGGAGGCTGAGGCAGGAGAATGGCGTGAACCCAGGAGGCAGAGCTTTCAGTGAGCCGAGATCGTGCCACTGCACTCCAGCCTGGGCGACAGAGCAAGACTTCCGTCTCGAAAACAAAACAACAACAAAAAAAACAATGGATTCACCATCCGATGGGCTCCCTCACTGCCAGGTCACTCTTCATGGAAGTATTTGTATTCCAGTCCTTTCTGTGGAAAGAACTTAACATTCTCCTTTTCATAACACTGTATCTTCAGAAACAAGAGAGTCGAAGTCTCCTAATTTTCAGGACTGTCTATGTTGAACATCAAAATATATTCTTTAGAGCAGATCTTTAATAATCATATGACAAGAGAAAAACTTTCATAATCTTATGACATGAGGGAAGGAATATTAAAGCCGTTCTGTGAGTTATTATCTCTAACGTTCCCAATAGAATAGGCTTTGCCAGCTGGGTGCGGTGGCTCATGCCTGTAATCCCAGCACTTTGCGAGGCCAAGGCGGGCAAATCACGAGGTCAGGAGTCTGAGACCAGCCTGACCAACATGGTGAAACCCCGTCTCTACTAAAAATACAAAAATTAGCCGGGCATGGTGGTGGGCGCCTGTAATCCCAGCTACTCAGGAGGCTGAGGCAGGAGAATCGCTTGAACCCGGGAGGCGGAGATTACAATGAGCTGAGATCACACCACCAACTCCAGCTTGGGCGACAGAGCAAGACTCTGTCTAAAAAAAAAAAAAAAAAAAAGAATAGGCTTTGCCCACTATACTCTCTCATATTCATTGACCTGAATCCTCAAATGAGGTGTGTCCATTAGTCAACTCCAATCTCTTGTCATATATAAGATGGTAGAGATGAGAAGAAGGTAGCTCCTTTACAGCCCACTATTTCCACTAACTACTACCTGTGTTTCAAGATACAGCCTTTCATCCTTCTCCAGTGTTGAGAGTGTTGAACCTCAGAGTTTCTCCTCTCATTTTCTCTAAATGAGATACAATGCCAGCCATCCCAAGCTCTTGGCCTGAGTTGATCATCTTGAAGTCTAGGACTCCAAGAAGCATGAAAGAGCTTCTTTAGTGAAGCTATGTCCTCAGTACTGCCAAAATTCAGACAATCTCCATGGCCTGACAATTTACCTTCTATTTGGGTAATTTATTGTCCCTTACGCAAACTCTCCAACTGTCATTGCACAGACATATGATCTGTATTTAGCTCTCACTTTAGGTGTTTCCATTGATTCTATTCTCACTAATGTGCTTCAGGTATATCCCTGTCTAGAAGTCAGATTGGGGTTAAAGAGTCTGTCCGTGATTGACTAACAGTCTTAAATACTTGATTTGTTGTTGTTGTTGTCCTGTTTGTTTAAGAACTTTACTTCTTTATCCAATGAAC